>NC_000003.12:107038907-107341937 GCF_000001405.40 Homo sapiens | reverse complement strand
TTACTTCAAATGTACAATTTGGCTGAGAAAAATTTTTTATACATCACTTTACTCAGATCATGTCAGACAATTACAAAAGATTTTCTTACTGTACAATACTGGTAGATTCATCAGTTTTCAGAGAATTTTATTGACTTTGTCATTCTCTGAATAATAATTGGTCCTTTACTTTCTGTTCATAGCTGCAATTCCAAAATAGACTCTTATTTGACAGAGGCACTTTATCAATCATTTTGCTTGCTTTGTCCCCAGTCACTGCTTTTGCATTTATTTGCCTGTAGGATTATATGTGTTTCATCAATTATTTTACAACAACATAGGGAAGGTTTCTCCAGCTTTTGTATTCTTATCCGTATTACACACATGTTAGTTCCTAGGATGCCTGAATGTTCTTCTACTTTGCCTCAGAAATTTTAATAAGTTTCTCATAATGTTCTTTGTATGTGTCAAATGACACCAGTATTTTGAGACACAACCTACAATGAAATAGGTTTACTCTCAGCTGGCAAGTAAATTGCAAATTTCAAACTATTTTTGTCATTTTTGTGTAATGTTATTTTTGTTGAAGCTTGCATTTTATAACACAAACAGGTGATTCAGTCATTAATTAAGTTTTGCTATGATCAACACTAGTGCTCATATTTTTATAAATCTCTTCTATTATGTCCAGAAATTTTTTAAACCTCTTAATCATAATAGAATCAATTTTTTTTTTTTTTAAAAAAAAGGGTTCTTCAAAACCACAATGCGATACCACCTCACACCAATCAGAATGGCTATTATTAAAAAGTCAAAAAATAACAAATGCTGACAAGGTTGCAGAGAAAAAGGAATGCTTATACACTGTTGGTGGGACTGTAAATTAATTCAACCATTGTAAAAGACAGTGTGACAATTCATCAAAGGCCCAAAAACAGAAATACCATTTCACCTAGCAATCCCATTAGAAGGCATACACCCAAAGAAATATAAATCGTTCTGTTGTAAAGACACATGCACGTGTATGTTCACTGCAGCACTATTCACAATAGCAAAGACATAGAATCAACTTAAGTGCTGATCGGTGGTAGACTGGATAAAGAAAATGTGGTATATATACACCATAGAATACCATGCAGCCATAAAAAAGAACAATTGTGTCCTTTGCAGGAATGTGGTTGGAGCTGGAGGCCATTATCCTTAGCAAACTAACACAGGAACAGAAAACCAAACACCACATATTCTCACTTATAGGTAGGAGCTAAATGACGAGAATACATCGACACATAGAGGAGAACAACAACACTGGGGCCTATAGGAGGGTGGAGGGTGAAGGGTGGGAGGAGAGAAAGGATCAGGAAAAATAACTAATGTCTTAATACCTGGGTTGCAAAATAATCTGTACAACAAACCCCCCATGACACAAGTTTACCTATATAACAAACTTGCATGTGTATCCTTGAACTTAAAAGTTAAATTAAAAAAAGAGTCCAACCTGGATTATAGTTCATGATAATGTATATGTACATTTGACTTCTAGAAGTGCTGAATTGATGTATCACTAAGAAATACATGATGATAAGACAGAAAATTCAATATTATGAGAAACTATAGTGGTCATTTGTATATTCACAGTTTCCTTACATCCAAGGCAGACATTTTAATTATTGACACTTCGATCCATTCATAGGTCAGCATAAGTAACCAGACTCAGTCCATGGCATTACATATATTGGCATTACAGCAAGTAATACCATTTATAAATGATATAACCTTGCCAGTATCTGTTATTTTAAATTTTTAATAGTAGCCATTCTGACTGGTATCACATTGTGGTTTTGAAGGACTCTTTTTTAAAAAAAAATAATCCTTCTTTTTTTTTTTGAGACAGAGTCTTGCTCTGTCCTCTAGGCTGGAGTGCACTGGCACAATCTCGGCTCACTACATCCTCTGCAATTCTCCTACCTCAGCCTCCCGAGTAGTTGGGATTACAGACGCCTGCCACCATGCCTGGCTAATGTTTTTCATTTTTAAAATTTTTTTTTATTTTTTATTTTAATTTTTAATTTTTTTAATTTTTTATTTTATTTTATTTTATTATTATTATACTTTAAGTTTTAGGGTACATGTGCACAATGTGCAGGTTAGTTACATATGTATACATGTGCCATGCTGGTGTGCTACACCCATTAACTCATCATTTAGCATTAGGTATATCTCCTAATGCTATCCCTCCCCCCTCCCCCCAACCCACAACAGTCCCCAGAGTGTCATGTTCCCCTTCCTGTGTCCATGTGTTCTCATTGTTCAATTCCCACTTATGAGTGAGAATATGCGGTGTTTGGTTTTTTGTTCTTGCGATAGTATACTGAGAATGATGATTTCCAGTTTCATCCATGTCCCTACAAAGGACATGAACTCATCCTTTTTTATGGCTGCATAGTATTCCATGGTGTATATGTGCCACATTTTCTTAATCCACTCTATCATTGTTGGACATTTGGGTTGGTTCCAAGTCTCTGCTATTGTGAATAATGCCGCAATAAACATACATGTGCATGTGTCTTTACAGCAGCATGATTTATAGTCCTTTGGGTATATACCCAGTAATGGGATGGCTGGGTCAAATGGTGTTTCTAGTTCTAGATCCCTGAGGAATCACCACACTGACTTCCACAATGGTTGAACTAGTTTACAGTCCCACCAACAGTGTAAAAGTGTTCCTATTTCTCCACATCCTCTCCAGCACCTGTTGTTTCCTGACTTTTTAATGATTGCCATTCTAACTGATGTGAGATGGTATCTCATTGTGGTTTTGATTTGCATTTCTCTGATGGCCAGTGATGGTGAGCATTTTTTCATGTGTTTTTTGGCTGCATTAATGTCTTCTTTTGAGAAGTGTCTGTTCATGTCCTTCGCCCACTTTTTGATGGGGTTGTTTGTTTTTTTCTTGTAAATTTGTTTGAGTTCATTGTAGATTCTGGATATTAGACCTTTGTCAGATGAGTAGGTTGTGAAAATTTTCTCCCATTTTGTAGGTTGCCTGTTCACTCTGATGGTAGTTTCTTTTGCTGTGCAGAAGCTCTTTAGTTTAATTAGATCCCATTTGTCAATTTTGGCTTTTGTTGCCATTGCTTTTGGTGTTTTAGACATGAAGTCCTTGCCCATGCCTATGTCCTGAATGGTATTGCCTAGGTTTTCTTCTAGGGTTTTTATGGTTTTAGGTCTAACGTTTAAGTCTTTAATCCATCTTGAATTAATTTTTGTATAAGGTATAAGGAAGGGATCCAGTTTTAGCTTTCTACATATGTCTAGCCAGTTTTCCCAGCACCATTTATTAAATAGGGAGTCCTTTCCTCATTGCTTATTTTTCTCAGGTTTGTCAAAGATCAGATAGTTGTAGATATGTGGCGTTATTTCTGAGGGCTCTGTTCTGTTCCATTGATCTATATCTCTGTTTTGGTACCAGTACCATGCTGTTTTGGTTACTGTAGCCTTGTAGTATACTTTGAAGTCAGGTAGCATGATGCCTCCAGCTTTGTTCTTTTGGCTTAGGATTGACTTGGCGATGCGGGCTCTTTTTTGGTTGCATATGAACTTTAAAGTAGTTTTTTCCAATTCTGTGAAGAAAGTCTTTTGTAGCTTGATGGGGATGGCATTGAATCTATAAACTACCTTGGGCAGTATGGCCATTTCCACGATATTGATTCTTCGTACCCATGAGCATGGAATGTTCTTCCATTTGTTTGTATCCTCTTTTATTTCATTAAGCAGTGGTTTGTAGTTCTCCCTGAAGAGGTCCTTCATGTCCCTTGTAAGTTGGATTCCTAGGTATTTTATTCTCTTTGAAGCAATTGTGAATGGGAGTTCACTCATGATTTGGCTCTCTGTTTGTCTGTTATTGGTGTATAAGAATGCTTGTGATTTTTGTACGTTGATTTTGTATCCTGAGACTTTGCTGAAGTTGCTTATCAGCTTAAGGAGATTTTGGGCTGAGACAATGGGGTTTTCTAGATATACAATCATGTCATCTGCAAACAGGGACAATTTGACTTCCTCTTTTCCTAATTGAATACCCTTTATTTCCTTCTCCTGCCTAATTGCCCTGGCCAGAATTTCCAACACTATGTTGAATAGGAATGGTGAGAGAGGGCATCCCTGTCTTGTGCCAGTTTTCAAAGGGAATGCTTCCAGTTTTTGCCCATTCAGTATGATATTGGCTGGGGGTTTGTCATAAATAGCTCTTATTATTTTGAGATACGTCCCATCAATACCTAATTTATTGACAGTTTTTAGCATGAAGGGTTGTTGAATTTTGTCAAAGGCCTTTTCTGCATCTATTGAGATAATCATGTGGTTTTTGTCTTTGGTTCTGTTTATATGCTGGATTACATTTATTGATTTGCGTATATTGAACCAGCCTTGCATCCCAGGGATGAAGCCCACTTGATCATGGTGGATAAACTTTTTGATGTGCTGCTGGATTCGGTTTGCCAGTATTTTATTGAGGATTTTTGCATCAATGTTCATCAAGGATATTGGTCTAAAATTCTCTTTTTTGGTTGTGTCTCTGCCCAGCTTTGGTATCAGGATGATGCTGGCTTCATAAAATGAGTTAGGGAGGATTCCGTCTTTTTCTATTGATGGGAATAGTTTCAGAAGGAATGGTACCAATTCCTCCTTGTACCTCTGGTAGAATTCGGCTGTGAATCCATCTGGTCCTGGACTTTTTTTGGTTGGTAAGCTATTGATTATTGCCACAATTTCAGAGCCTGTTATTGGTGTATTCAGAGATTCAACTTCTTCCTGGTTTAGTCTTGGGAGGGTGTATGTGTCGAGGAATTTATCCATTTCTTCTAGATTTTCTAGTTTATTTGTGTAGAGGTGTTTGTAGTATTCTCTGATGGTAGTTTGTATTTCTGTGGGATCGGTGGTGATATCCCCTTTATCATTTTTTATTGTGTCTATTTGTTTCTTCTCTCTTTTCTTCTTTATTAGTCTTGCTAGCAGTCTATCAATTTTGTTGATCCTTTCAGAAAACCAGCTCCTGGATTCATTAATTTTTTGAAGGGTTTTTTGTGTCTCTATTTCCTTCAGTTCTGCTCTGATTTTAGTTATTTCTTGCCTTCTGCTAGCTTTTGAATGTGTTTGCTCTTGCTTTTCTAGTTCTTTTAATTGTGATGTTAGGGTGTCAATTTTGGATCTTTCCTGCTTTCTCTTGTAGGCATTTAGTACTATAAATTTCCCTCTACACACTGCTTTGAATGTGTCCCAGAGATTCTGGTATGTTGTGTCTTTGTTCTCGTTGGTTTCAAAGAACATGTTTATTTCTGCCTTCATTTCGTTATGTACCCAGTAGTCATTCAGGAGCAGGTTGTTCAGTTTCCATGTAGTTGAGCGGTTTTGAGTGAGTTTCTTAATCCTGAGTTCTACTTTGATTGCACTGTGGTCTGAGAGACAGTTTGTTATACTTTCTGTTCTTTTACATTTGCTGAGGAGAGCTTTACTTCCAACTATGTGGTCAATTTTGGAATAGGTGTGGTGCGGTGCTGAAAAAAATGTGTATTCTGTTGATTTGGGGTGGAGAGTTCTGTAGATGTGTATTAGGTCTGCGTGGTGCAGAGCTGAGTTCAATTCCTGGGTATTCTTGTTAACTTTCTGTCCTGTTGATCTGTCTAATGTTGACAGTGGGGTGTTAAAGTCTCCCATTATTATTGTGTGGGAGTCTAAGTCTCTTTGTAGGTCACTCGGGACTTGCTTTATGAAGCTAGGTGCTCCTGTATTTGGTGCATATATATTTAGGATAGTTAGCTCTTCTTGTTGAATTGATCCCTTTACCATTATGTAATGGCCTTCTTTGTCTCTTTTGATCTTTGCTGGTTTAAAGTCTGTTTTATCAGAGACTAGGATTGCAACCCCTGCCTTTTTTTGTTTTCCACTTGCTTGGTAGATCTTCCTCCATCCTTTTATTTTGAGCCTATGTGTGTCTCTGCACGTGAGATGGGTTTCCTGAATACAGCACACTGATGGGTCTTGACTCCATCCAATTTGCCAGTCTGTGTCTTTTAATGGGAGCATTTAGTCCATTTACGTTTACAGTTAATATTGTTATGTGTGAATTTGATCCTGTCATTTTGATATTAGCTGGTTATTTTGCTCATTAGTTGATGCAGTTTCTTCTTAGCTGCTATGGTCTTTACAATTTGGCATGATTTTGCAGCGGCTGGTACTGGTTGTTCCTTTCCATGTTTAGCGCTTCCTTCAGGAGGTCTTTTAGGGCAGGCCTGGTGGTGACAAAATCTCTCAGCATTTGCTTGTCTGTAAAGTATTTTATTTCTCCTTCACTTATGAAGCTTAGTTTGGCCAGATATGAAATTCTGGGTTGAAAATTCTTTTCTTTAAGAATGTTGAATATTGGCCCCCACTCTCTTCTGGCTTGTAGAGTTTCTGCCGAGAGATCCGCTGTTAGTCTGAGGGGCTTCCCTTTGTGGGTAACCCGACCTTTCTCTCTGGCTGCCCTTAACATTTTTTCCTTCATTTCAACTTTGGTGAATCTGACAATTATGTGTCTTGGAGTTGCTCTTCTCGAGGTGTATCTTTGTGGCGTTCTCTGTATTTCCTGAATCTGAATGTTGGCCTGCCTTGCTAGATTGGGGAAGTTCTCCTGGATAATATCCTGCAGAGTGTTTTCCCACTTGGTTCCATTCTCCCCGTCACTTTCAGGTACACCAATCAGACATAGATTTGGTCTTTTCACATAGTCCTATATTTCTTGGAGGCTTTGTTCATTTCTTTTTATTCTTTTTTCTCTAAACTTCCCTTCTCACTTCATTTCATTCATTTCATCTTCCATCACTGATACCCTTTCTTCCAGTCGATCGCATCGGCTCCTGAGCTTTCAGCTCCATCAGCTCCTTTAAGCACTTCTCTGTATTGGTTATTCTAGTTATACATTCTTCTCAATTTTTTTCAAAGTTTTTAACTTCATTGCCTTTGGTTTGAATTTCCTCCTGTAGCTCGGAGTAGTTTGATCGTCTGAAGCCGTCTTTTCTCAACTTGACAAAGTCCTTCTCCATCCAGCTTTGTTCCGTTGCTGGTGAGGAACTGCCTTCCTTTGGAGGAGGAGAGGCACTCTGCTTTTTAGAGTTTCCAGTTTTTCTGCTCTGTTTTTTCCCCATCTTTGTGGTTTTATCTACTTTTGGTCTTTGATGATGGTGATGTACAGATGGGTTTTTGGTGTGGATGTCCTTTCTGTTGGTTAGTTTTCCTTCTAACAGACAGGACCCTCAGCTGCAGGTCTGTTGGAGTTTGCTAGAAGTCCACTCCAGACGCTGTTTGCCTGGGTAACAGCAGCGTTGGCTGCACAACAGCGGATTTTCATGAACCGCGAATGCTGCTGTCTGATAGGTCCTCTGGAAGTTTTGTCTCAGAGGAGTACCCGGCCGTGTGAGGTGTCAGTCTGCCCCTAGTGGGGGGTGCCTCCCAGTTAGGCTGCTCAGGGGTCAGGGGTCAGGGACCCACTTGAGGAGGCAGTCTGCCCCTTCTCAGATCTCCAGTTGTGTGCTGGGAGAACCACTTCTCTCTTCAAAGCTGTCAGACAGGGACATTTAAGTCTGCAGAGGTTACTGCTGTCTTTTTGTTTGTCTGTGCCCTGCCCCCGGAGGTGGAGCCTACAGAGGCAGGCAGGCCTCCTTGAGCTGTGGTGGGCTCCACCCAGTTCGAGCTTCTCAGCTGCTTTGTTTACCTAAGCAAGCCTGGGCAATGGCGGGCGCCCCTCCCCCAGCCTCATTGCCGCCTTGCAGTTTCATCTCAGACTGCTGTGCTAGCAATGAACAAGACTCCGTGGGCGTAGGACCCTCCGAGCCAGGTGCGGGATATAATCTCCTGGTCCACTGTTTTTTAAGCCCGTCGGAAAAGCGCAGTATTAGGGTGGGAGTGACCCGATTTTCCAGGTGCCATCTGTCACCCCTTTCTTTGACTAGGAAAGGGAACTCCCTGACCCCTTGCGCTTCCTGAGTGAGGCAATGCCTCGTCCTGCTTCAGCTCGCACACAGTGTGCTGCACCCACTGTCCTGCGTCCACTGTCTGGCACTCCCTAGTGAGATGAACCCGGTACCTCAGATGGAAATGCAGAAATCACTTGTCTTCTGTGTCACTCACGCTGGGAGCTGTAGACCGGAGCTGTTCCTGTTTGGCCATCTTGGCTGCTTCCCCCCCATTTTTTAAATTTTTTGTAGAGATGGAGTTTCACCACATTGGCCAGGCTGGTCTCAAACTCCTGACCTCATGTTATCTGCTTGCCTCGGCCTCCCAAAGTGCTGTGATTACAGGTGTAAGCCACTATTTTTAAATTATGGTTAAGAGGTTTAAAAACATTCCTAGACATAATAGCAGAGATTTATAACAAATAAGAGCACTAGTGTTGACAATTGTAAAACTTTATTAATGAGTGAATCACCTGTTAGTGTTATAAAGTTTATTTTGCTAGTTTGTTTCCTGATAGATGTTAAAAATATTGGCCAGGCATGGTGGCTCATGCCTGTAACCCCAGCACTTTGGGACACCAAGATGGGTGGGCCATTTGAGCCCAGGAGTTTGAGAGCAGCTTGGGCAACATGGTGAAACAGCATCTCTACAAAAAATAAAAAATAAAAAAAAATTAGCCAAGCATGGTGGTATGCACCTGTGGTCTCAGCTACTTGGGAGGCTGAGGAGGGAGAGTCACTTGAACCTGGGAAGTCAAAGCTGCAGTAAGCTGAGATCCTGCCACTGCACTCCAGCCTGGGTGACAAAGCAAGACACTATCTTAAAAAAAAAAAGTAACGGTTAAAATGTTAAATCTATATAGCTAGTAAAATATTGAAATGTTAACCTAAAGTTATGTTGAGGACTAGCAGTGGTATATGGGGTGTGCTTTGGGAAATGCTGCTGTAACCTATAACATCAGGACCATGACTCACCTAAATAAACCCACCATCTTCACGTCATCTCACCATTCATATTGTGCCAATAGAAGATATAAACTGGGCCAGGCACGATGGCTCACACCTGTAATCCCAGCACTTTGGTAGGCCGAGGGGGGCGGATCACGAGGTCAGGATTTCGAGACCAGTCTGACCAACATGGTGAAACCCCGTCTCTACTAAAAATACGAAAATTAGCCGGGCATGGTGGCACGCGCCTGTAATCCTAGCTACTCTCTGGCTGAGGCAGGAGAATTGCTTGATCCCAGGAGGCGAAGGTTGCAGTGAGCCGAGATCGCGCCATTGCACTCCAGCCTGGGCAACACAGTGAGACTCTATCTCAAAAAAAAAAAAAAAAAAAAGATATAAACTGTTGGCCAGGCCAGGTGGCTCATGCCTGTAATCCCAGCATTTTGGGAGGCTGGAGCAGGTGGATCAGTTAAGCCCAAGAGTTCAAGACCAGCCTGGGCAACATGGTGAAACCCCATCTCTACAAAAATTAGCCAGGCGTGGTGGTACATGCCTGTAGTCTCAGCTCCTCGGGAGGCTTAGGCAGGAGGATCACTCGAGTCCAGGAGATTGTGGCTGCAGTGAGCTGTGATTGCACTACTGCACTCCAACTTGAGTGACAGAGTGAGGCCCTGTCTCAATAAAAATAAATAAAGACAAACTGTCATGAAGAATCTATCAGTATTCTCGATTCTTGCTTCTGAATCTAACTTTTTAAAAAATTACCAATAGTTGGAATGATTAATAAATGAAAGAGGCAAAGAAAAATTTGAATAAAACCCTCTTCCACTCTCCCCTCCACATTCATCTAACTGTGGAGCAATCAGGGTGATAAAGGAAAATGTAACTAGAGAAAGCTGGATTCCAATCCAGGTTTTTCACTTTAGAGCTCTTAAGTAGTTTAAGGGTATGAAAATAATTATATCTGTCTGGAAGGACTCTGTGAGGTTTTTTTTTGTTTTTTTGTGTGTGTGTGTGTGATGGAGTCTTGCTCTGTCGCCCAGGCTGGAGTGCACTGGCGTGATCTCGGCTCACTGCAAGCTCCTCCTCCCAGGTTCACACCATTCTCCTGCCTCAGCCTCCCGAGTAGCTGGGACTACAGGAGCCCGCCAGCACGCCTGGCTAATTTTTTGTATTTTTAGTTGAGATGGGGTTTCACCGTGTTAGCCGGGATGGTCTTGATCTCCTGACCTCGTGATCCACCCGCCTCGGCCTCCCAAAGTGCTGGGATTACAGGCGTGAGCCACCGTGCCCAGCCAAGGTTTTAAGATATCAAATGTAGCATGCCTGGCATAGGGCCTGGTGCATAATAGATATTCAAAATACTACAGGTAGTTTTATTTTTATTTTAGAGTCAGGGTCTCTCTCTGCCACCCAGGTTGAAGTCCAATGACCTGATGATCACAGTTCACTGTAACCTCAGACTCCTGGGCTCAAGCAATCCTCCCACCTCAGCCTCTTGAGTAGCTAGGACTACAGGTATGTTCCACCACGCCCAGTTAATTTTTATTTTATTATTTTTTCTTTTTTTGTAGAGATGAGATCTTGCTATGTTGTCCCAGGGTGGTCTCAAACTCCTGGCCTCAAGCAATCCTCCTGCCTTGGCCTCCCAAAGTGCTGGGATTACAGGTAGTTTTAATTCTTTTTTTTGTTATACTGGTTGAGCTAAGAATATCCCCCCATATACTTTGTGTGCTACTGTAGAAACTAAGTTACATTGTAAAATATTTTCCAAATTGCCTCTCTATTAAATATGAACAACATTTTCTTTGAAAATTCCAAAGGCATCAACAAATCTAAGGAGGATAAAGAATGGAAAAATGTAAATATTTCTAAAATATAGTACTTTTGTCACAGTCAGAATGGTTTAATAATGTGTTCAAAATGTTGGATGTTTTGAGATCTTCAGATGAAAAGCACTGCGGAAATAAGGTGTCATTACAGTTCATTTGACTATGCCTTAGCAAACAAATTTTTTAAAGTTATGGAATCAAAACATGTAGCTCACCCTTCCTGTCATATTATCCCTTAAAACATGCAGAAAATCTCTAAATTATTAGTGAACTTGAATAACAATGTATAAAATTATGATCCCAAAAATGAAAACACAATATTGTATCCCTTAAATAGTGAACTGATAATTAAATAATATGTATGTATTTATTTATTTATTTATTTTTGAGACAGAGTCTAGCTCTGTCCCCCAGGCTGGAGTGCAGTGGCACAATCTCGGCTTACTGCAACCTCCGCCCCCTGGGTTCAAGCAATTTTTGTGCCTCAGCCTCCCAAGTAGCTGGGATTGCAGGCATGTGCCACCATGCCCAGCTAATTTTTAAAAATATTTTTAGTAGAGACGGGGTTTCACCATGTTGGCCAGGCTAGTCTCGAACTCCTGACCTGAAGTGATCCACCTGCCTCACCCTCCCAAAGTGCTGGGATTATAGGCGTGAGCCACCACACCTGGCCTAAATAATATTTTACAGAGAGGAAAAGGTGAAAGTTGTTTGGACAAATTAATATTTAAAGAAAAGACTTCTCAACATAGAATATGTAAAGCTAAAATGATATCTCATCTTAAATATTGTCATCACGTTCCTTATTTTCCTCTCCAAGAAAAAAGAACCAGAAGTTTATTTGTTCTGAGGATTCAGGAATGAATTTTCATATCATGTGGTTTAGCTTGATGATTTTTTTCGGAGAGACAGACTACCTGGAATGATGTGATTTTTCTCAATTCATTCCTGTTTTTCCTTCTGTGTTCATGTATTTTCATTCATCACAAATATTATGGAATGAACCCACATCAAAGGACCTTGACCATAAAATGTTAAGAATACAAGAAAACCAATGAAAAACCTTAACACCATTCAAAGACCTTTGTCTCTTACAGGCACTGATGACATGTAGTAACACAAAAGAATGTGGTCACCCTTCTGGAATAGTGAGTGAGTCCAGTAAACTTGTGTTTGATTCAGGTCATGTGTTGTTTGGCTGGGCTATTCAACACTACTGTAAACTCGGAAATGGATTTTCCAAACACATTTATTTTCTTTTAGATTGTTTACAAAATCTGAGTAATTTTGAAACTTAAAATGTATATTTCTTACTATAAAAGCAACATGTGTTCACTGTACAAAAGCTAGACAACAGGAGAAAAAACATATTTTGTATTCTGTGTTTAACATTTTTGTTTAAATCCTAATCTGTCCAAAAACATTCGCATCTTTTCCTTTCTATAAACATTATTTAACTCTTGTGAATAAACACAATATTTTTTATTATTGAGGTCATCATTTTGCATATTCTATTTAAAATTTGCTGACATAAGAAACAAGAAACAAATAAGAACATACAAATAAACAAATCCCCACCTGTAACCCTGTCATTAGGTATAATCACTGTTAATTTGTTGGATGTCTATTTTTCCAGAATTTTCTCAATTTGCAAATCATTGTCAGAAGCAATAGGTCTTAAATTGATTTATTTGTAATCCAAAAATGCATTGGCTCTGTGCATTCTGAAGGTATACGTTGTTCTGTCTTCTACTCCACACACTGCTAAGAACTATTGGAAAGTCAGTCTTAATAAGTTCATAGTTGGCAGTGCACAGGGCCTTGCTGAGAACCCCTGGCTGGGCACCTGCTGCGGGTTCATCTATGTGTTTCCTCAGCTGCCTCCTTTCAACCTTGTCCACCCATTGCGGCCTCTGGTGCCGCAGTGGTGGTTCCTGTTTCTGCCACAGCTCTCTCCCCTTCTTCCCTCTCCACCAGATCGCAGAGTTCACTCACCATGGTTTTACCCAAGTGGCTGCCAGGCTCTTGGGAAGCAACAGTGCATCTTGTCTTGTTCTTGCTGCCTGGCATGCCAGTGCTTCCTCCAAGAATTTGAAAGACATATTGGCTGACCTGATAGTTAAGGAGCAGGCCAGAATTAAGACCTTCAGGCAGCAACATGGCAAGAAGGTGGTGGGCCAAATCACTGCAGACATAATGTATGGCGGCATGAGAGGCATTAAGGGATTGGTATATAAACATCAGTTCTTGATCCTGATGAGGTTATCTGTTTCCGAGGCTTCAGTATCCCTGAATACCAAAAACTGCTACCCAAGACTAAGGGTGGGGAAAACCCCTACCCAGGGGCTTATTTTGGCTGCTGGTAACTGGACAGATCCCAAGAGAGGAACAGGTATCTTGGCTTTTAAGAGAGTGGGCAAAGAGGGCAGGCAGCTCTACCTTCCCATGTGGTCACCATGCTGGACAACTTTCCCACCAATCCACACCCATGTCTGAGCCCACTGCAGCCATGGCAGCCCTAAACAACTTTGCCCGAGCATATCCAGAGGGTGCCAGTCAAACCAAGTACTGGGAGTTGATTTATGAAGACCATGTGTGTCTAATCACAAAGCTACCTTGTATTGCAGAAAAGGTCTACCAAAATCTCTGTGGAGAGGGCAGTGGTATTGGGGTCACTGACTCTAAGCTGGACTGGTCCCACAGTTTCACCAACATGTTAGGCTATACTGATGCTCAGTTCACTGAGCTCATGCACCTGTAGCTCACCATCCACAGTGACCATGAGCACAGCAATATAAGTGCTCATGCCAGGCATTTGGCAGGCAGTACCCTTTCAGACCCTTCCCTGCCCTTTGCAGCAGCCATGAATGGGCTGGCAGTTCCTCTACATGGACTGGCAAATCAGGAAGTGCTTGTCTGGCTAACACAACTACAGAAGGAAGTTGGCAAAGATGTGTCAGATGAGAAGTTACAAGACTACACTGAACTCGAGATGGGTTGTTCCAGGCTATGGCCATGCAGTACTAAAGAAGACTGAGCCACAATGTACCTGTCAGCGAGAGTTTGCTCTGAAACATTGCATAATGATCCCATGTTTAAGTTGGTTGCTCAGCTATACAAGATTGTGCCCAATATCCTCTGACAGTAGGGTAAGGCCGAGAATCCTGGGCCCAATGTAGACGCACATGGTGGGTACTATAGCATGACAGAGATACATTGCTACGCGGTCCTGTTTGGGGCATCACAGGCATTGGGTGTACTGGCACAGCTCATCTGGAGCCGAGCCCGAGGCTTCCCTCTAGAAAGACCCACGTCCATGAGCACAGGTGGTCTGATGAAGTTTGTGGACTCTAAGTCAGGGTAAAACTGGAGACTGGGGGAAACTGACTATCAGAAAGTGAGGAGGCCTTAAAAAAATGTATATTTTTGTTTCAGGGGGCCTTTTAAAGACTTAAGATTAAATTGTATCTGAGGCACTGATAATCTGTTTGAGGTTAAAATATTAATTAAGACTTTAAAAAATGAAAAATGAGCCCTTCTTCCCTAACCAGCTCCCTTCCCCTGCCCAGTGTTAGTTGCCCATCAACTGTAGGATGACCAGAACTAATGCATGTGCTGTGGGTTAGGTTTGGTCCCTCTCTATCTTTAGAGTGAGAATGTGGCTCCTCTTTCTCTGGGTCAAAGCCAGTTGCAGAGAATCTGCAGTCACTTTGGAGCTTTCGCTTCTTCTCTGCCAAACCTCAACAAGCCAGCTAACCAAGACTCTGCCGCTTCTGTTTCCATAGGAATCACGTTGGATAGTCAGTGGTACCAAGCCCCTTGGCACTCTGTCATGCACACGAACACCTCCTAGCAAGACCTTTTGATTAGCCAGACAGGCATGCTTTGGCAAATTTTTTATGATACCAAGTGACCATAAAGGCATGGCATTTGTGGTGACTGGCACCCAATGTTAGATTCTATTTCAATTTTTTAAACTATCCAATTAAAATTAAGGCTTGGGAGTGTTCTGTTTCCCATTACTTTAATATTTACCTCCTCCCAGACTTTCCACACCTACTGCATCTCAAGCTGAGGATGTTCCAGACCTCCCACTCTTGGTCCCTACTAGTGACCTCTCAACAGATCTGTGGTCCCAGTCATTGGGTTTTATCAGTGCTTAATATGAACTAAGGTGTTTTACTTCCACAGAACACAAGCCACTACCCTCTGACCTTCCCTTGCCCTTCTAATATGTTGTAGGGCATAGAACAGGGACTCAGGAATGACCAGCACGGTATTTTCAGAGTATTTTCATGGTATTTTCAGAGTCTGGTCCCTGGGGTATTAGCACCTCTTTTTGAACAGGGAATTGATTCAAGATTGGACATGATCTCCTCTGATTATCATGTCCTGGGGCTGAGGGGATTAAAAATAGTAAGCCTCCCTCCTCATCTGCCGCCTCAAGAAAATGCCCCCTTAATTATCAACATCCTTTTCCTGCCCCTTCCCCGAGAGCTCACAGTACAATGTTTGTTTTAGAGGCCCCATTTGCACAGGTTTTCAGCAACTTGGAATGCTCTGCTGCCTTTGAGGTGGGCTTGAGATACACTCCTGCTGTGCCCCCTTCTTCCCTCCAAACTCCTGCCTGTGTTTGTGCGGATCCTCAATCCCAGAACCACGGTGTTCAGTTGGACACACATAAACCCCTGGGTAACCATCAAGTCATGATGCAGACTTCAGGCGGTTCTGTATAAAATGCAAAATAAACGTTTTTATTAACAACAACAAAAAATTCATAGTTAAGTGGAGGAATCAGACAAGCATATCACTGTTGTCATTGACACCATATGCTGTAGGGGACTGAGGAGTGGCACCTACTGAGCCTAGAGGAATCTGAGGAGCCTTCACAGGGCAAGTGATGTTAGAGTCTTGAATAAGGAATAGAGTGTTCATCATTCAGGCGAGGCAGGGGAGGCCTTTCCAAGGAATGTGCAGGGCTGGGAGAGAATGTAAAGTAGGCAGCCCTGAGTAGGTTAATATGGTGTATGATAGTGAAAAATAAATCTTGAAAGACAGAGACCCGACTGACCATGCAAAGACTTAATGTCCAGATAAGAAGCCTGGGCTTCAACTGGTAGGTCATAGGAACCTATTTGAGGAATGTCTGTGTGTGGGGGTGGAGTGGGGGCTTCTATAAGAAATACACAAGTAATCTTTGGATAGTGCCTTCGGTTTAGTTTCTGAAGACATAGCCCAAAATGAGGATTGAATGAGCAAAAAAGGCTGAGTGTAGTTGTGGACACAACAGGACACGTGCTTCTGTCTCACCCATGAGGAAGCTCTGGAGCACAAATTGCACCACAGGGTTAATACCATTCCAAGGCATGGGGTTACCCTTTAACCCCTGGGTCGATTAGTCCTTGTCCCAGGGTTTGGTGGGAAGGGAAAGAGGTAGAGCTTCCTGTGCTAGCATCGGCCGAGAGCAATTCTCAGGAGAAGGGGGCATCCATCAGTACTCACAGTTCCCATCACAGCATGAGTGCAGAAGCAGGTAAAGAGGAACTGAGCAGAGCACCAGCGATGCATCCGTTGCAGAGAGCTTTAACTAAACAGCACAAGTGTATTCTCGATGAACATTTCTGGCTCTTCCTCTGAAAGTTTGAAACTCTGGTACGTCTACATCTATCAGATGAGGAGAGTCTTGTGGTGTTGACAACCAACTAATCATCCCACATTGACAGAGTGAGTCTTCCCTCTCTGAGGTAGTGTGCTCTTCTGGGTCATAAGGGAGAATTTTCTATCTACAGGGAGTAACTTAGGGTTGGGGAAATCATATTTCAATGTGTAAAAACATTAAGTAACAGTAGAAAAGTTAAAGATTTCCATGAGGCAGCAGTACAGCGGCTCTCAAAGAAATAGAAGGCAATTGTCACATGAATGGCTGTGACTTCATTTGGACTAGAGTCACTTCTTTGCTCTTTTGAAACACTTTCTCTCTGATACTTTCAAGATACTTGAGAAGTGACATCAGCTTCACTGCCATTAGCTTACCTGAAGTGTATACACAACATGGGCATGGAAGCAATGCTGCCTGTCTCTCAATATGATATGTGCATTCATTCATTCATTCATTCAGTCAGTCAGTCAGTCAGTCAACAAATACTATGTGGTATGCAGTGCCTTGGGTAAGAGAAATATCACAAAGAACAGTGCAATATCCCTGAGGTTGGGAAGCTTACATTTTAGATTTGGAGAGGCATACAGGCTATATATAAGTAATTAAGTAAGAATGAATGTCAGCTTGTGATAGGTATAAGGTAAAAAATAAAACAGGTGATCTGGGCATGTGAGTGAGTGGTTCATGCCTGTGATCCCAGCACTTTCGGAGGCTGAGGTGGGAGGATTGCCTGAGCTCAGGAGTTTGAGACCAGCCTGGGCAACATAGTGAGACCCTGCCTCAACAACAACAACAAACCTAGCCAGGTGTGGTGGTACATGCCTATAGTCCCAGCTACTTGGGAAGCTGAGGTGGGAGGATTGTTTGAGCCCAGGAGTTTGAGACTGCAGCGAGCCATGATCACACCACTGTACTCCAGCCTGGGTGACAGTGAGACCCTGTCATAAATAAATAAATAAATAAATAAAGCAGGATAAAGTGGGTAGAAAGCACCAGTGTCAAGGGGTTGATGTTGATTTCTATTTTATTTAGAATAATCTGAGAAGGCCTCACTTATAATTTGGCTTGAAGAAAACACGAGAGCAAGTCATGCAATGTTCAAGTAAGAGTGCAGCAGTCAGAAGAAAAAGCTATGCAAGGGCCCTAAGGTTGAAAGTGTTCTTAGTGTCTTTGAGAAACATCAAGGAATGTGCAAAAGGCAGAATGATAGAAGATGAGATCAGAGAGGTGAGGGGTGGGGAGGGGTGTCACATGTGTCCCTGGAGGTCATTGTAGGGCTTTTGCCTTTCATTCTGAATGAAGTAGGAAGCCTTTGTAGTGTCTTGAACAGAGACGTGATATGATCTGGTTTATGATTTAAAAGGCCTAGTTGGGTGCATTCAGGACTGGCTACAGTTTGAAGGACCTGGTGAGAAATGAAAGTGTGAGGCTATTTGTTCAAAAATTATCAAGAAATTCAAGATGGCAACAGCACAGCATTAAACCGAGCACTGGGTCTTTGTGAGTGAGGGACTCTGTGTGACTGCATGGGTCACATGCCCATGATGCTGGCCCTGGATGCATTGAGTATAGGCTGCCAGGAGTGAAGGGCAGAGGCAGTGAGACCTATAAAAAGTCAATGCAAATATCCAGTGGTGGGTGAAAGTATAGACATAGCAGCGGAAGTGGTGAGGAGGAGGCACACACTGTGGTTGTTGTTTTTATATATTTTTTGAAGGTAG
The DNA here is from genome assembly GCF_000001405.40 of Homo sapiens. Lineage (NCBI taxonomy): Eukaryota > Metazoa > Chordata > Mammalia > Primates > Hominidae > Homo > Homo sapiens. Next base: position 107,323,813 of record NC_000003.12, on the reverse strand, counting down.
AGCTGATGGCATTTGCTAATGGATTGGTTGAAATTTATTGAGATAAAAAAGAGGAGGAGCAGGTCTTTAGTGTAAATCAGAAGTTCATGGTTGGACTTTAATAAATGTGAAGTCATTTGAAAGCAAGTGGGAGGATGACATTTAAACAGTTGGATGTATGATTCTGGAATTGAGGAAAGAGATCCAGATTGTAGATCCAAATTTGGGAGTCTCATCTCCATAAAGAAAGCATTTAAGATCACAAAAGCAGATAAGATGGGGCAGATAGGAGAAAAATGGGGAAAGAAGAAAAGAGAAGGTAGGGAACAGATATATAAAGAGAAGAACAAAGTTAGAGGATAAGACACTCTACTTAGAGATCAGAGACATTGGGAGGAACAAACAAAAGAGAACTAGAACTGTGAATGAGGAGGGATGATCCAGAGGCCACGTGAGAAAAATGTGTCCAGAAGAAAGTGTTAATCATGTCATGTGGCCCAGCAGTTGAGGACTGAGGATCAACCATTGAATTTAGCTTCATAAAGGTTGTATGTGTTCTTGGTAGGAACTGCTTTGGTTTAACAGTGAAAATAAAAACTTCTCTGAAGTGCAAACAATTTAGAATGAAGGGAGAGGTAATGAAAGATAAAAAACACATACAACTCTCAAAGAGTTTTGAAGAAAGGGAAACAGACGAATGAGTGGTGACTGGAGGGAAAAATGGGGTCATGTCATCATTTTTTGTTTTGTTTTTGAATTGTGAGAAATAAAAATGTTATTATTTAGAGGGAATTATGTAGTATAGAAGGAAAATTTGATGATGGAGAAACAAAAGGGACAATTGCTAGAGTGATGTCCTGAATAATAGAGAAAGGATGGGGTACAGGGCCCAAGGGAAGTAGATGGCTTTGCATAGAAGCACAGACAGTTCGTTTATATTAATGGGGTTGTGGGGAGAGAGCAGGGTTTTGGGTCCAGATGTAGGAAGGAGGCAGATGTTATGTTGGGAGGGTATAGGAATTCTATTCGGATTAATTCTCATTTCCACTTAATTCTCATTTACAGGGGAAGTAAATTCAACAACAGAAATTGAGGATGAGGAACATGGTGTTGCAGTTCAAACCAGTTCCAGCCAAAATGGACTCTAGTCACAAACAAATAGTAATAACAATCCAAACTTGTGGCTGAATAGAGTTCTGAAGTTTTGAGAAAGAGGTAAAGATATGAAATAGTTGTCTAGGAGCAGGCAAAAAAATGGCTTAGAGAAATTACAATTGCTACTTAGCACTAAGGGGCCACTTGAGATTAGAGGTGATACATGAAGAGTGAGATTTGAACTGAGTTTTAAAGAATGTTAAGAACTTGGATGGAGCAACAAGGGAGAGAACTTTAGACAAAGATGATCTGTAGACCCAAGGCCTGACATTCTCATCATTATTGTTTGCCTTAGTCTGTGTATCCTCTAAAAGCCCAAGGCGAGCATTTATTTGGAAGGGGATTTCAGGGAACACAAGTGAGGAAGTGAGTGAAAGAGAGGTGGGGTAATGAAGAAAGCCAGTAAAGGCTTTGTTAAGCTGGCCACCACTGTGTTCAAATGGAGCTCATTCTCACTGGGGATTCTCTGAGAAAATTGAACCATGCCTCAGAATTATTCCACCAGTAGGGAGGGAGAGGCGGAGGCATTCATCCACCAGCTATCCCATACCCCTTCCATGGGTTGAGGGGTGTATCCCCAATATTTTAGTTTGTTCATGCTTGTGGCCAGCAGCTCTTGAGGCACAAGAGAAAGCCTGCAGAAAGAAAGCTTCAGCATGGGAAAAACTGTCTTGATTGCTCTGTCACTTCACCAAAGCAATTTCTCCCTCAATCTTCCCCAGTTCAGTAAATGGCACCACAATGTAGTCAGTAGCAGGAGCCAAAACTTAGCAGTCATTTATTCAACCTTTACATTTATTGAGTACTTATACCATGCCTAGCACTCATTCAGGTGCTGGGTGCTAGCGAGCCCTATATGCTGAACTCCTAGAACTCCTAGAACTCCTATAACATCCCAAATCAGTCCTCTTCTCTCCAAATCCTCTTTTATATCTATAATTTGCAACGAGGATGGCCATTTAAAATTGTTGCTAAAATGAGACGAAGGGGCTGAGTCTTTGTAACCCTTGTTGAGCCACTACCATGCTCCATTCACATGTCTTTTCCCCGTATGTTTTTGTCTCTGATCTTCCAGACCCCTGTCCAACTAGTCAAATCATTCACCTTGCATATGAGTTTCTGTATATTCCTGGCTTAAGCCACTTCTCCTTCTACACCCTATGTAGATGACCAAGTGCACTGTTTAAAGCTATCCCCAGTGGGAGGATTTTTCTCTCACTTCTGTCTTTCAAGGCACTGTGGGTTGAAATATGTCCCCTCAATGACATGTTGAAATCCTTACCCTTGGTACCTAAGAATGTGATCTTATTTGGAAATAGGGCCTTTGCAGATATAATTATTAATATGAGTTCATACTGGATAACAGTAGCCGTAATTCCAGTGTCAAAGCTTCTTATAAATAGAAATTTTAGAGACACAGACAAAGGGAAATAAGGCCATGTGGTGGAGGCAGAGATTGGAGTTATGCAGCCACAAGCCAAAGAAGGCCAAGAATTGCCAACAACTACCGGAAGCTAGAAGTGACAAGGAAGCATTCTTCCCTAGAGCCCTTGGAGAGATCGTGGCCCTGCAACATCTTAAAGTTAGGACTTCCAGCTTCCAGAAATGTGAGAGAATAAATTTCTGTTGTTTTAAGCCCCTTGGCTCATGATGTTTATTATGGAAACCCTAGGGAACTAACACCCTGGCTCACCCTTGAGTGGACTCTGGTATAGCAGCAGTCCATTTTCAGCTTGCATGCACTTACGACACCTCCATCAGTGAAGCAATGCTGTTTTTCCCCTTTATTGTTGGTCATAAGGGATCACCTCCACTTATGAGGTGGCACAGGTGTGAACTGGGAAAGTGTTGTTAATGCAATAGTGGTAAATGATGTGGAAATCTGGGCAGTACACTGGTACAGTGTATTTTTTAATGCCCTCTGGCCTTGCTCACAACTGATTATAACTGATCCTATTCTCACCCCACAATGAACTGCAGCTGTGCCACCTTATCTCATGATGTGACGAATCTGACAGGATGCACCTCATGATGGTCAGCTCTCACCCACGGTCACTTGATGTCCTATGGTCAGAAGCCTTTTCACTACCAGGGTTCAGTAGCCCTAGTAAACCAGGAAACACCAACATGTTTCTCAAATGGTGTATACTTGTTTGCTGCAGATGGCATGGTCTTGCTGCAAACTCTAGGAGCTCTATGTTATGATTCTTCTACCGTGGCTTCCCTAAACTCCACATGTTATCTTTTCACGGCACAGATACCTTTAGTAACCTAGACTCTGCTGGATCATATGGCCCAAGACGCCAGTCTGATTGCACAGCAGTCGACCTGCTGCAGATGCTTTCCCACTGTAAGTCACACTCAAAGCTGGGAGCCTTCCTCTTTGCCTGGTGAATGGGTTAGAGCTGTATTTCCAACTGTGGCAAATGCTGCTCCAGAACCCAGAGACACCTAGCAAGCTCTCTGCTTCCTTCCTAGTGCTGGAAGTGGTGAGATGCAGTAATGTGTCCTTTGCTTTTAAATGGATGTTCTTGTGCACTTCAAACTTTACTCCTTAGATTCTTCCTCCTCAGACTTGGCCCCTAAAATCTTTACTGTCGTGGTTGGGTCATTATGGCAGATATTTGCTGTGATCCTACTTAATAGGGACCCAACTTATCTTTCAATCAATAGGCTTCAGGTCTAAGAATTAGCTCAGGTCTGGAAACAAGGGAAAGGATTGTGAGTTTTTTTTGGAGTGACTGACCCCATTTTTCTGCTAATGCACTCTTGATCATCTTTGATTATATATATATGTCAATAATTATATATAGCAATGTCTTGTTGGTTGCTCATTTATCCTGCACCTTTAAATACCATGTTTTTTATGGCATCTCCATAGAGCCCTGCAAATCAGGCCCTCTTGGCTGTCCTTCCAACTTTGCTATTCATTTCAACAACTATTCCCACCTTGCTCCTGTCATTGAAATGCTACCATCTAGACCCTGTTATTTCATGATTATATCATCTCCATTGACACTCAGGGCCGGGTTTTCTAATAGCATCTCCTGCCCTTAGCCATGACTCAAGGAGAAGAACCATAACTGAGCTTTTCAATGATGCTGATGCCCTTCTCACCAGCACATTTCTCATTTCTTTGGTAAATGGAGTGTTCTCTGGGTCCTCCCATAGAACAGAGTTGGCTGTTGAGTTGTTAGGCCTTGAGAAGTATATTCACTCTTGCGTGCTGTCTTCTCTGAGCCTTTTGATTTCTTTCTCCACTGTCCTCCCCAAAAGATCTGGCATTTATACTGCATGTAGTGTGGGCCGTTGATTTCCTCCAGCTTCCAAGAGCTATCCTAGCAGATATTAGTAGCATCTCCTTTGGTCTTTGTGAGGGTGTTAAATTCTGTATTGTAGGAAGGTACTCCTGTATTAAAAAAACTCGCTTGTTCATTTTTATGTTTCATCCCTTAAACCAGCTATCACATTCCTGTTCTATATATACTCTCCTGGCTCTTGCCAGTTCATGCTGGGTAACCCTTTACACTTACAGTGTACAGTTCCTTTCCCTTCCCTAGTAGACCCAGATCATTTCCAGGTTATCCTAAGATTTGACCCTAACTAGGGGTCTAGTGGCTAGGAGGTAGGTGAGGGTAGACCCTGAGGGTGCGATGTGTTGTTCTTCAAGAATAGATCATTGCATCAGATACAAGCTAGAGGGGCAGGCTAGCCTTTAACAGGGAGGAGTGAGACACGTTTGCTGGCCCATAGGGTTTAGCTATATTTGGGTATACAGGTTTTCAAATGTTATTGACCCAGATGTCCCCATCCTAATCCAAGGGTCCCACTTTTTAAATGAAGCCTTTTTACTAATGTTTCAGAGCTGCTGGGGTTAACAGTTCAACCTTCTCTGAGGCTCCACTACACTTATAATTAAATTCTTGCACTGACCTTAGCTTTTTTCACATTTTAACAGGTGATTCAGCTCAAAAGTTTTGTTTAGAATCTACTTCCTAGTACCCACCAGCTTAGGCTGAGTTTCCCAGAATCAGATCTGTGTTGGAGATTTGTGTGTATGATGTTTATTGGGGAGCTTCCCCAGAAACAACACCTTTAAGTACAGGAAACAATTGAACAGGGACAAAAATCCTACAGTGATAAAATTATAACAGAAGTCGTAGGTAATCCTTTGGGGCTCTCTGGAGCTAAAACAGCTTTTCCAAATTGTCTATAAATTGATGCAAGAGGAACACATCTTCATACTTCACGTTAAACAGTCACTGGGCACAGGCTACCCTAGGAGAAAGCTTGTAAACTTGGATGAAGTAGGTTCCTTTGACAGAAAGCAATTCCAGAAGAGAGATGTACCTATGAGATAACAGTAGCCAGCACTCCCAGAAGCTCACAAGTGACTGCCTTTGTCCTGACAGAGGTATCTGAACAGTGCACTATGCCATCCACTACAACCCATTTCTACGTTTATCTGTTTATTTTAAGACAATAATTAGAATAAGCTCCAAGAGAACAGAGACCTTGTCTATCTCATACATTGATATCCCCAGAATTTACAACAGCTCAGTATTTACTCAATAAGTATTTGTTGACTAAGTGATTGAACTGAATGAGTAATTAAAGTATATTTATAGGTGCCACATTTTGTAAACTATCACTTGGCATATCACAGAGAATACTAATAAATGAAAACACAGATTGGGAAGCATCTCATAATACTTCTTTATTCTCATATTAAAGTATAAATCTCTAACATAAGATTTTTTAGATCCTCAGTACAGCACAGCTACTCTGTGAAAACGTGGCCAGACTACTGTTTTGAGCAGGTCCCTGATCCCATTCCTCCTGACTGGGCGGGACCTCCCGACTAGGGTCTCCAGCCACCTTCTACAGGTGCCTTGGGGTGGACAACAGGTCCATACCTCCCCGGCACAGGGCTTTCGGAGGGAGGGGCAGGCCACCATCTTTGCTGTTTTGCACCCTCCACTGTTGATACCTTCAGGCACTGGAAAATCCAAGGTGACTAGGGACTAAAGCAAACCCCCAGTAGCAGACCTACGGAAAAGTGGCCAGACTGTTACATGGGGGCCTGTTCCCATGTCTCCTCACTGTGCAGGTCCTCCAGGCCTGGACCTCTACCCACACCCTGCTGGGGCTATTAAGCCAGTAGCAGCTCTGCAACTGCCTCGACAGACCTCACAGTGGCGGGGGACAAGGGAGTGTTGCCATCTTCACTGTCTTGCAGCCCTTGCCCTTGCTGTCTCCAGGCTCGGGAGAGTCTGTGGGGACCGGGGACTTGTCTGGACCCCCAACAAAGAGCAATCCCCTTACAGAAAAGTGGCCAGACTATTCTCCACGCAGTTCCTGGTCCTCACTTCTCCTCATTAGGCAGGGCCGCCTGACGTGGGACTCCAGCACAACCACCCAACCCTTGCCTGATCACCACAATCAAAGACAGCCCAGCATTTCTTCAAGGAGGAAATCACAGAGTCAACCCACAACCCCTCCACCACTACAGGTGCAGTGGCTCAGCCTTTACAGCCTTTGGACTGGGAAGGAACAAAGGGCCTAGTCATTACACTGGCACCTCCAGCACACCGCAGCCGCCATATGGAGGGAAGTCCAGACCCCTCTTCCCTGGGAACCACCACCCTCACTCTTCACCAGGCAGGGGCCCTGGCTCATGAATGCAGAACAGTTGCTCCGCCCACAGCTGAACATGCCCACTGGTAGTAGCCCAGAGTTTCCCCAGGGAGAGCCTCCCAGAGGCATACAACAGCCCCTCTGCCACTGCCACAGTAACAATTCTATCCCTCCTGCCCTTGGCCTGGGGAAGAAACAAAGAGCCTGAGGAGTACACGTGAACTTACAGTACCCCACAGCTACCATATGGAAAGGACACCAACCTCTCCTCCCTGTAAGACTTCAACCCCCTGCTCCCCAACAAGCAGAATTCCAAGCTCACAGCAGCAGTGCAGCCACCCTACCCCACTGGCTGAACACCTCCCAATAATAGTGGCTCTGAGTTTCTCAGAGGTGGAGCCCCCAGGGGCAACCAAAAGCCTCTCTGCCACTGCCTCTGCAGTGGAACTGCCCTTGCCACCCTCAGACTAACAAAGGAGCAAAGACCCTAAGTGCTTTATCCACACCTCCAACAAACCAAACTGCTGTCAACCCAAGGAGAGAAGGCCAGCGCATCTCCCATGGGTCCCACACACCCCCCTCCACCCTACTTGTCACCAGACAGGGAACCCCAGCTTGGACCCACAGCACAGACCCTCCATCCTGGGATGATTACACTGAGTGATTGCCGAACTGCATCCCTCTGGGGTGGAGCCTCCAGGAGACAAGCAAAAGACCCTTGACCACAGTGACTACTAAGGTTCCTTCCTGTACTGCCTCCAAGTTGGGGAAGGAAAATAAACCCTGAGATTGCCCCAGAGCTATGGTGGGCAGCCCAAAAGTGCGAAGCCTCAATCTACAGCCAGCATTCAAGTGGTAGAGGAGCCCACACTTTCAGAGCATTGAGAGGGAGCATGGCTGCAACTGTGAGGAAATATAGAGGAGCCACGTGACCAAGCAAGAGCCTACCAAGTGACCAATACGCCTAAGCACCACCTACTGAATCACACCCCAAAGCTTCAACACCAAAAATACCTTGCTAACATACCCTCTTGTGAAACCAGACACAAGAAGTCTGCTGCAAATAAAGACCCTGCATAAAGCCTTGGCCCTGTGAAAACATCCAGCAAGAAGTTTATTGACTGTACTCAATCTATACTGCAGTTAAAGGAACACTCACACCCAGAGATGAGAAAGAACCAACACAAGAACTCCAGTAACTCAAATGGCCAGAGTGTCATATGTCCTCCAAACTCCAAAGTTGGAGAACTGCACCAGTTCTCCAACAAGGGTTCTTAACCAGGCTGAGCTGGCTCAAGTGACAGAAAGAATTCAGAATATGAATAGGAATGAAGATAATCGAGATTCAGGAGAATGAAAAAACCCAACTCAAAGAAATTAAGAATCACAATAAAATTATACAGGAACTGAAAGATGAAATAGCTGGTATGAAAAGGAACCTAATGGTTCTGATGGAGCTGAATAACACAATACAGGATTTTCACAATGCAATCACAAGTATTAACAGCAGAATAAACCAAGCTGAGGAAAGAATCTCAGAACCTGAAGGCTGGCTCTCTGAAATAAGAGAGTCAGACAAAAATAAAGAAAAAGTAATGAAAAGAAATGAGCAAAACCTCTGAGAAGTATGGGATTATGTAAAGAGGCCAAATCTATGAATCATTCGCCTCCCTGAAGGGGATAAGGAGAAAGCAACCAACTTGGGAAACATATTTCAGGATATTGTCCGTGAAAACTTTCCCAACCTTGCTAGAGAAGCTGGAGAAGTGAAAGTCAGGAAATACAGAGAACCTCTGCAAGATTCTACATAAGAAGATCATCCCCAAGACACGTAGTCATCAGATTTTCCGAGGCTGAAATGAAAGAAAGAATGTTAAAGGCAGCTAGAGAGAAAGGGCAGGTCACCTACAAAGTGAACCCCTTCAGGCTAAAAGTGGGCCTCTCAGCTGAAACCCTACAAGCCAGAAAAGATGAGAGGCCTATATTCAATATTCTTAAAGACAAAAAACGTTCAACCATGAATTTCATATCCAGCCAGACTCAGCTTCCTAAGTGAAAGAGAAATAAGATCCTTTTCAGATAAGCAAATGTTGAGGGAGTTCATTATCACTAGGCTTCCCTTATAAGAGATCTTGAAAGGAGCACTAAATATAGAAAGAAAAGACTGCTATCAGCTAATACAAAAGTACACTTAAATACACAGACCAGTGACACTATATAGCAACCACACAAACAAGCCAGCATAATAACCAGCTAACAACGCAATGACAGGATAAAATCCACACGTATAAATACTAACCTTGAATATAAGTGAGCTAAATGCCCCACTTAAAAGGCACAAAGTGGAAAGCTGGATATAAAAGCAAGACCCAGTGGTGTGCTGTCTTTAAGAGACCCATCCCACATGTGATGACAAGCGTAGACTCAAAAGAAAGGGACGGAGGAAAATCTACCAAGCAACTGGAAATCAGAAAAAAAGCAGAGGTTGCAATCCTAATTTCAGACAAAACAGACTTTAAACCAACAAAAATCAAAAAAGATGAAGAAGGACATTACATAATGGTTAAGAGTTCAATTCAACAAGAAGACCTAATGGTTTTAAATATATATGCACCCAACATGAGAGCACCCAGATTCATAAAGCTAGTTTTTAGAGACCTACAAAGAAACAGACTCCCACACAATAATGGGAGATTTTAACACTCCATTGAAAATGCTGGACAGGTCATCAAGGCAGGAAATTAACAAAGATATTCAGGACCTAAACTCAACATTGGACCAAATGGATCTGATAGACCTCTACAGAACTCTTCACCTCTACCCCCAACAGAAACAGATATACATTCTTCTCATTACCGCATGGCACATAATCTAAAATCAACCATATAATTGGATATAAAACAATCCTCAGCAAATGCAAAAGAAGTGAAATCATACCAAACACATTCTTGGTCCACAGCACAATAAAAATAGAAGTCAAAACTAAAAAAATCACTCAAAACCATGCAATTACATGGAAATCAAACATGTTCCTGAATGACTTTTGAATAAATAATAAAATTAAGGCAGAAATCAGGAAGTTCTTGGAAACGAATGAGAACAAAGATAAAACGTACCAGAATCTCTGGAACACAGCCAAGGTAGTGTTAAAAGAGAAATTCACAGCACTAAACCTCTATGTCAAAAAGTTAGAAAGATCTCAAATTAACAACCTGACTTCACAACTGAAAGAATTAGAAAAGCACCCAGCACTTTGGGAGGCTGAGGCAGGCGGATCATGAGGTCAAGAGATAGAGACCATTCTGGACAACATGGTGAAAACCCATCTCTACTAAAAATACAAAAATTAGCTGGGTGTGGTGGCATGCACCTGTAGTCCCAGCTACTCAGGAGGCTGAGGCAGGAGAATCACTTGAACCTGGGACACGGAGGTTGCAGTGAGCCAAGATTGCACCACTGCACACCAGCCTGGCAACAGAGCGAGACTCCATCTAAAAAAAAAAAAAAGAAAGAAAAAAAGAGAAAGAATTAGAGAAGCAGAACAAATCAACCCCAAAACTAGCAGAAGATGAGAAATAACAAAATTCAGAGCTGAACCAAAGGAAATTGAGACATGAAAAACCATTCAAAAGATCAATGAATCCATGAGTTTTTAATTAATAAAATAGGCCACTAGCTAGACTAATTAAAAAGAAAAGATCCAAATAAACACAATTAGAAATGATAAAGGGAATATGTCTATTGACCCCACAGAAATAAAAACAACCATCAGAAACTGCTATGAACACGTCTAGAAGAGATGGATAAATTCCTGGACACATACACCCTCCCAAAACTGAACTAGGAATAAATTGACTCCCTGAACAGACCAACAATGAGCTACAGAATTGAATCAGTATAAATAGCCTACCAACCAAAAAAGCCCAGGACCAAATGAATTCACAGCTAAATTCTACCAGATGTACAAAGAAGAGCTGGTACCATTCCTGTTGAAACTATTGCAAAAACTTGAGGAGGAAGGACTCCTCCCCATTTCATTCTATGAGGCCAGCATCATCCTGATACCAAAACCTGTCAGAGACACAACAAAAAAAAGAAAACTTCAGGCCAATATCCTTGATGAACAGTGGTGCAAAAATCCTCAACAAAATACTTGCAAACCAAATCCAGCAGCACATCAAAAAGCTAATCTGCCACAATCCAGTAAGCTTCATCTCTGGGATGCAGGGTTGGTTCAAGATACACAAATCAATAAATGTGATTCACATAAACAGAACTAAAGACAAAAACTACATGATTATCTCAATAGATGCAGAAAAGGCTTTTAATATAATTCAACATCCTTCATGTTAAAATTCTCAATAAAGTAGGTATTGAAGGAATACATCTCAAAATCATAAGAGCCATCTCTATGAAAAATTCACAGCCAACATCATACTGAATGGACAAAAGCTGGAAGCATTCTCCTCAAAAATCAGCACAGACAAGGATGCCCTTTCTTACCACTCCTATTCAACAAAGTGTTGGAAGTCCTGGCCAAAGAATCAGTCAAGAGAAAGAAATAAAGGGCATCCAAATAGGAAGAGAGGAAGTCAAACTACTGTCCCTGTTTACAGATTACATGATCCTGTATCTAGAAAACCCCGTAGTCTTGGCCCCAAAGCTCCTTCAGCTGATAAACAACTTCAGCAAAATTTTAGCGTGCAAAATCAATGTGCAAAAATCATCAGCATTCCTATACACCAACAACAGCCAAGCTGAGAGCCAAATCAGAAAGGCAATCCCATTCACAATTGCCACAAAAACAATAAAATACCTAGGAATACAGCTAACCAGGGAGGTGAAAGATCTCTACAAGGAGAATTACAAAACACTGCTCAAAGAAATCAGAGAAGTCACAAACAAATGTAAACACATCCCATGCTCATGGATAGGAAGAATCAATATCATTAAAATGATCATACAGCCCAAAGCAATTTATAGATTCAATGCTATTCCTATCAAACTACCAATGACATTCTTTTCGAAACTAGAAAAACACTATTTTAAAATTTATATGGAACCAAAAAAGAGCCCAAATAGCCAAAGCAATCCTAAGCAAGAAGAACAAAGCTGGAGGCATCACATTACCCAACTTCAAACTATACTACAGGGCTACAGTAACCAAAATAGCATGGTTCTGGTACAAAAACAGACACATAGACCAATGGAACAGAATAGAGAGCCCAGGAATAAGGATGAACATCTACAACCATCAGATCTTTGACGACGCTGACAAAAATAAGCAATGGGAAAAAGACTCTCTATTCAATAAATGGTGCTGGGATAACTGGCTAGCCATATGAAGAAGATCGAAACTGAACCCCTTTCTTAAACCCTTTACACAAATCAATTCAAGATGGATTAAAGACTTAAATGTAAAACCCAAAACTATAAAAACCCTGGAAGACAACCTAGGCAATACTATCCCGGACAAGGGAATGGGCAAAGATTTCATGATGAAGACACCAAAAGCTATCAAAACAGAAGCAAAAATTGACAAATGGGATCTAATTAAACTTAAGAGCTTCTGCACAGTGAAAGAAACTATCGACAGAGTAAACAGACAACCTACAGAATGGGAGAAAATGTTTGCAAACTATGCATCTGATAAAGGTCTAATATCCAGCATCTATAAGGAACTTAAATTTACAAGAAACAAACAAACAACCCCATTATAAAGTGGGCAAAGGACATATACAGACATTTTTCCAAAGAAGACATACATGTGGCCAATAGATATATGAAAAAAAGCTCAATATCGGTGATTATTAGAGAAATGCAAATCAAAACCACAATGAGATACCATCTCACACCAGTCAGAATGACTATTACTAAAAGTCAAAAAATAACAGATGTTGGCAAGGTTGCCAAGAAAAGGGAACACTTATACACTGTTGGTGAAAGTGTAAATTAGTTCAACCATTATGGAAAGCAGCCTGGAGATTCCTCAAAGAGCTAAAAGCAGAACTACCATTTGACCCAGCAATTCCATTACCGGGTATATACCCAGAGGAATATGAATCTTTCTACCATAAAGTTACATGCACATGAATGTTCATTGCAGCACTGTTTACAATAGCAAAGACATGGAATCAACCTAAATGCCCATCAATGACAGACTGGATAAAGAAAATGTGGTATATATACACATATATTTCTAAGCAGCCATTAAAAGCAACGAGATCATGTCCTTTGTGGGAATATGGATGGAGCTGGAGGCCATTATCCTTAGCAAACTAATGCAAGAACAGAAGAACAAATACCATGTGATCTCACTTATAAGTGGGAGCTAAATGATGAGAGCTCATGGACACAAAGAAATGAACAGCAGATACTGGGGCCTACGTGAGGGTGGAGGGTGGGAGGAGGGAGAGAATCAGGAAAAACAATTATTGGGAACTAGGCTTAATACCTGGGTGTTGAAATAATATGAACAACAAACCCCCATGACATGAATGTACTTATATAACAAACGTGCACAAGTACCGTCAAACCTAAAATAAAAGTTAAAATAAGATTTTTTAGTTTTCTGAAGTTGCAACCGCTTCTAACGCACTAAGAAAACTGACAAACGGCATGGGCTATATACTCATTTTAACCACTACCTTCTACTCTGATGCAGAATCTTAATTAACTGACTTGGCCGTTACCGGTATTAAAGAATATTAAACGAGGTATTATAATTAAATCAGCCCTTATAGTTAGATTGACTTACACAGGTAAATTTGGTTTTGCACCTACGTTGCACTAATACCCACTTTCAGCTGCCTCCCAACAGATGTCTGCTTTTGATTTTAAACATAGGTTTTCAAACATTTTTATGAGACTATAAACACATAGAATCTTCTGAGACATTTTTCTCTAACCACATTCTATTGAATATTAGCCCTCTCCCTTATGTTGTGAGAAAAAAATTAAGTCTGAAATGTCATTTTGTCCTTTCCTTAAGTATTTCCTATTGCAAAATGTCATAAAAACTCAACATTAGTAAAACATTGTTCCTAATTTTAACAACTACCATGTGTGAGTTCAAGTTTACAATTGAAAACGAATGACCACACTTCTTAAGATGAACAAATATCAGGAATGGCGGTAGTGAAGAGTTTTGTGGACCTGCTCCCCAACAAAACAAGCATAACTAGTAACAATTATTTTTTAAAAAACCTCAACCATTTCAAGTCTCTGGAACTTGTTATAAGGGCACACAGCAGATGAAGAAATACTTATTTAAGAAAATCTACTAAAGTCAGGTAAGAATAGCAAGACTTTGTGGTACTTGATCCATGACTCTCTCTTCAGTGCAACTTGATTGAAATTCCATTCCAGGTAGGGGTAGCCAATATAATGGATGCCTTTCCTAAACTCATAGCCAAGGATACAGCATTTCACAGGGAGGCACAGGCTTTTAGCCTCTGTCATACTCCAACTCTGAGTGGCAGAAGCTAAATCCCTGGTGAGTGTGGTTGTGGTCGTGGTGCCCTGCATTTACCCAGTTGCAATTCATAGGAAGGAGCCTCTACCCAGACATGGCAGGCTAAGAGTACTGGGGCCCTGGTAACTTTTGCCACAGCTCACTACTGGAGTGGAAGAGCCATGCCAGGAGAAGCAATCTGGGAAGACCAGAGGCTACTGCTCCTGCTCAGTACTCAGACCAGTCTGCTCAGAGATTTTTTTTTTCCCCAGGTGGGGAGGCAATCTATAGGAACAGAGAGCTCCAAAACTCTCCCCACAGGGACTGATTTTATTTGAAACCGAGTATGGTAAAGTTCAAGCCTAAGGGTACTCTCAAAAACAATGGAGATGTTGGCGGAAAGCAGTTAAGAGGAGGTTGGTACATCTATGGGAGTAACAACCAAAACCACAGGCCAGCTAATTTAACAGAGACAGCTGGCAAGAGACAGTTAAGAGGAGCTCTCCAGGGGAACAAATCTCAAAAACTGTCCTCCAAAATATTCTATCCCTGAAAAGTGGTCCAAATTCAATTAGATCAGACTGTGGAACAATTTATGCCCAAGGGCATTGCCAAAAACAAGAGATCAATCAGCCAGCAGTCAATACAGCAATCAGCAAGCAGTTAGTGGAGCCTAACAGCTCAGTGTGATACCAAAGGAGGCAGACAGCTTAACAGAGAGATCGGGACAGTCAAAGAAAGTTTCACTGAAATCACTGTCAAATCAGGGTGACTGCGTGCATGCCCAAAGCTATGCCCTCTGAAAAGCAACATCAGAGGTTTCACACTGTAGGGGAAATAGACTTCACTAAAATTATCTATCTAAGCCATTAAAAAAATAAACAAGCAGGCAACAAGAAAAACAAGCTCCAGAGCGGGGAGAGGGGAACCAGTATCCAGTTTCTGCAATATATTGCCCAAATGTCCAGTTTTCAACAACAAGAAAGAATGAGACATGATAAGAAACAGGGAAATGTGACCCATACAAAGGAAGAAAAAGCAGACGAGAGAAACTGCCTGTGACCCAAGACAATAATACGGATCCATGTGACAAAACAACACTGGTAAAGGTAACGAAGCAATTATAAAATACAGTATACACGCATTTCTTTTATCTGATTTAAATGCAATTATGTAAAAATATACATACAAATTGTATTGTTGGACCTATAACACATAGAAATGCAATATATTTGCCAATAACAGCATAAAGAAGGTGGGTGAGAGCAAAGATGTATTGGAGTAAAGAAGAGACACCAGATGGTAACTTGAATGCGCAGGAACAAGTGAAGAGAACCAGAAATGATAAATAAGATCAATATAACAAATTGTATAAATAAATATATACTTGCTTTTTTTTTCTCAGCCTCTTTCATGGACAGAAAAGTATATAAAATAATAATTATAACAAAATAGTAACAGGTTTGAAACATATTGTAATATAACAACAATAGCTCAATAACGAGGAAGTGAGAGTGGGCCTATATAGGAATAATATTTCTATATTTCACTGGAATTTAATTTGTTTAGGCTGGGCACAGTGGCTCACGCCTGTAATCCCAACACCTTGGGAGGCCAACGCGGGCAGATCACCTGAGGTCGGGGATTCAAGACCAGCCTGGCCAGCATGGCAAAACCCTGTCTCTACTAAAAATACATAAATTAGCTGGGCGTGGTGGTGGGTACGTTATCCCAGCTACTCGGGAGGCTGAGACAGGAGAATCGCTTGAACCCAGGAGGTGTAGGTTGCAGTGAGCTGAGATTGTGCCACTGCACTCCAGCCTGGGTGACAGAATGAGACTCTGTCTCAAGATAATAATAATAATAAATAAAGAAAATAAATTTGTATAACTCTAAACTTGATTCTGATAACTTATATGTTTATGGTAAGCCCTAGAAGAACCACTAAGAAAGTAAGTGGGGAAAAAAGCGAGAAAAAAAATTAAATGTGAAGACTGAGGCAGAGATTGGAGTGATAAAGGTACAAGCCAACGAATGCCAAGAATTGTGGTGTTGGGGCTCAGAAAACAATACCCTAAAATGAAGGCCTCAGAAGCAAAAGTTTTTCTCTGACCTTCTGCCCTCCTGTTTCTCAGTCCAATTCTCCCCTGAGGTTAACCATAGAAACTAGAATCCCTCTTCCCCAAAACCATAAAACCTAAAAAGAGTACTCTCACTTTCCCTCTGCCTTTTGGTGTCAAAAGTGGCCATAAAGAAATTTTTATCTGCCTTATTTGACTGTGGGTCATAATACCCCTATGCCAGAGAGAGCCTTGCCCCACACCCAGAAGGTAAGGATGCATGCTCAGAGAGGCCGAGAGGAATCTAGACAGACAGGCCTTGTTGGCTTCCCCGGTTTGGTCTATTAGCATTGGATCGCACCCTTCTTTTCCAATCACATTTCTACACGGCTGTCCGTACTTTGTTGAACTTAAGCATAAAAATGGACAATTTCCCCTGTTCTTTAAGTCTTCATTCTGGAGGCTCCTATGTATACACGTTAAATAAATTTGTATGCCTTTTCTCCAATTAATCTGACTTTGGTGAGCTGATTTTTCAGAGAAACTTTAGAGGGCCAAGGGGAGCTTCTCCCTTGAGAGAGGAGAAAAGATTCTGGCCGGGTGTGGTGGCTCACGCCTGTAATCCCAGTACTTTGGGAGGCTGAGGCAGGCGGATCACTAGGTCAAGAGATCGAGACCATCCTGGCCAACATGGCGAAACCTGTCTCTACTAAAAATACAACAATTAGCTGGGCGTGGTGGTGAACGCCTGTAGTCCTAGCTACTCGGGAGGCTGAGGCAGGCAGGAGAATCGCTTGAACTCGGGAGGCGGAGGTTGCAGTGAGCCGAGATCACACCACTGAATCCAGCCTGGCAACAGAGCGAGACTCCATCTCAAAAAAAAAAAAAAAAAGGAGGGAAGATTCTTCCCTAGAGCCTTCAGAGCGAGCACAGGCCTGCTGGCACCTTGATTTGGGGCTTCTAGCGTCCCAAAATATGAGAATGCATTTTTGTTTTATTTATTTTCATTATTTATTTTATTTTATTTTATTTTATTTTATTTTATTTTATTTTATTTTATTGAGTCAGGGTCTCACTATGACCCAGGCTGGAGTATGGTGACACATTCACAGCTTACTGCAGCCTCGACCTCCCAAGCTCAGGTGGTCCTCCCACCTCAGCCTGCTGAGTAGATAGAACTATAGGCACCTGTCACCACACTTGGCTAATTTTTGTATTTTTTGTGGAGGCGGGATTTCGCCAGGTTGCCCAGGCTAGTCTCAAACTCCTTACTTCAAGCGATACGCCTGCCTCAGCCTCCCAAAGTCCTGGGATTATGGGTGTGAGCCACTGCGCCCGGCCATCTTTGTTGTTTTAAGCCATTCGGTTTGTGGTAATTTGTTACAGCAGCCCCAAGGAAACTAATAATACAGACATCTAAAACAGTTCTTGAGTATTTTGGGAAATGGGTGTTGGTATTATTTCTTAACACTTAGAAAGTGAAGAAAAGTCTCAGAAAAACTTACCCATGATTATGAGTCCTGCCCTCCCCGCCATTCATATATTGAAATTCTAACCTTCAATACCTCAAAATGTGACCTTATCTAGATACAGGGTTGTTGCGAATGTAATTAGTTAAGATGAGGTCATACTGGACTAGGATGGGTCCCCAATCTAATCTGATGGGTTTCTTTATGAAAAGTGGACATTTGGACACAGACACACAGGGGAATCCCATGTGAACACGAGTTGTGCCGGCACAAGCCAAGCACCCACCACACGCTAGGAGTCCTGGCACAAACACTCCCGTCCCTCCCCTGGGGCCATCAGAGGGAGCAAGGCCCTGCCAACACCTCGATCTCGAGCTTCTAGCTCCAGAACTGTGAGACTGTAAATTTCTGTTATTTAAGCCACTCTGAGTATTTTGTTATGGCAGCTCTGGAAAACTGTAACACTCTTTATGCCATTTCCAAGTAATAACAACCGTTAATTTTTTGGTTTCTCTCCTTTCAGTTTCATATCTATAGAGACCAAAGTTTACTTATACACATACATACATATATGTAATCTCCATCTAAATATTAGAGGCAGGTTCCTCTTAAGAACATTGTCCATGGCCGGGCAAGGTAGCTCACGCCTGTAATCCCCAGCACTTTGGGAGGCCGAGGTGGGCAGATCACTTGAGGTGAGGAGATCAAGACCAGCCTGGCCAACATGGTGAAACCCCATCTCTGCTAAAAATACACAAATTAGCCTGGTGTGGTGGGAGGCACCTGTAATCTCAGCTACTCGGGAAGCTGAGGCAGGAGAATTGCTTGAACCCAGGAGGAGGAGGTTGCAGTGAGCCAAGATCACGCCACTGCACTCCAGCCTTGATGACAGAGTGAGACTCTGTCTCAAAAAAAAAAAAAGAACATTGTCTAAAATTTGGAAATAAAGCAGAAAGATAACTGTGTGACCTTTCAAACTCATACCGAAGACTAGGTAACAAGCTGGTCTGAGACGTCTATCACACTAAGCAAAAGTAATTTGTTTGATTTACTATTTACTTTTGGTTACGGCCCAGATTCTATAAAGTACAGTCAACTTGGAGAAAATGGATAAATTGCAAATTACCTTTTTTTTTTTTTGGTGGTGATTCAAATGATTTTTGTCCTATAGAAAAAATAACCTCTGAGGGTTATGATTTCATTACCCTGTACCTAAATTAGCAATCTTATTTCAGGTTTCTTCCTTTAGTAACTCTCTTTTTAATTTCTCATATCCTTTTTTGAAACAGGCTTACCATCCCTGCTGATTCATTAGTGAGTTCAAAACATCTTTGACATCTGTATACTATATACCCATATAAGAGCCATGTTTTTAATTTTTTGAAAATTATACTTTGACATGATTTAGATCAGTGGTTCTCAGACTTTCAGATTTCATAAAGAATAAAAATTATTAAAATAAAATAAAGTTGGATGCCATTTTGAATTTTCCAAGTAATGTCCACTTAAAAATCACAAAATGGAAAACTATCCTCTACAAATACCACCATTTTATTATAGGCTGTGCAGGGCTTTTTAATACCAAAAGAGTGGAATAAAATGCAATATTAGCCACATAATATTATGAAAGTTTACCCCATTCTACTTATTTTCCTCATTGCACTGCATTTTGGTAAGAACCTCAATGGCAGGCATAATTTAGCAAGACTGTGTATAAATGACTGGTTTCCTTTGTACTTGTGCAGCTTCTTTTATTCATTCACTCCAGGTCTTCACTGAGGTCTTTCTATGTTGCAAGAAATGCCTACTATGAGAGAAAGAGCACCAATTATATGCCAAGGAGCTATCTTCTATGTACAAACATGGTTCCTGATGTCCTGGAAAATATATTCTAGTGGAGGAAGATTGACAATGAATAATTACATAATTAAGTGATTATATAATCAAAATTTTGACCAAATTATTGTACCATTAAAATTTTGCCACATATTATAAGGAAAGAGCACACATTTAACAATGTGCATTGAGTTGCTTGTATGCCAGTCATTTCTCAGTGAAAACTACGACCCTGATAGAAGGACCTAACAAATTATTCTCAAAATTGCTTCTCCCAACAAAAGAAAGCCACTCTTTAAGGATTAAATGTGTGCCTGAAGGTAGCAGATAGTCAATAGTAGTTGACTTTGCCTTGCAGGGCTTCACAAAACCCTCAGAGAGAACAGGGACCTCTTACCTTCCCCTTCCTTCCTTCATCCCTAGAAGAAAGAAACTGGGCACTGATTAGTTTTCTCTAGAGAAAATAAAGTAAAATGAGGTTAGTTCATAAGTTAATCTTTCTGAGAGACACGAAAGTGTGCTGTTCAGCTGATAATATTATTTAGTTAATTGACGCTAATTAGCTCGCAGTCCAACAGACTTAGGCCCCATGGCTATGAAGCAATTCTACAAGGAGGGGAGAAGAGTATTATCATGTGCAAATATCCCTTCTTACAAACTTTCTGGAGAAAAGTTTTGACCTGATTGCATAAGTGTGGGCAACTTAGGCTTCAGGATAGTTTGTAAATATATAAGAAGAGAACAACAAACAGTTGAAACAATTCATGCTCTCCTATGCTGCGTTTGAAAGGTGATGGGGACAGGAAACCAAAACTCCTAAAAATTTCTTGAACAAATGCGAGGGTGAATAGAGAGAAAGACAAGGTAAGGTAGTTTGACTGAGAATTTGAGACTATTAAATCGGTTGAGAAACATAAAATAACTGACTCCCAGGAAGCAAAGCCTGTTACATATGCGACCAAAAAAGTGGTTGGGAGATTTCTCCTTGTTAGATAGTCAGGGAATACACTTCTATATTTGTGTATGAAGGCAATTTTCACAAAATAGGTTTGGCAGAGGAGTGGGGCAATAAATAATCTTCTCACTCTTCTACCATCACCAAGATTTATCTGTATTCCTCTGTAGACTTCATGGTTTGGGGATGACCTACACAAGTCAGGCTCAGTGAAGGTGAGGAATGAAAGCCTTTATACACTTTTGAAAAGCCAAAAGAAACAGGTATTTAATTTATAGAAAACCAATCAGGTAAGATACTCTGAGGACAAGAGGCCCATTTTGCAACTCAGGGTAAGAAAAGATTGATGAAAAGTTTAGCAGTGTTAACTCTCTACTCTCCCCACCCCCAGTAAACCACCAGAAAAGACTATCGATCAACCAAGACTGAATTTATTAGACTTACAGTAGTGAGAGAGGACACCAATTTGATAAAGTATTTATAGCTTCTCAAAATGGGGGTATTTATAGGTATTTATAGGGGGTAGTTATAGGTATTTATAGGTATTTAGGTATTTATAGGGCAGATTTCAAGCTGAGTCATGAAAAGTAGGTAACTTGGTATTGGGCAGAGTTTATGATATGGTAACTTTGGCTTGATAAGCACAGCAAGATGAGGTACTTGAAGAGAGTCTTGATAAACAAATTGTTAGTCTTGCTAAATAAGCTGTTAAGTTGGTTCACAGTTTTATTGTCTTGATGATGAGTATTTCCTAGAGTAAGATGAAGTCGTTATTTTTACTTGCCTCAGTATGGTTTCACATAAGAATAGGAAAGTATGCCCAGTCCCAGTAGTGTTTAATGTAAGGCCTCGGAACTATGTTGGTTTCAGTTCTCAGGAGTCTTTTTCATTTTTCTCCAGCCTAAGCTACAGAATAGAAGATTATCAACTAGGGACATGATCAATCCAGATTTATATCACTGTTTGATATGTTGTGGTTATATGAAGGGTTTCTGATGATAGTCACCCCATCCATTATTAATAACAGATTTTTTTAATTGTTCATTTTGTTGGAAGATCATGTTTGGATCATTTTATGGAACAACTACTGCATAGCAGATTTTAAGACTCTGGAGAGCACACATTTGAGAGTGGCAATATAATTTATATAATTTCTTTCTTTTTTTTTTTTTTTTGAGACGAAGTCTCACTCTGTTGCCCAAGCTGGAGTGTAGTGGCACAATCTTGGCTCACTGCAAACTCCACCTCCCAGGTTCAAGCGATTCTCCTGCCTCAGCCTCCCGAGTAGCTGGGATTACAGGTACGTGCCACCATGTCTGGCTAATTTTTGTGTTTTTAGTAGAGACAGGGTTTCACTATGTTGGCCAGGCTGGTCTTGAACTCCTGACCTCATGATCCTCCTGCCTCGGCCTCCCAAAGTTCTGGGAATACAGGCGTGAGCCACCGTGCCCGGCCCAACATAGATAATTTCTATGAGAAATATTATGATATGAACTTGTAGTCACTTTTAAGGCAGAAGCCAAGAGTGACAACATTTTATCCCCAATGTGAAGAGGCCACACAAGCAGATAGAGAGTATTAGCCAAATTACATAATTTCACTATTTTTATGTTTGCCACCCAGATAATTTTAGCAACATTAAAGATCCAAAAGAGGTCTGTAATAATGCAGGTACAGCATTCTTTCCCTAAGTCAGCACACATCCTACCTCGAAAGACTTCTGTTTTGAACCATCACCACACCTGTGAACCTCTTAGGTGAGAAGTTCTACAGCTGTAGCAATGTTGCCATTGTCTGTAGAATCCTGCCTACTTGTCAAGTCTCATGGAAAGTGTGAAATGAAGAAGAAAGCAGTCTGAAATGTTCTTTCAGGGGTTGATTTAAGATGTAAACCAAAGTTCAGCATTTTTGAATTAAATTATCTAAATGTCTTTTTTTCGTAGAAGGGAAGTCTGCAGGTCAAAATGGAGGCGGGGTGATACTAAGAACTCTCCTGAAGGCAGACCTCAGTTTACTCACATTATAGATCCCTGTTCAATTTACAGATCGCAGATCGCAGTCAATAGTCTTTTGTGCTTCAAATACTCATACGGGGATGTCAAATAGAATTGGCCTGGCATAAGGTCTATCACCTAGTGCTAGGCCAATTCTATCTGACATCCCCATATGAGCATTTCCACTGAAAGCAGATCATTGGGTAATCCCTCACAACTAGTATTGGATTTGAAGCACAAAAGACTATTGACTGCAATCTGTAAATTGGACAGGGATGGGGGTTTAGCTTAACTAATGCACCTTTCTTGCAAGGTCTGTAAAAGTTAGGCAATGTTTTAAATATACCCCAACTGTTCCCTGGCTTTTTCTACATTCTATTTCTGTAAGGGTTGATTGCAAAGGCTAGCTTTTCTGTGTATTTTTTTCCTACAGAAGAAGAAACACCTCATTTATAGGTTTGACATAGCAGAGACTTTAGGTTTCTTGACTCTCTGGTCTGTTACGGTTTTTGTCATCTAAATAAGTTGATTGGTGGAAACCAACTTATTTATAACAAGGAAAAGGTATCAAATAAAGCTGGATGGCACCCAGATAAAAATGAGTACAAATCCAAAGGTCAGTTTGATTGTATTCTTTAGCCAAATTGCAATAAAACTGCTGGCAGGTATTGGAATCAGGCCAAGAAGTATGTAAACATGCCGAAATATTATTAAGGATGGGAACCGTACAGATATTATGTTTAAGAAATAATAACTTTCTGTTAGCAATCAGAAACTTTAACAAAGAGGAGAGAAAATAGCTAGGGAAATAAAGAATGACATATTGCAGATAAAGCATGGGAATCACTGGTTCTGGTCATCTGGATCTTCTTCATAGATCTTGAATGGAAGTTGTCTACTATTCACAGTTGTTTCCATGATCTGATGGTCTTAATTTGAAGCTGTCTCCACCCTCAAAATCTATGCTTTTGGAGAATTCCTAAGTTCCTAAGGATCCTCAGCTTGAAGTCCTGCTAAGACCATCCTTTCAGTGATTCACGGATGAATTATATTTCTTTAATTGAGAGATATAGATCTTAGAGTCCACACCTTACAGTTTTTCTTTTGTATTATGTATTAATAGGATCTGAAAATATCATTTTCATCAAGCCTCAAGGACACTTTTTTTCCTGTGATGTCTCTTTCGAAATCTAAATCCTCTGGACATATAGCGAAGCAAAATTCTCTTTTAGGTATGATACACAACACAAGTATAAGGATATAGTCAATAATAACTCTGGGAGTAAGAACACATTATGAACAGTGAAGACATTGACAAACCTCCGGGACCTTTGATTTGTGCTATAAAGTATACTATGATCAGCCCTGATTAACGTAAGTATTGGAATCAAGTAACCTAGATATCAAATATTTTAAACAATTATTATACCAGTCTGTGTACATGAACAATAGCATGCTTATTTTAACATAAAAATGTGTATAATATTAAAATGTTTTGTTACTTAAGATAGGAAGTCTAAACTTTTGTGATATGTCCATTTTTTGTTAAGTTGAAAAAATAAAAGGTCTCTCTTCATTTTTGACGTAAAAACATCTGGAGAATGCTAAATAAACCTAATTATCTCCATTATTTTTACTTTATGAGGTAAAGGAGCAGAATTTTGTGTTACCTGGTGGAAATTCCAGGAAATCTAAAAATAATGTCAGCATAAAAGACATCTTAACAGTTTGAATGATCTGAATTTATGGACTGAATTCAGAAAATCATAAATTAAAATTGTCTTTAAGAAGAAAAAACATTTAAATACAAGTCCTAGTTTTAAGCAATATTTTGAAGATATACAATGATATATGACTTTTAGTAACTTATTTTTTCTAAGAAAATAAGAAAACTTTTATCAAAACAAATGAGGAATATGTCAAAAACTTAGAGAGATATCTTGGTGATAAAAAAGTTATTATTGAGCAAAGAACAGCTGAAAATTTCACAAATTTGGTGATGGAAAATAAATGGACAGATCTAAGAAGCTCAGCAAGTTCCAAGCAGAATAAACTTAAGAAAAATCTTCCAAACACATTATAATTGAACTGCTGAAAACCAACTATGAAAAAGAAAATTGTTGAAAAGAATCATTGAAAAATGTCAGTTGACTGGGCATGGTGGCTCAGCTCATAATCCCAGCATTCTGGGAGGCTGAGGCAGGAGGATCACTTAAAGCTAGGCCAGCCTGGGCAACAAAGTGAGACTCCATCTTTACATTTTTTTTTTAATAGCCAGGCATGGCAGTGCCCTTCTGAAGTCCCGGCTATTCAGGAGGCTGAGGCAAGAAGGCTTGAGTCCGGGAGTTTGAGGCTGCAGTCAGCTATGATTGCTCCACGGCACTCCAGCCTGAACAGAGTGAGATCCTGTCTCTAAGAAAAAAAAAATAAGATAAAGAAAAAGAAAAGTGTCAGTGATTTGAATAATTGAAGATTTCTCATCAGAAACTATGGAGATTAGAAGATAGTGTAATAACATTTTTCAAGTGCTTAAAGAAAAAAAACTGTCAACCCCAAATTCTATTGCCAGTGAAAAAATTCTTCAGGAGTGAAGGCAAATAATACATTCTCACATGAAGGAAAACAGAGAGTTTATTGCTATAAGATCCTGCCTTAAAAGAAATGCTAAAAGAAGTTCTTCAGGTGGAAGGAATTATAACAGAGTAAAAATAGGAACTTTATGAGTTAAGGAAAAGCAACTGAAATGATATCTGTATTATTTTCCTAGAACTGCCATAATCAATTACCACATAATTGGTGGCTTAAAACAACAGAAATTTATCCCTTCACAGTTCTGAAAGCCAGAAGGTGTGGCAGGACTGTGCAGTCTCCAAAGCTCGGGGGAAGAATCCTTCCTTGCCTCCTCCAGCTTCTGGGACTGTCAGCGTTCCTTGGCTTCCTTGACTGCATCATTCTAGTTTCTGTGGTCACATTGCTGCCTTCTCTTCATGGCTGTGTTTTCTTTTCTGTCTCTTATAAGGACACTTATCATTGAATTTAGGACCCATTTGGGCAGTCCAGGATGACCTCATCTTGAGATCCTTAACTTATTTATATCTTCAAGGACCCCTTTTCCAAAGAAGGTCACGTTCACCCATATCAGGGGTTAGGACAGGGACATATTTTGAGGGGGACAGCATGTAATCCATTACCCATAGTAAGTCTATAGGTTACTTTTGGGATTTTATGTACTCTTAGTCCATTTTGGCTGCTATAACAAAATACCATAGACTGGGTAGCTTATAAACAACAGAAATTTATTTCTCAATTCTGAAGGCCTGGAAGTCCAATATTAAAGTGCTCGCATAGCTGGCATCCAGTGAGGACCCATCCCTCATAGGCAGCACTGTACCTCTGTATCCTCACATGATGGAAGGGGCAAGGCAGCTCCCTATGACCTCTTTCATAAGGGCACTAATCCCATTAGCCCTCATGCCTAATTAACTCCCCAAAGGCTCCATCTCTTAATACCATTGCCTTGGGGATTAGGATTTCAGCATACGAATTCCCTACATATGAACACATATGTAGTTCATAGCACGTATTTAAAATACATCTATATCTAACCACCATCTCTCTATATATATTTCTATTGAAATTGAAAATTATAACATTGTGAGATGGAATTTTCTATGCAATTTTTTCTATGCATTAGATGTAATATATGTCACAACTACAATATGGGGGAGGTAAAAGTAGTTATGGATTGTAAAGTTTCAATAGTTTGTCTGAAAGGGTAAAATATTGACTCTCAGTTTACATTTTAGGTAATAATTCAAAAGAAGGTAAGTATGTATACTATAATGCCTAGAATAACTATTCGTGTGTGTGTGTGTGTGTGTGTGTGTGTGTGTGTGTGTGTGTATGAAGAGGTATAGTAAAACACCAACAGATAAAAAAATTCATGTAATCCAAGAGAAAAGAAAAAAGGGCAAAAAGGGAACCAGAAGAATAAAAGAAAAAAGAAGGGCTATTAAACAACTAATAATAATATATAGACCTAAATCCAGCCATATAAATAATTACATTAAATGTAAAAGTTTTTGTATTAAAAACAGGGATTGTCACATTGATGATAAAACCAGGACATAACTATATGCTGTCTACAAAAACACCACTTGAAATATAATGATATAGATAGGTTAAAAGCAAAAGCCTGAAAAATGACATACCATGCAAACACTAATACAAAAAGCTGGAGTGCTTATATTAATATCAGACAGAATAGGCTTCAGAACATGGAAAACTACCAGGAAGAAAGAAGCACTTTAAACAATGATATAAGGCTCAATTCATCAATGAGACATTACTATCTTAATTGTGTATGCATTTAATAACAACTTTAAAAGCTCTGTTTTACCTAATACAGGCAGTAACAGAACTGAAAAGAGACATAGACAAATCCACAATTATAGACTTTAACCTTCCTCTTTCAGTAATTATTTAAAAAGTATGTAGAAAATCACCAAGGATATAAAAGACTGGAACAACACTACCAAGACTTTAATCTAATTATCATTATGGAACACTTTAATCAACAACAGAATACATATTTTTAAGTGCACATGAAATATACACCAAGATAGTCCATGTTTTGAGTCACCAAAAATTTATTAAATTAAAATAAATGAAATCATACAAACCATAGTCTATGACCATAAATTGATCAAAAAATCAACATAAGAAAGTTACCTGAAAAAAACTCTATATCTTTGTAAATTAAATGGCATAGTCCTAAAGATTACATGAGTCAAAGAGGAAGTCTCAAAGAAAATCAGAAAGTATTTTGAAAATAAAAATATACTAAAATTTGTGGAATGCAGTTAAAACAGTCCTCAGAGAGAAATTTATAGCACTAAAAGCCTTATACTGAAAAAAAAAGATAAATCAATAAGGTTAGCTTTCATATTAATAAACTAGAAAATAAGTGCAAACTACACCAAAAGCAAGCAGAAGGAAGAAAATAATAAAAATGACAGTGGACATCAAATAAATTGAACACATAACAACAATAGAGGAGAAACAATAAATAATACCTTGGAAAGACAAATAAACTGATAAATTTTTAAGAAGACTGATGAAGAACAAAAAAGAGAAGACACAAGGCCAGGCTCATGCCTGTAATCCCAGCATTTTGGGAGGCCAAGGCAGGTGAATCACCTGAGGTCAGGAGTTCGAAACCAGCCTGGCCAACATGGTGAAACCCCATCTCTACTAAAAATACAAAAATTAGCTGGGCATGGTGGTGTACGTCTGTAATCCCAGTTACCTGAGAGGCTGAGGCAGGAGAATTGCTTGAACCTGGGAGGTGGAGGTTGCAGTGAGCCGAGATTGCACCACTGCACTCCAGCCTGGGCAACAGAGTAAGACTCTGTCTCAAAAAAAAAAAAAAAAAAAAAAAAAAGAGAGAGAAGACACAAAATACTAATATTAGTTATGAGAGAAGAGATATTACTATAGACCCCACAGACATTAAAAGCATAATAAGAGATTACTATGAACAACTCCATGCACATGCATTTGACAACTTAGATAAAATGGACTGATTTCTTGAAAGATTTAAAGAAAAAGAAATCAAGAACTCAAGAGTCCCATATCTATTTTAAAATTGAATTCATAGTTAAAAATGGTCCCAAAAAAACCCTCCAGGCCCAGATGATTTTATTGATGAAATCCCAAACATTTCTGGAAGAAATAATGCCAATTTTGTACAATTTCTTTCACAAAATAGAACTATTTCTTAATGTATTTTATGTAGCCAGCATTGCTCTGACGCCAAAACCAGACAAAGATAGTACAAGAATGGAAAATTGTAGACCAATATCTCTCACAAAAGCATACTAAAAAATCCTCAATAAAATAATAATGTAATAAAAAATTGGATCCAGGAAATTAAATGACATGGTTTTACAGATTATATGGGTCAAAAAGAAAATCTCAAAGAAAATCAGAATGTATTTTGAAAGTAAAAATATAACATACTAAAATTCATGGGATGCAGTTAAAGCAGTCCTTAGAGGGAAATTTATAGCACTAAAATCCTTACACTGGAAAACAAAAATATAAATCAAGAAGAAAAACCTTCACATTAATAAACTAGAAAATAAGTGCAGACCACCGCAAAAGCAAACAGAAGGAAGAAAATAATAAAATGAGAGCAGACATCAAATAAATTAAACACATAAAAACATAGAGGAGAACCAATATAAAAGAATAATATTAAAAAACCCTCAACAACCATACATCATAAGTAAGTAGAGTTTATTTGGGGGAATGCAAGTCTGGTTCACCATTCAAAAATCTTCAGTGTAATTCACCATACTAATAGACTTAAGAAAAACCATGTGGTCATATCAATAGACGCAGGGAAGGCATTTGATAAAATTCAATGTCCATTTAAGATAAAAATTTCCTCACAAACTAGAAGGAGGATGGAACCTTTGCAACATAATAATGCTCATCTTCAAAAAGCCCCTAGAACTAACATCATATCTAAAGTGAAAGACAAAATGTTTATCATCTAAAATCAGGAACAAGGCAAATATATCCACTCTCATCACTTCTATTCAATGTTTTATTGGAAGTTCTAGTTGGTGAAATAAGCTAAGGGAAAAAAAGGCATAAAATCAGAAAAGAAGAAATAAAATAATACATATTAACAGAGAGCATGATTGTTTACACAGAAAATCCTAAAGAATTAATTTTAAAAATCCAAGAACTAATTCACTAGCAAGGAACAACTAGAAATCAAAGTTTTAAAATCAGGATCATTTTTCAAAAGACTGAAAATTTACCTAGGTATAATCTAACAAAATATTTTTAGGATCTATCTGCTAGAAGTCTCTAAACACTGATGAACAATATCAACGAAAATCCCAATAAATGTAGAAATACAGTGTATTTATAGTTGAAAAACTCAACATTGGCAAAATGCCAATTCTCTCCAACTTTACCTATAGATTTAATGTACTCCCATTTAAAATCCCAGGAAGATTTTTTGGTGGATATAGATAAACTCTTTCTAAAATTTACATGAAAGTGCAAAGAAACTAGAATGGCCAAAATTATTTTGTATGAAAACAAAGTTGGAAAACTCACACTACCCAGTTTTAAGATTCACTATAAGGTCAGAGTTGTCAAGATCTTGTGGTATTGGCAAAAGGATCAATAGAACAGTACCAGTGGATCAGTATCTGGATTCTAGACATAAACTCACATTTTACTTACCATATGGTCAATTAATTTTTTATAGAGGTGCAAAGGCAATTCAATGGGAAAAGTATAGCCTTGACAAATGGTACTAGAACAATTGGACATTCATATGCCAATAAAATGATCATCCACTCTTACCTGACATCATGTACTAAAATTTAACTCATAAAAATAAAAGGTAAATATATAAAAATTTTAAAAGAAAACAGGAGAAAATCATTGTGACCTCAGGTTAGGCAAAGAGTTCTTAGATATTACACCAAAAGCAAGAGTCATAAAAGAAAAATCAATATATTGAACCTCATAAAAATTTAAAACATTTGCCCTGTGTTCTTTTTTAAGAGAGTGAAAAGCCACAGATAGGGAGGAAATAATTTGAAAATCATATATCCAACAAAGAACTTGAGTTCAGAATATTCAAAGAATTCTCAAAACTCAACAATAATAAAACAACCCAATTGAAAAAAAAGTCAAAAGATTTAAAGAGACACTTTATCAAAGAAAAAATATGATTGTCAAATAAGTGCATCAAATATGCTCAACATCATTAGTCATTAGGGAACTCCAAATGAAAACCAAAATGAGATACCACCACCCACCTATTAGAATGACTTTTCTTAATGACAATATCAATGCTGGCAAATATGTGGAGCAATTGAAACTCCTATAAATTGCTGGTGGAAATGCAAAATGAAATAGCTACTTTAGAAATGTTTGGCAGTTAAACATACACTTATCATATAACCCAGGAATCTGATTCCTAGGTATTAACTGTAGAGAAATAAAAACTTATATTCACACAAAAACCTGGACATGAATGTTTATAACAGAACCACATTATTCATATTGCCCAAAAATGGAAACAGACTAAAAGTTCTTCAGTGGGTAAATGGATAAACAACCCATGAAATACTTCTCAGCAATAAAAAGAAATAAATTATTGGTACATGCAACAACATGATTGAATCTCAAATGCATTTACTAAGTTAAAGAAGTAAATCTTAAAAGGCTAAATATGTATGACATTCTAAAAACGGCAAAAATAGAGGGAAAGAAGATCAGTGGTTGCAAGGCTTAGGCCTGAGGGGAGAGTTTGACTATCTACTGAGCAGGAAAAGAGACATTTTGGGGAAGGTGTGGAATTGTTCTATAACCTATTTGTGATGAAGCTTACAAGAATCTGTGCATGTGTTACACTCATAGAACCATACAGAAAAATGGAACTTTACTTTAAAAATTGAATTAGAAGAGTAATATAGAGATTAAAGTACATAAATATATTTTTATGTATAAGTAAATGTATAAATGTCTGCATAGTCGATTTTATTAATTACCACCTTTAACAAAATTAACCAACTTTTATTTTTCCAGACACAAGAGAAAACTAGAAGATAGGTAACCAAGATCAATAAAACTATTTTTATGAGCATATATGTTATTTTACTTAAATAAATTTTAAGATGGCAAAGTAAGTGCATTTAATATAATTTAAGGACATTTGTACATCTCCTTAATCTGTAGTGATTTTATGTATAAAGGTAAAAGAAATTTAAAATTATATCTAATAATCAAAGTTTTCTGTTTTTTCTTATAGAAAAATTATATATCCAAAGATTATTCATTAAATAAAACAATTTAACATTAGTTTAACATCTTAGAGTGACTAAATATCTGGAAAGTACAATTTAAGTCAGAAGATTAAATCCTGTGATTTGTAGTATTAGAAAAGTTCACAAGATTATACTCTTTGAAAAACATGTGTCAAGACAATTTCATTTAAATTATTTATATATACACATATATATGTATGTATGTGTGTGTGTATATATATATATTTTTTATCTTGTCTTAAAAATTTTCCAGACAGAATTATATCTTCCAAGATCCAAGACACTAATGGAAGACATTTTAAAAATAGAAATTATTGGAAATTAAGCCCAAGTGTTGTGTTAATAAAAAATTTTGCAAGCATTATTTTTTACATGATGACAGAACCAAGAAAAAGACATAGAGTTGTTTTTATTGTAAAATTAAATCACTCTAATTTTGTCCAAAGGCTCATCTATCCTCAATGTAAACTCACATGTTACTTACCATATGGTCAATTAATTTTTTATAGAGGTGCAAAGGCAGTTCCATGGGAAAATTTTTAAGATTCTTGAGTTTATTCTAAACTCTCAGTGTCTAGCTTTTCTTCTCATTAGGAATCCATGGTCATTAACCAAATTTGCAGTTAAATTTCTTCTCTGAGTTAGTGTTTTATCTGGGAAAACATACAAAAGAAACACAGTTTAATATTTCTCTTTCTTTTTGACTTTCTTGACTATTTATCTGGAGTAGATGCTCTTAGAGTGTGTACATTAGTATGGAACCATTTTTAAATAATCAGTGAATCTCCAAAGTTTCCTAAGAGTAGGGAAAAGGAGAAAGAAAGGAAGAAAAAACAAAAACAAAAAAATACAAATAGCTGGCATCAGATACATATATTATTAACATTGTAAAGGCTCATTATCTCCCCTCTGCAAGGAAGGGGTGCTATGGTTTGAATGTTTGTCCCCTCCAAACCTCATGTTGAAATTTGATCCTCAATGTTGGAAGTGGAGCTTACGTGGGTGGAGGTGTTTGGGTCACGCGGGTGGATGGACAGATTAATGCCCTCTCTTCAGAGGTGAGTGAGTTCTCAGTGTGTTAGTTCCCCTGAGAGCTGTTTGTTAAAAAGAGCCTGGCACCTCCCCCATGTCTCTCTGGCTTCCCCTCTCACCATGTGATCTCGGTATACCCTGGCTCCCCTTCTGTCTTCCATCATGAGTGGAAGCAGCCTGAGACCCTCACCAGATGCAGATGCAATCTTGAACTTTCCAGCCACCAGAATCATAAGTCAAGTAAACCCTTTTTCTTTATAAATTAATTACACAGTCTTGGATATTCTTTATAGCATTACAAAACAGACTATGACAGGGTGTTTTAATCCATTCAAGCTACTATGATAGAATACCATAGACTAGATCGCTTAAACAACAGATGTTTATTTCTCACTGTTCTGGAGACTGGAAAGTCCAAAATAAAATTGTCAAAAGATTTGATGTCCTGTGTGTTAGTCCAAACTGCACAATTTTGTAAGTCCCTCGCCATTTCCCAGACCTTGGTCAAAGTAAAACATTCCATGGGGATTCAGGCCATGAGAAACAGCCTGCCCAGCCACTGGACTTTCTTATCATATTCTCCTGAGAGAAAGTGCGAGGAACATCATATTCTGCCGGAATAAGGGCCAAACTGCCTCATCAAGAGAACATATTATTGACATTTTTCCAGGCAGCAGGCCGTGTTCCCCAGACCCCTCCTGCCCAGGCCTATAATTGCTCCAGCCTGTAAGCAGTGGCGGGCAATGGCATTAAGCTGGTCCCCCACCTCTGCAGGTCTTATGCTGGACATAGAGCCTGGATTTGCTGTAGAGGCACCACTCTCTCTCTCTGTGTCTTTCTTTAACCTTTGCCTTCCCTTCAAAACCTAACACTGTGAGGGTCTGCTTCCTGGTTCATAGATGGCACCTTTTTGCTCCATCCTCAAATAGTGGAAAAGGAATAAAGTAGCTCTCTGGAGTCTTTTTTATGAGGGCACTAACTCCGTTCATGGGTGCTCCACCCTCATAACCTAATCACTTCCTAAAGGTCCCACCTCCTAATATCATCACATAGAGGGTTAGGATTTCAACACATGAATTTTGGGGAGACACAAATATTCAGGCCATAAGAGAGGGCAAAGACATAGATGTAGGAAAACTCATTTTTCACACACGTATATGTGCACATACACAGGATTAGGTGAGAGGAGAGAGAGAGCATGTGAGAGGAAATAAGCCAGTTTAAACAGTAACTCAGGCCCTTGACAATTCTATCAAATTTATAACTTAAAATGATACTTCTTAAGTCCCTGAAGTACAAAAGCAAAGATAAGTTTTCTCCTTCTTTATGGAAGTTATCTCTCTTTTAGATTGACAAGACAGAGAATCTCCTCATGAGGGTTTCTTCCTTTTTTCTTTGAATGTACCTCTCAAATGAATAATCTTATTCATGTCAAAATTTTCCCCAAATGGTCACTAAATATCAAAGTGTCCCTGGTGGAATTATGCCAGTTAGAGAGAAATGCACATGAAATAAAACAGGAAGGGAGGAGGTATTCTACCTGGTAGGCAAACAGAATGAGAAGATCCTATTAGGATTGCAGGGGTTAGTAAGAATGATGCTTGTGCAAACCTCTGATCTCTAGAAACTGACCAAAGATTATTTATCACCAGTTGGGATCCAGAGAACCTTCCCCTTCTGAGCAGCAAAACCAAATAAAGCAGTTCTCAGGATACAAAGACAAGACTGAGGAAGATCCTAATAAGGTGTTGCAAGGTGACACAGGACAAACTTTGTCCAAAGGAAATTGATCTGACAAGAACTTCTGGACTTGTCAGTTCTTAGGGCTGACTGGTCTATCCTCTTTCTATTGACTTTGGCTTACTAGACTCAAGCAGAAAGTGACAAGGGAAGAAAAGGATACAAACAGAAGCAAGTTTCCAAGAACAAGGTTTACATCAGGAAGAGCCAATCAAAGATCATATCTGGAGGACTGCTGCAAAGTTGTGATAAATGACCAAATAGTATTTTTATAGAAGGTGGAATGAATGACAGACTAAAGATTTCAGCTGATTAAAGAAATTATGGAGTGCATCATTCTCAGTTTATATTGAACTGGGGTTCCTGAGAAATTCCTCCTTATAAATTTACATGGAAATTATAATTTTTACTAGTTGATTTCAGTTAATTAGCCTACTGAATAATTTGATTCTTGCACTCACTAAAAGATCATAGAGCACAAGAATACCATTTACAAAATACTTTAAAAGTGGGGATATAAACACAAATAAGGTCTTGTACCAACCTTGAAGGGATTTTCAGTCTAGGTAAAAACCATTTAAAATAAAAAGAGGGCATCCTTGTTTTATTCCTGTATTTAAGAGAATGTGTCTTTCAGTGTTTAAAATAATGTTTACTGCTGGTTTATGATAAATACTTTAAAAAATCACATTATGGGAATGTTTTCCAATTTTCATTTCCTAAGAGATTTTTGTCAGGAATGTAGTTGAATTTTATTAAGTGTCTTTTCTGTATCTCTTGATATAATCATGTGATTTTCAGCTTTAATAAATGTCTTAATATTGAACTGCTCTTGTGTTACTGATATAAAACAAACTTGCTTTCATATTTCTTTATTACACTTCTGGAATAATTTTATAACATTTTATTTAGGATTTTGGCATCTATATTTATAGGTGCTATTTCAAGTTTCATTAGGATAGCTCAAATAGAGCTTGGAATTGGTTTAAAGAGCAAATAAGAATTCCTTGTTTCAGAAGTGTTTGATGGAGCCTTTCTCTAAAATCATCTAGTACTCTTGCCCTTCTGGGTGAAAAATCTTTCTATTTTTTTCTTACCAATTTGATTCATTCAACGACTCCACATCTATGTGCTGAACGGCTCTATCCAATAACTCGGTGAGGTAGTCCATGCAGGAGTAATTACCTTGGTGGGCAGTATACTATGCTCCTACTTTCTGCCTATTTGGATCTAAGGATCAGTTCAGATTTCTTACCTCCTCTTGAATTAGTTTGG
Source organism: Homo sapiens (assembly GCF_000001405.40). NCBI lineage: Eukaryota > Metazoa > Chordata > Mammalia > Primates > Hominidae > Homo > Homo sapiens. Next base: position 107,288,367 of record NC_000003.12, on the reverse strand, counting down.
TAATTTTTGGTTTCTTAGTGTTTATGTGTTTAATCTGGGTTTTCAAATTTATTATCATAGGATATACGTTGTAGTCTCTTAAAAATTTTAAATTTCTCTCAATTTCCCCGTATATTTGTAAGAGTCAACTGTTTAATATTTTTCCCTTTTTATTTTTGGTCAGAAAGAAGATCTAAAAAGATGAATTATTTTAAAAGAGTTAATGTATACATAGTATTTCCAATCTGTTCTGTTTTCTTCATATTGTTTTATTTAACCCTCACAAAACCATATGAGGTGGAGCTAAACTGAAAACCTGTGCCCTTTTAAGAAGCCTATGCCAATTTTCTGTAATTGGTATATTGAAATCTTCATCTCAGTATCTTGCTATTATTTCTTTTCGCTGAAGGAATATTTTTATTCCTTCCATTAAAATTTTTTAAGTATTCACTGTCTCTGCAAGAAATAATCACTAGGGTGAAAAAATGAGAATACTACCATCACCATGGAGAAAAAAATAAGTGATTTTAAAAAAGAAGTACCTCTTGCTGCCTACTCAAAGCAGGCACAAATGTTTATTTGTTATATGACTAAACATTCCAAAAGCTTTTACCAAAAAAAGGTAGGAAAAAGTAGATATACAGGGATTATAAATATTACAAATCTGCTTGGGTAGACAAGAAACAGAAGATAATATTTTAAAATATTTCTACTGGGGAAGAGGTTCTGGAATTGAATTTATGTAGGTACAGAAGGCAGAATTAAATTTTAAAAAGTTTATTAGAAAGGAAATTTTGAATAAGTGTGAGGAAGAACTTTCTAGTAATTGTAGCTTCTAACCATGGATGAGAAGGGCTGTCTTACAGTGTAATGGATTTCCTCCCCACATAGGGTGACCATATAAAAATTTGAGAATAAAATGGCATGCTTATAATTATAATTACATAATTCTTGAAGTAATAACTGATTGCTAAATTGATTGTCTTTTATTTGTAAACATATAAATTCTATTCAAAAACTATTTAAAAATAAAATAGCAAGATATAATCATAATTTTAAAAATTCCATTGCTTTAAAATAAAGAAGTAATGAAAGGAAATGCGCACAAACACTGTCTTGGTGTTTGCTGCCCTGTCAGCTTACTGGTGGCCCATCCAGTGGAGCATGGCCGATGTGGTGGTTCTTACTACGGGCCTCGCCACAGCTAACAGGATACCTGAAACTGTCAGCTCACCAGTCGGTGGAGTCTTTGAGAAATAGGGAAAATTATAGGGTAAATTAAGATGAGATGTGCAGGGGAAATAAAGACAGAGATGTCCTAAACTATAGGTATTTTGTTTGTTTGTTTGTTTGGAGATGGAGTCTCGCTCCTTTTGTATTTTAAAGCAATATTTTTAAAGTACTTATATGAATTATCTGTATATTAAAATTATATAAGCAGGAATTTTTTTTCTTGGTACTTATTTGGGTACTATAGTCAATAACCTATAGGGGCCAGGTGCAGTGGCTCATGCCCGTAATCCCAGCACTTTGAGAGGCTGAGGTGGGCAGATAACTTGAGGTCAGGAATTTGAGACCAGCCTGGCCAACAGTGGTGAAACCCTGTGTCTACTAAAAATACAAAAATTAGCTGGGCATGGTGGCATGTGCCTGTACTCCCAGCTACTCGGGAGGCTGAGGCAGGAGAATCACTTGAACCCGGGAGGTGAAGGTTGCAGTCAGCCGAGATCAGGCCACTACACTCCAGCCTAGGTGACAGAGCGAGACTCCGTCTCCAAAACAAAAACAACAACAACAACACAATTACCTATGGGTTAGGACATCTCTGTCTTTATTTCCCCTGCACATCTCATCTTAATTAACCCTATACTTTTCCCTATTTCTCAAAGACTCCACCAACTGGCAAGTTGACAGTTTCAGGTATCTTGTTAGCTGTGGCGAGGCCTGTGGTAAGAACCTGTGCATCGGCCATGCTCCACTGAATGGGCCACCAGTAAGCTGACAGGGCAGCAAACACCAAGACAGCGTTTGTGTGCATTTCCTTTTGTTACTGAGTCCTGCATGATGTCTGTCTTAGTTTGTTCAGGCTACAATAACAACATATCAAAATCTGGGCAACTTATAAACAGCAGACATGTATTTCTCGTAGTTCTGGAGGCTGGGAAGTCAAGATCAAGGAACTGGCAGAATCTATGTCCGGTGAGGACGTACTTCCTGGTTCATGGTGTCTTCTTGCTGCATCCTTACATGGTAGAAGGAGAGAGGAAGCTCTCTGTGATTTCTTTTATAAGGGCACTAATCCCATTTATGAAGACCGAATCTCCCAAAGGTCCCACCTCCAAATACCCTCACACTGGGGTAAGGAGTTCAGCATCTGAATGTTGGAGGGAACATAAATATTCAGCTTGTAGCAATGTACTTGGGAAGTTGCTGTTAGTTACTTTGTGTTTAGAGAGGGTTGGAAGTCAATCAGATTTAACCATGTGTTAAAGTCGGAACTCTGCTCACTGCACAAAATCTCAGTTACTCCTTGCTGAGACCAGACTGAAGCTCGAAAAGTCAAAGTTCACCAGACCCATCTTAGCATGTTTAACACAACTGTTGCTAATAGCACTAGGTTAAAAATGGAAATCCCTGAGCAAATGCTAAACTGAACAGGTCAACGATACAACAAAGTGTACATGGGGACTATCCCTGGCAAACTAGTCATGAAGATATCAGACATACGAGTTGAATTCTCTTTTATTTAAACATAAATGCCACACAGGCAGAAGAAAGTCAGAATAAAAATTCCATGGGGTGTTTTAAGTATGTCCAAAATGGGATGACACTTGGTCATTTGTTTAGTCCTTCTCACCCTGTTGGAGGCATCCAAGAAGGGAAGAAAGTAGCCAGCTGGTTGCCTTCTTTCTCTTTGCTCCTGTCTGACGCTTGGGCAAGGAGTGCAGCCTCCTGTGAGGATGTGGATTGTGGAGCTGAGTAATCTGCATTTGAATCTGGGCTTTGCCTCCTGCTGACTGTGTGGCCTGGAGCAATCCCTGAGTCCCACTCAGTGTCTCATTTTCTCCTCTGTACATTGAGATAACAATAGTAACTACGTCACAAGGTTGTTATGAGGATGAAATGAACTAACACTAGTAAAATGGCATTCAATATATAGCTGTTCATCAAAATAAAATAGGTTCCAGAGTCCTGTGGGAGAGAGAATAAAATGGTAGCTACTGTGTTCTATTCCTTAACTGACTGGTTAGGGCTTCTCTTCAGTCTACAAGGAAAGAATTGCCTTTGGTGCTAAAATAAGAAACCTATTTGATATGGGACAAAGATACAATGACATGAATGCTACTCTCAAAGGGCCCTTAATGTAGGACCATCTTGCTTGTGATTAGAAACTCGATTAAGGGCTTTTAGGTCCTTGCACTCTGGTTAGGAAATATCTAAGATTCTGAAATCCAGAGCTATCTATAATCCTTTTTGCAAAGAGTATCAGCAGCAGACAGTAAGTAGCAGCTTCAGTGAATGAGTTGAAAATCTCTTCAGACTCCTATCATAGTTACAAGAGAGAACAAAATGTTAGCACTGTAAACAAGACTGTGACTCATCAAAATATGGTCCCTGAAATTATGCTCATGAAAACCAAAATGCTATGCATAAGAAATCATATAGCAGCTTCAATGTACTGTAAGATGATGTCATTATTCTGGTTTTATATTAAACTGCCTGTCATTCCATGTTTATGCTAACCCCACACTACTGAGGGGCATTTGATATTATTTTCATTCTAGAACAAAATGTTCCTTAACTGAAAAATTGCTCAAATGATTCACAACCTGAGAAGTACACGTGGGCAGCTCATAATAAAATAAAAGCATTACCTTTGCTAAAGCATTAGAATAATTTTTTAAAGCTGTTTATGTTTTGGATTCAACAGTATTTATTTACTATGTTTTTATAACAGCAGTTGAAAAAAAGCATGTACTGCTTTTTTTCTGACCTGCTGACTTACCTAAATTTTAGTGCTTCTACATGATGCTGGATGCACTTTTTAAGAAAGTAACATCCCAGATTTAGCTACAAATCTGGGTAATCTGGTCATAGCATTCATACTTTTCTCACCACCCCCATCCATTATCATCTAGTTACGTCAGTCTCAGCTCCACTTTTTATTATTCTTCAGACACCGTGATGAAAGGAGTTTGAATCATGCGTCAACAGGTAGCTCCTGTCTCACTCAAAATCAAGGGTCAAGCTCTATGCATATACCCCTGGAGTGGACTTGGCTCAATTAAGACTTGTTGAAAAGCTCTCTGCAGGGCTATGTTACAAAGCAGTTAGTTGCTAAGGGATCAAGAGACCTGATTAGCTGCACTGGAACATAGAACATCCACACACAGTTCACATACATTTCCATCTGTTCAAATTCTTGGACCCTTGAAAACAGAGGTCTGAGAGTAAGAAGAGGAACACAATTAATGAAGCTCTTCCTCTTTAATTCCAGGGTTTCCTAATATTCCCCAAAACTTTAGGTAGTAAAGGTAACAATTTGTTAAGCAGGAAGAAAGTTCTTAGGAGTGGAGATTTTGTTTGTATAAGAAGGCTGGTCTATTTTAGATATGTGCAAAAAAAAGGATTTGGGTCTTTATTAATTTTATTGGTGAGGGGTCATTTTTCATAGGCATAACTCTTTTGTGGTTTCATCAGTAAAAGACCAAGTAATTTATATTTGAAACTCATACATTTAGTTGTATTGATTTAATTGACGCAGGAATTGGCAAACCATGCCCCTGAAACCCAGTGTAATCACCTGTTTTTGTAAATGTTTGTTAGGACATAGCCACGCTCATTCATTTGCATATTGCATATGGCTGCTTTCACTCAAAGACCGAGTGGAATTCAGTTTAAAATAATTACTATCTGGATTTTTACAGAAAAAGTGTGCTGAACTCTGGATTAATGCATGATTTCATAAAACTTCCTCAAACACCTCATGGGTTTTCTGTATGATTGCTCACCTTATGGGTCCTGCAGGAGCTGAGGGATGTGACATAGTTACGGCTGGGCTAAGATCTATTCAGTGATTTTATAGGGCTCTGTGCTGCCTTTGTTTACCCACCCAGGCAAAGTTACTTCTTCCTTTGTATCTTTCTAGACTCTAGAGATGTCTATTTTTAGAGCCATTATTTTAAATGCTTGTGTTTCCTATTTGTTGTTGAGTAACTTGAGAGTAAGGCTCATGCTTGACTTAATTTTTGACTCCCAAGGTCTAATACAATGTTTGGCAGAATACTACAGAATTGAAGCAGTTGAATTAAATTGAGCAGAGTCTCCCAGCATCATCAAAACATGAACATTTTGTGATGGGTGCAAAGAAAAGAGGCTGAGAGTGCATGCTCCCTCACATCAGTTTAAATTGCCTTTTAATAATTTAGTATCAACTCTAACCCTAGAGTTACATGAAAGAAAAGGAATTGAAAGGCTGTGATGTGTCTTGATGACACAACTCAAAGTCAGTAACCAGGAAGTATAGTTAACAAAGACAAGGATTAGTTTTTGCTTTTGATTTTAATTTTTCTTTTAAAACAGTTGAGCAACCTTGAACTTTTATTAACTGAAATGATTGAGGGAATGAAATTTAATAGTTAATTTAGTAATCTGGCTAAATAGTAATGGGTTTTCAATTATTTTAGAGGGAAAATGACAAAATAAATAATTATAAGGTCATACTGAAAAATGTTAAACTTGCTTTAATGATTCAGAAAACACCTCAGGATCTCGAAGTAATACAGTTATCATAATGAACATAAATAGTAGGTGGTCAAATACTTATTGATTTGAATTCTACACTTCTAAGTAGACTGTCTATGAAATTAGGTGGAAAATATGCTGACCCTAGGGTATATTTTTGAAATTGCTTCAGAAATTCTTGATATCAGCTTGTTTACTTGTCATTTATATCTTTCGCATGAAAGTAAATTTCAGTTTAAAAAAGTCAGTTATTTGAGTTTCTTAGCTATTTGCCTTGTAGATGAGGAAAGTTTTACAGTTCTCATATATCTTGAGATTTGGCAGACTTCTAAAACTCTTTTCCTTTCACTTTTGATGCCAAGAGTAAGTGTTAGTTTGTACCCATCTTAAACATCAAAAACAAATATCCTACTATTAGTCTTCTTCAAAAAGTTTGGAAAAGAGATAAAGTAATAGCATATCCTTCTACCAGCGATTGATTTTCTGTCCCAATGCTCAAAGTAATGATTGGTAAAGACTATGGCTCTAGATGGATAAAGATAAGTTTAAATCCTAACTGAGCCACCTATTAGTTGTGTGATCATGGACAAATTATTTGATCTCTCTATGTTTAGATTTCCTCATCTGTGGAATAAGGATACTTAAGTCACAGGACTATGGTAAGGATTAATAAGTTAATGAACACAAAGCCTTTAGCTAGAAAGGTCCTGGCATGGCCGGGCGCAGTGGCTCCAGCCTGTAATCCCAGCACTTTGGGAGGCCGAGGCGGGCGGATCATAAGGTCGGGAGATTGAGACCATCCTGGCTAACACGGTGAAACCCCGTCTCTACTAAAAATACAAAAAATTAGCCAGGCGTGGTGGCAGGCGCCTGTAGTCCCAGCTACTAGGGAGGCTAAGGCAGGAGAATGGCATGAACCCGGGAGGCGGAGCTTGCAGTGAGCTGAGATCGCACCACTGCACTCCAGCCTGGGCGACAGAGCGAGACTCCGTCTCAAAAAAATAAAAATAAAAACAAAAATAAAAAAAAGAAAGGTCCTGGCATGTAGTTAGAGATCTGAAAATGATAACTATTTTTTACTTAGAGTTTAAATTATTAAAAATTATTGACATTTTATTTTTTAAATAAATTTAAATTTATTTAGATTTTACATACAGTCAAATTCATTTTTTATTTTTGGTATATAGTTCTGAGTTTTACCACATGTATATATCCATGTAACCACTATTACAATTGAAGTGCAGAACAGTTTCATCATCCCCTCAAAATCCCTCATGCTCTCTCTCTGTAGCCATACCCTTTCCCCAGCCCTAACCCATAACAAACACTAACCTATTTTCTGTAGCTATAATTTTTCTCTTTCTAGAATGTCAGGTAATTGGAATCATCAATTTTTGAGACTGGTTTCTTCACTCAGCATAATGCCTTTGAAATTCACCCAAGTTTATATGTGTGTTAATAGTTTGTTCCTTTTATTGCTGAATAGTACTCCACAGTAAACAGTTTTTCTATTCACTCATTGATGGAGGGGTTGGTTCTAGTTTTTGGCAGTTTGGGCACGTGTGAACATATGTGTGTGTGTGAACATATGTTGTATGAACATCTGTTTTCATTTCTCTAAGGTAAATATTGAGGAGTGGGATTTTGGGTCATGGCAAGATATATGTAACTTAAAAAGAAACTGTCAAAATGTTTTCCAGAGTAGCTCTACCATTTTCATTTCAGGAATGTATCAGAGTTCCAGTTGCTCTCCATCCTCAGCAACACTTGGTAATGTCAGGTTTGGTTTTGTTTTTTTTAATTTTAGCTTTTCAGATAGGTGTGAAGTGGTACATCATGCATTTAATAATAATGGTGAGGATATTTTCATGTGGTTATTTGAAAACTTTGTGGGGTTTTTTTTTGGTGAAGTGCCTATACAAATACTTCACTCACTTTAAAATTAGGTTATTTGTTTACTTGTCGGTGAATGTTTAGGGTGTTTTTTAATATTCTTTATATATTCCAGATATATATGAGATATGTATCTTTGTCAGATATATGATTTGCAAGTGAGTTCTCTCAGTTAATGACTATAGAATTGATAGTATAGAATTGCTAGAATTGATAGACTATAGAATTGATGGTATTTTCAACCTTTTTATTTTTATTTTTTGATACAGGGTCTTTCTTGCTCTGTCACCCAGGCTGGCATGCAGTGGTGTGATCATGGCTCACTGTAGCCTCCACCTCCTGGGCTCAAGCTGTCCTCCCATCTCAGCCTGCTGAGTAGCTGGAACTATAGGCATGTGCCGCCATACCTGGCTAATTCTTGTATTTTGTGTAGAGATGAGGTTTCGCCATGTTGCCTAAGCTGGTCTCAAACTCCTGGGCTCAAGCGATCCTTCCACCTCGGCCTCCCAAAGTGCTGGAATTATAGGTGTGAGCCACTGTGTCCAGCGGTCTTTTCAATCAACATCCTTTCACAAAAGTATTAACATTTGACAAAGTCCAATGTATCAATTTTTTTATTTTATGAATTGTCCTTTGATGTTACATCTAAAATCTCTGTCTAACCTCATGTCATGAAGGTTTTCTATGTTTTCTTCTAAAGTTTTGTAGTTTTATGTTTTGTATTTGTATCCAGGATTCACACTGAGTCACGTTCCAGTGTGGCTAATCAGGTCTCTTGATCCCTTAGCATCTAACGGCTTTGTAACATAGCCCTACAGAGAGCTTTTCAACAAGTCTTAATTGAGCCAAGTCCACTTCAGAGGTATTGAGGTTTGAGATTCATTTTTTGCATATAGATGTTCAGTTGTTCCCTTGTAAGAGGATTCTTTCTCCATTAAATTGCCATCACATCTTTGTAAAAAAAATCAGTTGGCCATATTTGTGTATTTGTGTGGGTCTGTCTCTGTACTTTATTTTTTTCCATTGATCTTTGTGTTTATCTCTTCACCAATAGCACACTGCCTTGATTATTATAGCTTTGTAGTAATTCTTAAATGACTTTCCAGTTCATTCTGCTGTTTCAAAATTGTTTTGGTTAGTCTAGTTTCATTGTCTTTCCATATAAATTTTAGAATCAGCTTGTATGTGTTTACAAAATCATGTTGGGATTGATTGGAATTACATTGGAATTGACACTTTTATTATGCTGAATCTTCTAACCCATAAACACAGTATGTCTCCACTTATTTGGGACTGCACTGACTTCTTTCCTCAGTATTGTATAGTGTTCAGTATAAAGGTTTTACAAATATTTTGTTAGATTTCTACCACAGATCAATTTTTGTGTGTCGATTATGTATCCTGAGACTTTGCTAAACCCACCTATTAGTTCATCATGGTTTTTTGTGGATTACTTTGGTGTTTCTTCACTGACAGTTTCATCTCTTGCACACAGGACCGATTTTATTTCTCCTTATCCAATCTTTATGATGTTGAATGGGAGTGATGGAAGTGGACATGTTTTTGTTGTTCCTGATCTAAGGGGGAAGGTATTCAGTCTTTCATCAACAAATATGATGTTAGGTAGAGGTTTTTATTGTTTTTGTTGTTTTTTGGTAGATGCTCTTTAGCATGTTAAGGAAGTTTTCTTCTATTCCTACTTGGCTGATAGATTTTTTTTTTTAATAATTAAGTGATGGTGAATTTTATCAGATGGTTTTTCTGCATCTTTAGTATGATAATATGGTCTCTCTTCTTTAGACAGTTAATGTGGTAGATATATAGTTGGCCATGGTATCCAGTGGTCATTATTTCTTTTATATATTGCTGTATACTATTTGCTGATATTTTGTAGAGAACTTTCATGTCAGTGTTCAGGAGTGAATGATTCTGCTCTGTAGATTTATTTTACTTTGTTGACCTTTTTGTCTGGTATTGATATCAGAGAAATTCTGGCCTCATAAACAGATTTGGGAAGTGTTCCCTAAGCTTTTATATTCTGGAAGAGACTACAGAATTGATGCTATTTCATCTTTAAATATGCAAGTGAAATAATCTAAGCCAAGAGATTTCTTGTTTAAAAGATTTTTTTCATTAAAAAATTCAGTTTCTTTAATAGTTATAAGGTTGCTCAGGAATATTGATTTCATCTTGGATGTGTGTTGTTGGTTTATGGATTTTGAGATATTGGTCCATTTCATATAAATTATTGAATTTATATATAATTAATTGTCCATAGCATTCCCTTATTTTCCTTTTAATTTTTGTAGAGTCTGTAATGATATCCCCTATTTCACTCCTGTTGTTGGTAGTTTATGTCTTCTCTCTGTTCTTCTTTTTCAGTTTTGCTAGAGCTTTATTAATTTTATTAACCTTTTCAAAGGTTAATAAAAACTAATTTTTCCCCTCTATTTATTTATTTATTTGAGATGGAGTTTCGCTCTGTTGCCCAGGCTGGAGTGCAATGGTGTGATCTCGGCTCACTGCAACCTCTGCCTCCCAGGTTCAAGCAATTCTCCAGTCTCAGCCTCCCAAGTAGCTGGGATTACAGGCACGTGCCACCAAGTCCGGCTAATTTTTTTGTATTTTTAGTAGAGACGGGGTTTCGCTATGATGGCCAGGCTAGTCTCAAACTCCTGACCTCAAGTGATCCATCCGCCTCAGCCTTCCAAAGTGCTGGGATTACTGGCATGGGCCACTGCGCCTGGCCGGGTATAATATATTTTTTAACTTTCCATGAATTTTCTCTTTGACCTATGGGTTGTTTATTGCATGTTAATTTCCAAGTGTTTAGAAATTTTTCGGTTATCTTTATGTTACTGATATCTAGTTAAATTCTATTATGCTTAGAGAATATATTTTGTATGGTATCAATTTTTTAAAATTTAAGTTTTGTTTTGTAACTCAGGATATAGTCTATATTGGTGATTATTCCATGTGCACTTGAAAAATTGTACTTTGCTTTATTTGATGAAGTTTTTCATAAATATGAATTTAATCCACTTAGTGGATACTGTTACTCAGTTCTGCATCCTTTCTGATTTTTGTCTGCTTGTTCTGTTAAATACTGAGAGAAACTGAGGTTGTCAAATATAATTATGAGTTTGTTTCTCTTTCTTTTCTGTCAGTTTTTGCTTCACATATTTTGATGCTCTGTTGTTATGTCCATATTCATTTTGAAGTGTTTTGGCTTCTTGGTAAATTTATCTATATTAATGTAATATCCCTTCTTATCACTTTAGCTTTCCTTTGATTAGTGTTTACATGATATACTTTGTCCATCCTTTTACCTTTAACCTGCCTACAGTTTTTCTCTGTAAATCTTTCCTGACAATCTCTATGTGTTTAGACTATGTACCTTTAATGTAATATTGGTATATTTGGATTTAGGTCTACAATTTTATTTTATTTTTTCTATTTTTCCTTTTCCATATTCTGCTATTCTGTTTCTCCTTTATGTCCTTCCTCTGGATTATATAAACTTTTGTAGTATTCCATTTAATTTATCTATTGTGTGCTTGACTTTCTCTTTTTTTTTTTTTTAACAGTTTAGGTAGTGGTCAATCAAGAGGTATGCATATTTAATTTTCATGATCTCTTTAGAATCTATATTTTACCACTTCAGTTAGAATGAAGAAAGCTTAGCACCATATAGGTCCTTTAATATTCCTCAATTTATGTTGTACTTTCCCCACATATTTCACTGATGTACATTAAATAAATCATCAGATAATATGACAATTTTGTTTTTATCTATCAAATGTATTTTTAAGAGCTCGAGAAGTTATATTTACCCAAGTATCTACCATTTCTGTTGCTTTCTCTTTATTCCTGATATTCAAAGTCTTCCTTTTACTTTTCATTTTACTTTGATCTGAAAAACTTCCCTTAACAATTCTTTTGGAGTAAGTTTTCTAGCAACAAATCCTCTTGGTTTTCTGTCATGTGAGAAAGCATTTATTTTTTCTTTATTCCTGAAGGAAACTTTTGCACTTGAAAATGTTGAGTCACTTCTTCGTGGCCTCTATGATTTCAGTTTAGAAATCCACTGTCATTTGAATTATTGTTCCCATTTTCTAGTTAATGTCTTTCTTTCTCACTGCTTAAAAAAATCTTTTTTCTTTATTTTTAGTTTACAGATGTTTGATTATAATGTATCTTGGCATGGAATTCTTTGCGTTTATTCTGTTTGGGGTTGACTAAACTTCTTTAATCTGTAAATCTGTGACTTTCATCAACATTAGGACATTTTCAGCCATTATTTCTTCAGATATTTTTCTGCACCATCCTCTTTTTCTTTCCTTATGGGATGCCAATTCCACAAATACTAGACCAAAAGGTACCGTCCCCAAGTCCTCTTTCCTGTCACTTCCATTCTATTATTGAGCCTATCCAGTAAGTATCCTGCCCAGTCTTATATTAGCCTCAGGTTTTACATTTTCAAACAAGTATTTTTTTTTAATACATGTAGCCAGCCAGTTAGATCAATAAGGGAAAACTATGTGTGCATGTTGTGGTTTGTGAACATGTCCACAAACTTTTTATCACTTTTTTTTTTTTTTTTTTTGAGATAGAGTCTCACTCTGTCGCCTAGGCTGGAGTGCAGTGGCGTGATCTTGGCTCACTGCCACCCACACCTCCTGAGCTCAGGTGATCCTCCTATCTCAGCCTCCCAAGTAGCTGGGACCACAGGCATGTACCACCACACCCAGCTGATTTTTTTGTATTATTTTTTGTAGAGATGGGGTTTCACCACATTGCCCAGGCTGGTCTCAAACTCCTAGACTCAAGCTATCCGCCTGCCTTGGTCTCCCAAAGTGCTGGGATGACAGGCATAAGCCACCATGCCCGGCCTAACACTTTTTTCATCAAAAGGTTTGCTTTAACTACCCTCCTCTTTAATATTGTTCAGTGTTATATTTGTCATTTGCATCTGACTAATAGAATGCATTGAAAAGTAATGCTGTGTCACTACCACCACAGTCAGGCTAAAAAAGTCAGCAGCTTCCTTGTGGCTTTCCTTCTTGAGAAACTCATCATTGGAAATTAGCCACCATGTTGTGAGTGCACATATAGACAGCACGTATAGGTGTTTTAGCTGACATCCATAGCTAATCCAGAAGATGCTTGGCACATTATCTCTGCCAAGCCTTGTCAAATTTCAGATTTCTGGGAAATATAAATATTGCTATTATTTTATGTCACTAAGTTTTGAAGAGGTTTGTTACATAGCAAAAGGTATCTAGACTTTTGTGAAATAGAAGCTGAGTGTTTTGTTAAGCTCTGTTTTCTCTTGCTATGGAAGGAGTTTTATCACTTACTGTAGGAACAAAATACATATCTACTTATTTTATTGTTTTGTAATTTTTAAAAGATTTGGAATGAACTTGATGTATTGAGTGGATACTGTTTTGAATTGCCTCTTTTGAACTGTGACTGCATACTATGTACAGCAGAAAGGGCAAAATGAATATTTGGTAAGCAGGTAGGTAGACTATCAGAGATAGGATTGATCAAAGCTGTTTTTTTTTTTGTTTTGTTTTGTTTTGTTTTTTTTAATGCATTGAGCCTTTTGGCAGACTGCTAAAGCATATGGTGTTCTTTTCACTGTTTTTATACTTTGCTCTGAGGACACGATGGTCTAATGACCATGACCACAGATCTCTACAAATCAAGGCAAACAAGTGGCAACTATGCTCTTGCTTTCTGTTATGGTAATGATATCAATGTTGCCTCTGATAGTTAAATGCTACTAGTTGTTCTCCACTATTATGCAATTCTACCATCCCCACTGACACTAAGGATTCTAGTCCCAAGATAGCATCTACCCCAGTCAATCCTGGGCTACAAAGTAGAGTCACCCAAGAGTGTCTCAGTGATGCTGGTGTCCCCCTCACTGGTGCATTCCTTGCACCCTAAAGAAGGATGTGTCTTCCCTTTCCACGGAACATAATCAGGCAGTAGGTTCTCATTGCTCACATAATTAATCGATTTAAAGATGCCCATTTGATGATCATTTTGTTCCCTTTATCAACTCCCTGAACACAATCTGTCATCTCTAACTCATTTATTGTAAGACAGTGTCGTGTCCAAGCTCAAAAGAATCATTGCAGCGTCATCTTAGAACTGGCTCCAGGTGTCCTTGCTAGTACATTAACTTTTGAGAGAGTGCAACCATGTTAATCATCTGCCCCATTGTGAGGCTTATATTATGCCCCATATCCTCAGGTCTATTATTCTCAAGATCCACTCCCAGCTTTTGTCAGTACACATGAGCCAGGATTTGCAAATCTTTTGGTAAGCTATTTACTCTTGTAGCAAGAAGTATTCTTCCTTGCTTGGACTATGCTGAGGTCTTTAGCTACTGGCCGGGAGTCAGTGAAGGGAAGGGGAGTCAATGAAGGGAAGTGAGGGCAGGCCTTAAGCATTATCTTACAAGCATCTACTTTAAGATCACTGCATGGTCTCCTGGCAATAGAAGGCTGCTTTTCTAGCAAGGGGCAGAGACTACTTTTGATGACCTAGAGTTTAGGATAAGCTGGGCATTCTAGGCTCTCAGTCATACCTACATATCCCGTTCTTTTCATTACATTTACCCCATACCATTCAAGTGATATAGATGCAGCATACGCCTTTCACCTGTACCACATCCCAATATGCCATAGATAAGCCTCTTAGTCATTGTGAGGCCACAACAATCTAGGAGTTAGCTCCTTTCCCAACACTTGCCACATGTGACAGTTGCTATCTGACTGTTTAGTAATTCAGTTTCAAAGTCTATAATGAGGGGCATTTTTCTAGAGCCTCTTCCCACACCAATGCTTAAATTGGATTGTCATGAAATCAGAGGCTGAGATAATGACTTGGTGCAGGTAGTTTATTTGGGAGATAGTCCCAGGAAACAGAAGTGAGACAGTGAGGAGAATAAGACAAGAAAGAGAGAAAAGCCAATAAATCTTACTGTGTTGGTTGCTGCTGAGAATAACTGGAACTCAATGCTACTTGCAAACTTCGAAGTTTATAGAATGTGCCTCAGAATAATCTTGCTAAAGAACTCGAGACTGGTCTGTTTACATAAACACTACTGTTTAGCATGGTTTGAGTGTTGTCCCCATGGTTATTAACCCTCCGCACTTCTGAGCTGCACCTTGCATCTACTGAGTGACCTTCCAAGACTTCAGATAAATCTTTAAAGCAAACAAAACAAAACAAAAACCACAGAGATGTCATACCTGCAGAGAGTCGCTGATAGTATGCATGGAATTGTTTATGTCAGCTGCACTGAAATCAGATGGACTGAGTAGAAATGGCTTTGGGCACTACCAGTGTCTATCATACCTACATTTATAATGGAAGGAAATGCTAAATTTCAGTTTGAGGTTAGAATGGAATTTCTTTCCATCTAAGCTAACAGAACTTTTGGTATCCCATGAAAACCATGTCAAAAACTCTAGGCCTAGATTAGCTGTGGTGGCTCACGTCTATAGTCCCACCACTTTGGGAGGCCAAGACAGGTGGATCGCTTGAGTCCAGGAGTTCAAGACCAGTCTGGGCAACATGGTGAAACTCCATCTCTACAAAAAAAACAAAAATTAACTAGTGGTAATGGCACGCCACCTGTTGTCTGTGGTCCTAGCTACTCACAAGGCTGCGATGGGAGGATCACTTGAGCCCAGGAGGTGGAGGCTGCAGTGAGCCAAAATGGTGCCACTGCACCTCCAGCCAGGTGACAGAGTGAGACCTTGTCTCAAAACAAAAACTAAACCAAAAACAAGACAAACTCCTGGTCTAGAAGCTCAGTAATTGTGCATTCTCTTTCCTGGCATACTGGAAGCCTCATTCTTCATCTAAGTTGATCATGTGACTGGGTTCTAGCCAGGCTAGGGGACAGAAGCAAAGTATACTACTTCCAAGCCTAGCCCCTGAAATTATGCCACTCTTTACTTGACAGCCAAGAGAAAATTCAGTGTGAAGATGATGGAGTGACACAATAGAAGGAACCTGAATCACTGAATCATCACTTGGAAGAAAGCAGCCCAGACTAGTTACCCAACTCCCATCAGACAGTGACCAGAGTGAGAAATAAGCCTTGTGTATGGTGTGTGTGTGTGTGTATGTGTGTGTGTGTGAATTCGTGGGTATTTGGGGTTGCTTACTTTAGCAGATTATATTACTTTAGTTGACACAGTCAATGTGGTATCTTACATAAGATCGATACTTTCCTGATTTGTACTGCACTTTGGTCATTGAAGAAAGTATTAGTTATCACCTCTTTACCTCATAGGCATATGATGAAAATGGACAGAATCATGTTTGTGGTTTGCTTTTAGCCTTTTAAGGACTAGGCAGATGGTTAGCTCAAAGCAGTGGTATAATTATTTCCAGATAAATGATTCCTTTCCTCCTAGTTAGGGAGAATCATCCATTGCTATTTTGCACTTGCTGAACACAACTTGACAAAGAAATCCTCCTTCACAATCCCCAGATAATAAATGTGAGAGAAAGAACCAGTATGAAATACTGTCTGCTTTCTCTTTTATCATGGCTGGTTAAGAAAATGTCCTGGATATAATACATAGGAAAGACACACAGATAATCACTCATATTTTAGATGAATAAAAATGAAGCTTGTTTAATAATATGTCTTATCATTAAAAAAACGCAGAAGGGTACTGTCTATCCAGTGTCAGAGATGGACAGTGACAAAGAAGTAAGAATACTCCCTCTTGTGGTTCTTGAGAGAAATAATTCCTGCTACGAGATCATGTTGAGAAAACAGAGATACTGGATTCAAAGATCACTTCAGTGGATAATTAAAGCTTATCCTTTTCACTGTGACCTGATTTAATGAAGCTAAGTAACCATTTTAGGCTGGGTTGGTGTGGCTCTTCTGGAGAGTGTGAGCTTGCACCGCTAACCTCAGGGGACAACTAAACATGTGACAGGAGGAAAGGACTCTTCAACCTGAACTGGAAAAGAGATGCTTTCTACTTGGATTTTTTTCCCTGAAGGGTAAAAGAAACAGTCATTGTCACTAAATTTCCTTTTTCTCTAACTTGGATCTGGTTCCCCAATGTGGCCATGTACTTGCACTTGGGGAAGCTTTGATTTAAGAGGAGTGAATTTGGTTTGGCACCCTATCTCCTCTAAAACACAGCTCATGCTATTATTTTGTGTGGGGGTATAAATGTGTTTCTCTGATATATGCTTTTCCCCTTTTCTAGGTGGAATCTTACTTAGCAGCTTTGTTTTTCTCGAGGGAGAGTTGATGCCCCCAAATAGGAATTTCCTCATTTCTTAAGGAGTAAAATAGGATGGCACAACTGGAAGACAGCACAGATCCAATGTCAGCAAACATTTGATGTGCAGTTGTGATTTGTTTCTCACAATTGGTATCCCTTACTTTTTGCTGCTAGTGTTTCACCATTAGAAATATGATATCCTCCAGTTATGAGGACGGTTGACATCTGCATGGGAAATCAATATCATCTATCTATCTATCTATCTATCTATCTATCTATCTATCTATATCTATCTATCTATCTCTATCTCTCCCTTTCTCTCTGCTTCTGTAGTTAAGAAGTACATATTGTTCTACTCTGCCCAGAGAGGTCCTGATTTATGCCACTGTCTCATTTGGTTTAAGATTTGTTCCTTTTTCATTTTTTCCAATGAAGAATATAATGATTTCAATTTTATTAATCACAAAATGTAACTTTAAGAACACTGGAGGTAATCTTATTTAAAAAAGATTTAAATATTATATTAAAAAACACATTCTTCAGAAAAATACCAGACATGATGTTAAAAGCAAAGAAACTGATTAAAATGCATTAATGTGTACCAAGAATAATTGTTCAACTTTTAGCATTTTAAATGTTCAACTAATCAATATAATAAATTTTTAAAAATTTTTGCAGCCTCTAAGATGGCCCCAATGAGACTCACCTCCTGATATTTATTGCCTCGTGTGATCTCTTCCCTGGCAACATTGAGGGCATATCATTTCCCTGATCCAAGTTACAAAAGACTGTGATTTCCATCTTGCTAGTTGACTCTCCCTGTTGATTTCTCCACATAATGCTTTAATGAAGCAAGGTGCCAGGTTGAAGAGGTCCCTTTAGCAAGGAATTGATGGTAGCCTCTGGTCAATAGCCAGTGAGGAACTGAGACCTTCAGTTCAAAAGCCTGTTGGCTGCTAACAACTAAGTGAGCTTGGAAGTGGATCCTTCCCCATCCAGCCTTCAGATGAGACCCCAGCTTTGTGAACACAGCCAAGGAGAGACCTTAAGACAGGCCCCAACTAGACGTGCACAGATTCCTTAGACATACACAGATTCCTAATCCATACAAACTGTGAGATAATACATATGTTTTGTCCTCAGCTGCCAAGTTTGTGGTTTATTTATTTATTGCACAGCAATATATAACTAATACAAGCTCAATCCCTTATCCCAGCCCAAATCCATTTCAGATTTTAACTTCACTGGGGTGAAGATTGAGCCCAAAGTGAGGCTTAAGCAGTTCTGTATTACCCCAAAGGTATAATAAGTATGTATTTAAAGATCAAGCAAAATAGAGGTAGTTTTTTTGGGGGGGATTTGAAATTTCAAATTCAAAATAATAAGCAAAAACACATTGGGGCTGGGTGTGGTGGCTCATGCCTGTAATCCCAGCACTTTGGGAGGCTGAGGCAGAAGGATCACTTGAGCCTAGGAGTTTGAGATCATCCTGGGCAACATACGGAGACCCCCATCTCTACAAAACATTACAAAAAAAATTAGCCAGGTGTGGTGTCCTGCGCCTATAGTCCCAGCTACTTGGGGGCGCTGAGGCGCAAGGATTGCTTGAACTGAGGAGGTTGAGGCTGCAGTGAGCTATGATTGTCATGCCACTGCACTCCAGCCTGGGTGACAGAGCGAGACCCTGTCTCAAAACAAACAAACAAACAAACAAACAAAAGAATCATTGGGGGAGTCATTATGAAAAAAATAAGGATTTTGTTGAAATGCTTCATATATATTTTATGATTAAATATTATTTATATTTACAATTACAGTTAGGGACACCACAATCTTTTTCATACCTAGAACCTCTAAAAATCTTAAAATGACTTTAGATTCTGGCATGGAAGAGCCAACACTGAAATGGACTTGAAAGTGCAAGAGGTTTATTGGAGGAGAAATGCCTATGAAAGATAAAACGGAGAGGAAGCAAGAGTGGGGAGGAAAAACCTTCATATCACGCTGTTGCTCTGACATGAAAGGAAAGAATGAAGAACTCAGATAGGGCAGGGGGAACCTCAAACCGTGATGCAGACTTGACAAAGTCTCAACCAATCCAACAATGGGCAAAGATTGTGAGCAAAGATTACCATTTGAGGAGTCTCACATGAGGCATTAAAGGCCAGGCCCTCACACCCACAGTGTGCCCAGTAATTGGCTGAAGCTTCTCAGGAAGAACACAACCTCAGCTAAAGGCTGAGGCATATCTTGGAGGTGCTAATGGTTGGCGAATTCTTGTTTAACGGGAGATTCAAGGAGCGCATATCCATGGCTGCCACAGGGCGTGGCATATTCATAGCTCTCCTCTGCTAATTTAATCTGTCTCCTGCTTATCCCTGAAAACTTACCTTGTTTTTGGTTTCTGTTTTTGTCTCTTTTTTTCTTCCCCATGGATTTTCTGTTTCTCTACAACTTAATCTTGCTTATGGCACTAATTTACCATTTGGGCCCCCGGGTGCCACATCGATTTAAAGTTTGGCTTTTCCTAGCAAACTGACTTAGTACATGTTCCACCTTCAAATTCCTAGGTAAGATAATTTGGTCAGGTAACCATACTGAGGCCATCAACTCTAATGGGAAAGGAGGGCCAAATTATTTGAGACACAGCTATTCTTTAGAGAGGCTACTAACAGAGTAACGGACAATTTGCTAATTTCTGTGGCTTAACATAATACAAGTTATTTCATTCACATGAGTCTAATGCAGATGTTGGGCAGTCTTCCTGAATGGCTCTCCTCCAAGTGCTGCTGTGTCAGAGACTCAGGCCTTCTCTCCTTCATAGAAAGCTCTGATATCCTCAACAAGGGCCTTTACTGTCGCCTCAGAGTGATGGATAGTGTGAAGAAGACACGTCTGCTCTCAACTGCCTCAGGCAGGAAGGCACACATCACTTTTGCTCACATTACATTGGTGCGAACTTGACATATGTTCCCATCTTACACACAAGAGGGCTGGAAATGTAGCTTACCAGTATCCCCAGGAGAAAACAACAACAACAACAACAACAACAACAACAAAACATTTGATAAGTATCATATAAGCTATAAGCTTCTGCCATAGTTTGCCCTTTTGGTCATCAAATACCAATTTCATGCTTCCTCCCACACATAGAATAAATGAGCCCCTTTCTTAAGTGGAAAACACAAGATCTCATCGAGTCAGTCCCTGCTTCTAGTTCTAGGTCCAAGATGTTCAAGTGATGTGAAATTCTCTCCTTTAGTCCTAGATGTGGCTCCTTATGGTTGTGTAGCCCATGATCTGAAAAGACAGTGATCAGTTTGCTACCCTCCATCCCCAATGCACAGTTAGTAAAACAGGCACAAGACAACCTGTAAATATTCTCATTAAAAAATTGGTAGAATGAAAGACACAGGAAAATCATTAGGCTATGGCAATTCTGAAATTCCACTTAGCCAATATTGTGAGGATTTGTCAGTCTGGAGTAGGAGAAGTCCTTTGATTAGTGCCAATTTCTACTGTCCTTGAGAATTTTTTTTTTTTTTTTTTAGTCTGTTGCTTTCTGTGACCCCTGGCTTTGCCCTCTAGCAGTTTCTTCCAAGTTTATTATTTTCCATGGCCTTCTCTGAACTGGGTATTAAGTGTAAGCCCTCTTTGGGAGTTATACAACTTTCCTAACTTTATTTGTTCATGGAAGTTAAAGGCTCAAGCTTTTTGTAAGTCTTGAAAGTCCGACATTTTAATTTCAGACTTCTGGTACTGGACAATGTATTTCTCAAAAAAATGTAGTAGCTTTCTACTTACTCATTTTCATGTGTTTATCAAACCCAAAGTACCTTCCTAGATATAGTTCTCCAGGGTGCTTTACTTTGCTTCTTCAGCTCACTGTCTCACATACTCAACTTAATGATGGCAACCTTGAAGCTGCCAGGCTAGAGTGGGAACACCAGTCTTAATATCTTTTTGCTGAAAGGCTGAGTCATTCTATCCAAGAGGGTACTAGGCTTCCCTCTAGGCTTCGTGTCTGTTTTTAAATATCATCTTCTATGATTTCAAGTTCAGAAATAGTTGACTTTTCCACCCAGCCAGCCCTTGACTTTCTGTACTCCTCATTCCCTTTAAAGTCTTTCCCCAAACTGGCCAGTCCTTTCCTGAGCTTTTTTCTTGTAATACTTTGCTGCCAGCAGTCAGTAACAACCAACGCATGCTATTCATTCTCCGTTTTCCAACCTCTCCCCGTAAACCTACTTGCTAAGTAGGTATGTAGTACGCCTTCCATTTTATGGCAGATGACAATTTTAATAGATATTATGTCACTGTATGGTATGACTCTGTAGGCATTCTGCCTGTTATCACTGTGTTCTTGCTCTTCATTGCCCACGTGCCAAGCTAGTGACACATATTTCATGTTTTTATTATAGCAATGCTCCATTTTGAAGTACCAATTTCAGTGGCAGGGTTAATAATACTGCTGTAACAAACAACCCCAAAATCTCAATGGCTTATTATAGTATAAATTTATTTTCCACGTAGGCAGAGTCAATTACATATGTTCCTGGTCAGGCAGCTCTCTTCCAAATGGTGACCCAAGGATCTAGACTTTCTATGTAGTATTTCTGCCATCTTCAAAATGTGGCCTCCAAGATTACCCTGTGAGGGGAAAAGAAACTGCCTCATACTGGATGAGACACATAACTTCTGCTTCTGTTCTGTTGGAGAGGCCTGTCATATGGGCCACCTGGATGCATGGCTATTGGACACCATCATTCAGCTGCTGGCCCAGAAATAAGAAACAGGTTTGGGGACTATGTAGTCAGTCTCTGCCACATTATCTCACAATAGGAGGAATGAAGAAAGGAGGCCATGGAAGACATATGCAGTAGAAAAACAAGAAAGGTGTTCTTTATACCTTATAGGCAAGGAAACTGAGGCTCAGAGAAGTTAAGAAAAATACCTATAGCTACCCAGTCACAAAAAGGGCAGAATTAGGCACCAAACATGAGTCTATGTGACTTCCAGTCCCAACACTTAACCATTACATCTCAAAGCTCTTTTGGTAGTTTTCAGCTATTAAGTACTATTTACGTCTTTATCTATGGTTAACAGAAGCTAAGATTTAAGTGATTTGGGTTATTACTTCTCATTTTACCTGAATTTTAATACTTGCACCTATTTTTTGGAAGCCATGGCTGGCTAAGCATAAATATGGAAATGATTTATATATACTTGTCTTCCAATAATTTAGATTCGATGTCAAATTTCTTCTTGTGAAAATTCATTACCTTAATTCTTCACAGACAGAAAATAGCCTCTCCTTTTCCCCATGTATCCACTTACTTTATTTTTCATTTTTGTTCTGATTTGAAACCACAGAGTTAGGAATGGACAATTATTATAGGATTATTATATCTGTTATAGGAGATTCTATCATTTTTCCTTGGTTAAGCATAAACATATAACCTGGTTGTGGCTCAGATTCCTTAGTTTTGAGGGGGAGTAGAATATAAACCTGGAAGGTATCTCTCCTCATGCCCATCATTCTCTTCTACGTAAATTATCTTGAGACTCATAAAAGGAAAATAAAATTCTGAAATTAAATTCTTCATTGCCTTTGTTGGCTGATTTTATCAACTGTCTATTGAATGAGTGGTTTAGTAGAACTCCTTAAAAACATACAATATACTGACCAATCTATTTGGCTATTTTCCACATGTTTTCAGAAGTCAAGACACAAAATCTAACTTGTTTGTTTTTGCCAAACAATGAACAGCATTATGTGGATCTTAGACTTTGAAAAAAAAATATGACACATATTATGTAGCCTGAGTACTAGTGCTGTGTCCTGCTTTTTGAAGTTACTTTCTGGCAAGGGTGATTTTATCCAACATCAGTTACCAATCAAAGTTGAAAAATATTAAAGATTGGTTGGTGGCCTTTTTTCCCACTTACATTTCTGTCTGCCTTCTTCACAGTTCAGTCAGTTCACAACTGAGCTGTGTGTTTAAAGCAAACTGGATGAAAAAAGTAAAAGGAAAGGTCTAAATCATTCCTTCCCATAATGCAAATGCCATTCTTGTTTTGATTCTGCTATTCTCCATGCTATATTTAGAAAACAAGGCCTAATTTTTTTACTTGGCTCTGGACCTGCAGATCTTCTTGCAGAAATGACACTGAATCGTTCTCTACCTGTCCTTTCTGGCAATGTGTTTTGGTTAATTGGTACTTTGCCCTTACTCTTTCCAAGCACAAAAACTCTGATGCTTGTCCTTTGAGGAAGCACAGAAACGAGAGAAGCATAAATCCCCATTTGTCTCAAATGACAAGTCAGACATTTAGCCGCTGAGCAAGAAACATGCTCTCTGTGTTCCTCGGAAAGCAGCAGCTCAGAGCGCTTGATATTCTCTGAGACAGGAAGCTTGGAGATTCCTTATCAATAGTATGTAAATAGAGTAAGAGAACAGGCTGTAGACTTAACTGGAATTCAGACAGGTCTGGGCGTGCCTGGTGTACTGGTAAGGCCATCTCCTCAAAAGAGTTTTCCTGAAGGACTGAGATTTCCGAGAAAATATTTGTCCTAAGAGAGGATGAGTCTGACTCTGTGATAAAGCGTTAGTTGTCTGCGTGATTGTGCGATTCTGTATATAGCATCAACATTTGTATTTTCATTTGACTTGTAGCAAAGACCCTATTATGTTTTGGTTGAAATACTATGGAGAGCAATGGGTCTATACATAAATCCCCAAAGATCTGATCTTCGAAAAATTCTTACATATAAATGCACAAACATTGCTTTTTACTGCACCTCTCCAAAATAGTGGGAAGCAGAGATGAAAGAGGATCTTCACACAGTAACTGGGAGGCAGGATTCTAAAGATGCATCCATACCCAAGATTTCTGACCTCTGCTTATTCATTCGAATACAAATCCAAGTACTTCTTTGAAGGAATTTTGCAGATGTAATTAAAGATGCATCCATACCCAAGATTTCTGACCTCTGCTTATTCATTCGAATACAAATCCAAGTACTTCTTTGAAGGGATTTTGCAGATGTAATTAAAGTCTCAAGTGAATTAATTGACCTTAAAGTATGGGGATAATCAAGGTGGGCCTGATCTAATCAGATGACCCCTTTTAAGGCAGAGTGTTTTCTGTAGGATCAGAAGAGGAAGTCAGAGATTTAAAACATGACAGGGAGTTGACGCACGGTTGCTGGCTTGAAGATTAGGGAGGGGCGGGTTGTGCCACAGAATGCAGGTGGTCTTAAAGAGCTGAGAGTGGCTCCTGGCTATAGCCAGCAGAGAAACATGGACCTCAGTCCATATTTGGCCAACAACTTGAATGAGTTTGGAAGCAGATTTCCTTCCTAGGGCCTCCATATTCAAAAGCTCAGCCAAGTGAACATCTCATTTCAGCCTTGAGAGACCCTAAGCAGAGAACTCAGTTGAGCTATGCCGGAATTCTGAGCTCCAGAAGTGTGAGATAATTTGTGTTATTTTAAGTCACCATGTTTGTGGTAGTTTTCTATACGGCAATAGAAAGTTAATGCAGTAACACGATGTGGTGAGGCTTTGTATTTTGTGGGACTCAGGCCTCAGCTGTGGTGGGAGGCCCCCAGCATCCCAGAGACGTCATGATATGCAGTGTTTACCCAGTGGTAAAAGATGACGAACGGTAAGAACAGACTAGATGAGTGCTTGTGAAACCTCCCCTGGAATTCCTAGAAATTCTCCTGGGTGGGGAAAAAGAACACTGAAATTCTTCTGGGTCGGGGAAAAGAACACTGAAATTTGCATTATTACAGTCAATATGAGTGACTAGAACCTACGGGCTGATGAATTCCAAGGAAATTGACTGCACACATTTCCATAAAGTCCAGATTAGTTTGATCTCCTAGGATATGCTTCATTTACCAAAAGGAACACGGGGTTTTCTTTTTCTTTTTTTTTTTTTTTTTTGGTTTTGGTTTTGTTTTCTGATTTACTCCTCCCACTCCTAAATTCCCTTGCCTTATTCACAGACCCTGACCTCTTTTGCTAGATGCCAAGGGAAGGATTTAGTTAGTATGTCCTTGGATGATTGTGACAGTAGAAAATATCTTTTTCTTTGTTAAATCTTTGCTACTGAGACAAAATAGCAACTTATTCTTGAGAGATAGAGGACCTCTTTCAGTATACTTAGGTGCCTTTCACAAACTTCCTATTAAAAATAATGAGCAAACATTTTGTATTGGATTATTAAGAAAGGAAACTCGGTGAAAATTTAGAAGAGTGTAGGATTTTCCTCTTCTAAGCCAGCATACAGATTAGTAGAGATGAATGTGCTATAACTGTACTGTAATTTTATAAAAATATTGTTGGGAAACAATTTTCCACAGATCTTTTGCATTTCTGTACATCTTCAGAGCAGATACATGGACAGCTTTTATTCTGAAATGTCTTCTTAAGTGTGTTTGCATGGCAAACAGTTTTGGAAGGTAAAGATAATGTCTCCCTCCAAAGCAAAGGACAGATTTGCTTTCTATTTAGAATAATAAAGATAATGTCTCTTTCCAGGGCAAAGGATGGACAAGTTACTGGCAGTCCCTTTAAAGGTCTGCTATCTCCTAAGCTCAGGGAATCTCAGCTCTTATATAAGTCTTGTGTGTACAGGATGACAAACTTGTCAGAATTTGCCTGAGACTTTCCTGTTTACAGTAAAGTAAATCTTGAATATTAGGAAACCCCTTGGTCTTAGGTAAATGAGGGAGGTGGTCACCCTAGTGAGCTGCATCCATCTGAGATGCACCATATCACTCCCATGAGATTTGGAAGACATGGAAACCAATGAAAAACTTGAAGCTCATGCTGCTTGCTGTGTTGTAAGAAATAAATTTCTTTAGCTCTGACCCAGGAGTCTTGAGCCTTCTTCCAGCATCTTAAAATTGTAATAGGCTAACTTCTTAGCAAGTAGAAAAAAATCTCAGACAGACCCTTCACAGTTCTTTAAAAACGTAAGTCTAGTAGTTGCTGGAATTATAATTGGAAAAAAAAAAAGGTTAGAGAAATGGAGTAAGACCACAAGCTTCCTCTAAAGTTTTCCAAAAATCTGTTGTATGAAATGGATAATTCAAAAGCATATCAACTTACAAAAGTGATTTGTAAGAACCTGTACTATTTTTGTGACTTCCATTGCATTTTTTCCTCTTATTAATAGATTATTTAGAAGTATATTGCTAATTTCCAAACATTTAGGAATTTTCTAGTATCTTTATGTCCCCATCCTTTAGTCTAATCCCACTCTGGTCAAAGAACATACTCTATAAGAATATACTCAATTCTTTGAAATTTGTTGAGATTTGCTTTAGTTTATTTTGGTAAATGTCTAAGTGCGCTTGGAAAAAATGTGCACTTTGCAGTTGTTGGCTATAGTGTTGTCTATATGTCAATTACGTTAAGGTGGTTGATTATATTGTTCAAATTTTCTATTTTCTTACAGATTTTTTGAATTTTGTGTCTGCTTGTTCTGTCAGTGATTGTAACATTTCCAAATATGATTGTGGATTTGTCACTGTTGTCTTTATATACTGTATTAGGTGATACAAATTTAGGAATGTTTTATTTTCCTATTTATCATTTTGACTATTTCCAGTAATACTTATTGACATGATTTGGCTGTGTCCCCACCCAAAATCTCATCTTGAAATGTAATCTGAATTATAATCCCCATGTGTTGGGGGAGGGACCTTGTGGGAGGTGATTAGATCATGGGGGTGGTTCTCCCATGTTGTACTCATGATAACAAGTGAGTTCTCATGAGATCTGATTGTTTTATAAGGGGCTTTTCCCTGCTTCTCTCTGTAGCTACCGTGTGAAAAAGGACATGTTTGCTTCCCCTTCTGCCATAATTGTAAGTTTCCTGAGGCCTCCCCAGCCATGCAGAACTGTGAGTCAATTAAACCTCTTTCCTTTATAATTACCCAGTCTTGGGCAGTTCTTTATAGCAGCCTGAGATCGGACTAATACACTTATCTTAAAGTCTACGTTACTTGGTATTAATAAAATTATACTAGCATCCTCCTGTTTAGTTTCTGCATGGTATATATATTTTCCATACCATTCCATGGTGTATATTTTTACTTTCAAGTTTTCTGTGCCCTTGTATTTAAAGTGTGTCTCTTGTAAACAGCATACTGTGGAATTTTGTTTTTGAGACAGGGTCTCACTTCGTCACCCAGGCTGGAGTGCAGTGGCATGAACACAGCTCACTGCAGCCTTGACCTCCTGGGTGCAAGTGATCCTCCCACCTCAGCCCCAGCAAGAAGCTGGGACTACAAGTGCATGCCACCATGTCCAGCTAATTTTTATATATTTTTTGTAGAGATGAGGTTTTGCCATGTTGCCCAGGCTGGTGATTGTTCGTTTTTTTTTTTTTTTTAATTTAGTATGACAGTCTCTGTCTTTTAATTGAAGTCTTTGGTCCATTTGTATCTCATATAACTACTAATATAGTTGGATTTAAGTCTACCAACTTGCTATTTGTTTTCTGTATGTCCTATCTGTCCTTGATATTTTACTTTTCCTTTCTTGAATTATTTTGGATTAATCAGTGTCATTTATTATTCCATATTCCCTCTATCAGTTTTTTAGTTACATATTTAAGAAAATTCTTTTAGTGCTTTCCATATAATTATAATATATTCATCCATATCTTATTGCAGTCTTAAATTAGTAACTTCACCAGTTACTGTCAAATATAAAAATGCTCAACAGTTTAACTCCATTTACCCACCTGTCACTATTTGTGCTAGCGTTGGTAACATGAGTTGAGGAATTTGAATGAAGATTTTTGTATCCTTCTCTCAATCTGTTTACTATCTGAAATTTTGAGACTCAATTCCAAGCCATATTGGCCGCTCTGAACTCAGACCTCTTTCCTCTCAGTCCAATAAGACTGTCACTTTTGGTTTGAGCTATATTTCCCTTAGTCATTATTTGAAAAATGCTCTCAGAAAAAAGTCATAGCATGAATACAGACCTCACCATATGTGCTTTCCTTCTTTCAGGGACTGAGAAAGTCCAGCCTGTACTGTTTGTTTGCCAATGCCTTCAAACAGTTGATTTGTATGTCAACCAGCTTTTATAGTTGTTTTTGGCAGAAGGGTTAGTTCAATACCAGCTATTTTATCATGCATGGCTGAGATTGGAAATCCCTTAGAACAGTTTTACAAACAGAAATTTTCCTTCATCTCCTATTTAATAGAACAGTGTTACAGCTCATGTAAATACATGATTGTTTCAAAATCATGTTTTCAAAATAATGAGATGATTCCCTGGCATCCCCAATAATTTTTAGTATAGTTAGGAACTCACAGATTTAAACATATTTGCTATGCTTTAATCCATTGTAGGTATGATTCTTTTTATTTATTTATTTTTGAGACAGGGTCTTGCTCCATCACCCAGGCCAGAGTGCAGTGGCACAATCACAGCTCACTGTGGACCCAATCTCCTGGACTCAAGGGATCTTCCTGCCTCAGCCTCCTGAGTAGCTGGGACTATAGGTGTGCACCACCATGCCCAACTAGTTTTTGTATTTTTAATAAAGATGAGGTTTCACCATGTTGCCCAGGCTGTTCTCAAATTCCTGGACTCCAGTAATCCTCTTGTCTCAGCCTCCTAAAATGCTGCGATTATAGGAATGAGCCACCATGCCTCGCCATTGTAGTGTTATTCTTAATGATGTTAAAATGTTCCTATCTTTGACCACTGAAAGCCTCTCTAAGTTAGCTCCTGGGTCCTCCTAATATGACCTTGGGTGTCTTCACTATCTTCTTTGTTATGTGTATGACAAGATATTCCAAGCTTATCTTGTGCATTTTTTCTCTGTAGCACTGGAATCAACCAAGATAGAGTATGAGAGAAGGATCAAGGGTAAGTTGTGTTCTCAGGGCACTGCCAAGTTTCATTTAAAGCAAAAAGGTTATAGAGACTAACCAAAGGGAAAGCTGAATTTATAGGCAATTTTTCTGATGGCAGTTCATGCTTGCTACAGGACAGAGAGAAAGATTATTAGAAGTAAGCAAAGGGTGAGAGTTTAGGTAAAATGAATTGAGTAAAAGAAGAAAAGGAGATGAGATGAATGAAAGCCCAGTAAATACTAACATGTATTGTATTTTAAGCAGATCAGCGTATGTGTGGTTATTTTTTGTTCTAAAAATTTTTGGTATATTAAAAATCACCATCAGTCAATTTCCATGTCACTGGTAGTTGCATAGACTCAAGCACTGTGCAGGATTGACTGTTTAAGGATATTTTTGACCATGCCTTTGTTTTGATCAAAGATTTACCTGAAAAAAAGCATTTCTTTACAGAGCTCAGAAAATTGTGAAGATTTTCTCCTTCTCATTGTCTTGGTATTTTTACTTTGAGTAGTGGGAATAATTGTCAGACACTATAGAGAAAGAGAGTAAAGTGTACTTTAATTTGTACATTTTATTCATTAATAAGTCTCCTCCATTCCCTATTACATTACTATAATTGTAATATATTTAAATATATTTATTTCATCTACATTCATTATGTAAAGAATCTCAGGATGTGAACTGCTGGTTAATATTTTCTAGTGAAGAATTGATGGATTTCAGAGAAGTTCCGGGGATGAACAATACTGTATTATCACTTGTAAGGTAATCTTCCTGGGCAGAAGTCTCTTGAAATAGTGAAGAGATGCTAATGATGGTAGTTGAATCGTAAAGTCATATTAACAGTGACAATAAATGGTGTGTGCTTGTGCGTGCTTTGGATGATTCTCACTGTGATAGATGCAGCAACATCTCTAACTTCAAGAATTTCATTAAGTCTAGTGGTAGAGGCAGGTAAGTTATAGAAAATATTGAGGGTAAGTATTAAGTGCTTTAAGAAAGTATGCTTGGGCTGCAGGGAGCATTGTAGGGTTCTCAGAGGAAATGATCCTTGCTCCTTTTTGGAATCATTCCAAGCAGAGGGAACAGCAAGTTCATGTGTATATAATGGGGGAAGGATAGGAGATAAGGTTGTAATGTGGCTCTATCTAATGGACCTTTATGCCATACTAAAGAGTTTGTACTTTATCCTATACAAATTAGGTAAGGGCAAAGGAATTAGGTAAGGGCAAGGTAAATTTAGTTAATAGAATATAACTAGAAGATTTTTAGTAATTAGGTATGGGAGATTAGGGGAAGGGACAAGTTAAGTGTGCTTCCCAGGTCTCTGATTTTAATAACCCAATGAATAATAGAGTGGAGTTGGGTGGGATACAAAAGAGCAGCCATTGGGGAAGAGTGAATATGATGAATTTGGTATTTATATATCTCTATTAGTATATTTATCTATAATTGTGTGTGAGTGTATCTCTCATAGTACTTTTTAACCTTAGCTATCTCTCGGGATAACCTTTCTACATTTCACAGATAACAAAATGTATTCTCATGTTTTGACTAGGAAACATTCATCTTGTCTTGCTGCCCTTTTAGTTGTTTACTTGTTCTGTACACTTTCTTGTTTTTTTGAGTAATGTTATGTACTCAGTGGATATTTTTATAATGAAAAGTCACACATCGGACTTTTTCTCACAGATACAATATTAGTCTCTTTAGGAAAGTGTCATCACACAAAAATGGGCCAGATTCAAAGTTAGAAGAATATGTCTTGCTGGTTGCAAGGGGTTTTGTACTTGCCAGCTAAATCTAAAGTTTAAGGGAGGAGTCAACTGAAAATCCAGGAGGAAGACAAGGACAGCATGGAAAAAGACAGAGTAATGCTAGAATGGAAAAGAAGGCACAGTTTACAAAACTGCTCACACACATTTCTGGCTAGCATGACAGTATGCCAGATTAACTTGCTATTTGTTTCATGTATAATTTTTAAAATGGAAACATTTATACCTCTGAAAGTACAAATGTTGAGACAGATGTGGATTTCCATTTTTTTATTTAACCAAATTCCCTGGCTTTAAAGGAGTTAGCCCAAAGTTATGAAGAGTCGTGGAGCACCACCCAGCATATCTCATGTGTCTTTTTTTCTGCCTTGGTTTAGCCTCTTATTACCTCACTCTTGACCTATTGAAATAGCTTCCTACCTTTTATGACCTTAGTTCCAGACTTCCTTCCTTCTGATATATTTCAAACACTACTAGAAAGAACTTTAAATGCCATTCTTCCAGTCTTAACAATATGTGTGTTCCTTGAGTCAGTTTGTTATCTACAACAAGACTTCTAGCTTTGTTTTTCACTTCATTGTGAGGTTAATGTTTTTGACATTTCTCTCCAAAAGGCTTGAATGAAGTCCAAATATTTCACTTCATCATTTAAAGTCTTCCATGATCTGACTGCAAATTTATTAGCAGCCATATTTCCCTTCAGCCATCATGAACCATGTCACATTTCTTGTTCATGTCTCTTCGACTTCACATGGCCTTGCTACTCATCACTCAAGTATAGGCACCATGAAAGCTGATCTCCAGAGACTAAAGCAATGGGAAGACTTTGAAATGAAGAAAAGCACTCATTCATCTTAGCGCATAGTAAATGCTTAGCAATTGTTCTTTGGACCCAATTTAATTAATTAATTTAATCAATTAATAAGTAAAGTTAAAAACCACCTTGGAGGTGTTTTATGGTTTGAAAACTCATGTTAAAATTTAAGTACCATTGACTTGTAAGAGTTAGGTCACGAGGGTTCCCGAATCATGGGTGGGATCAGTACCACCATAAAAGGGCAAGTTCAGCCCCTTCTTTCACCCTCTTCTTCCACCATGTGTGGATGCAGCAAGAAGGTCCTTGCCAAATATTGGCATCTTGACCTTGGACTTCCCATCCTCCAGGACTGTGAGCCAATACATTTCTGTGCATTATAAATTACCCAGTCTCAGTCATTCTGCTGTAGCAGCACAAAAGACAAAGTGGTTGTTGGATAGGTTCCTAAATCTCTAGAATAGGTTATCTCTAAACACACATACAGATCTCTCTTTTTACAAACAATCAAAAACTAGTGAAAATAAAATTACAGCCAATTTTGGTATTGCCATTTCAATGATTAGCAACTTTGATAATAACGGCCATGCTTTATTGAAAACTGGCTGTGCCAGGCAATCTAATTACTTTAAGTAAATTATCATGAGATCTTTAAAACTCCCTTGTGAGGACTCTATCAATTTAAATAATGAGCGTATTGAGGCTGAGGCTGTCTTTTATTTGCTAAGTACCTCAACTGAGATTTAAATATTGATCTGAGTGACTCCAAAGCTCAACCCAGTCA
Organism: Homo sapiens; assembly: GCF_000001405.40. Taxonomy (NCBI): domain Eukaryota; kingdom Metazoa; phylum Chordata; class Mammalia; order Primates; family Hominidae; genus Homo; species Homo sapiens. The sequence goes on along the minus strand of NC_000003.12, from coordinate 107,256,197 downwards.
GCCATCTGCATTCTTTCATTTAGGAAATATTTTTGTTAACTGACTTATATGTCTTGTGTGACACTCACAGTGGAGACACAACCATGACCAAGAAACCTGGGTATCTCTCCCTAATGGAGATTTGATGGCTATATTGCCAACAAAGGAAGAAGATAACCTGAATAAAATCCCTAAGTGAAGTTTCAGAATTTAAGTCCATTCTGATCATCATTTTCTATAGTAATTGAATATTACAAGCTGGAATCCAGTGGTGAAAGTAAATTTTGAGAATATTCCTAACTGTGCTACCTGATTACAGTTTAAAGACCTGTATATTCTGAAGAACAGGAGGTCCCAGGACTGCCTTTCTCTATGCTTCCTCATTAACCTAATTTCCTCTGCCTACTTTATCTCCAATCATCCCTAGGATACACTGATTGTAATGTCTCAGTGGGTGAATGGAAGGTAAAACCACACAGGTACAAAACAAATTGACTGCAGAATCATCGGTTTTATCTCACAGCATCAGCAGATTTTTGTCCTTATGATTTTTGTTTTAAAAGAAAATGTAGTATGGCTAAGTCAATGAACTTTTAATTCTTTAATTGTGTAGTGGGTGTTTGTTATCTGTTAACAGGGGAACCACAGAATATTGCGTTTCTTTTTTTTTCCTGAGTTAGGTCAGTAAGGAATGTTCTAGCTCCTTCTTGACTGCCTTCTTCCTGCTTCTCTAATCAGTAAGGACATTTTTTGTCTCTCCACTTCAGATCTTCTTTTAGTACCTCCAAGTAGTAATAATTAATACATGAAAATCCCCCATGATTTTGGTATTGTGACTTATATGTGGCATGTCGATTATCTTATTTTAGCCTTAAATTACCATCAAAAGAAGGTAGATTGGTAGCATTTTCATTTCTATTTTACAGATGAGGACACGATCCTCTTCTTTCTGAATGTAAAAAAAAAAAAAACCAACAACAACAACTAGTATTTGTAGTCCTGCTACCATCAGAAACATCAACCGCAGTTGTAGCAGAGGACCAGGAGAAATATAAGCTGAACTCGGGTTCCTATTCCTCATTTTCTGTTGTATTTATCAATAAGTATAGCACTGAGTCAAGAGCATGACCTTGGACTAGCACAGCAGAAGACGTCTCAGCTCTGACACTTTGTAGCTGTGTGTTCTTGGGCAAGTTATTTGACCTGTCTAAATATCAATTTCATACTCTAAAAAGATGAGGATTCTAATATTTAAAACCTACCTCAATTAAATAATGTTAGGAACTATTTAATATCCAGATCATCCTCATTATACTTACACTCATCTATTCAAACTGCATATGTTGTTCTAGTATTCGTTCATTCCTTCAACGAATATTTGAATGTCCACCATGTATTAGACATTGGCAGTGAACCAGACACACATAGTCCCTGTCCTCATTAGAATGTACATAGCAGAGTGTCTAGTTCATTCAGATATCAGAATCTACACAGTGTATTTAAGAACAACAGTCAAATGTCAAAGGTCAGGATTTTGATAAGGAGCTAAACAGGAGATGGACAATGAACTTCCAATAAGGAAAAAGGAAAACTAGTCATATACTGTTGTTCTAGAAACCAAGCCAAGGAAGTGTTTCCAGATGATGGTAGTGATCAACTGCATTAAATGCCTCTGAGAATTAGAGTAAGTGAGAGTCTGAGTATGAAACGTTGATTTGGACAAGATGGACATCATTGGTGTTCTTGATAAGGACAGGTTTAATGAAGAATGGGAGAACAGAAAACAACTACTTGGTACATATACATTTTCAGGAATGAATTTCCAGCATCCTTAGCTCATGATTACTAGAATTCTTCTGTTCTCAAAAAGAATATTCATCTTTTGGTAGTGTGGGTGACTTACTCAAACTGAGCATCTGCAGTACTGCTATCGACATACCTATTCACCATCAAGTCTTTATCACTGTTATCAGAATATCTGGAAATATAATACATCTTTTGAACTAGCCTACCCATTGCTGGTTTCCCTTTATACTTACCATTGAGTACACCCTAATATCCGGTGATAAACATTCATCACCCTATCTTATTTTTCAAATATCTAGAATTATTTTTTTTTGAGACACAGTCTTGCTCTATCATCCAGGCTGAAGTGCAGTGGCACAATCATGACTTACTGCAACCTCTGCCTCTCAGGCTCAAACAATCCTCCCACCTCAGCCTACCAAGTAGCTGGGACTATAGGCATGGGGCACCACACCTGGATAGTTTTTCATTTTTTGTAGAGACGAGGTTTTCCATATTGCCCAGGCTGGGATATCTAGAATTTCATAATGTGTGACAAAAAACATAACTCTTGATGGTCTGATGAGATGTTCAGTATTTTGAGGGATTTTAGCCATTTAAAGAAACTTGTGCCACCATTTTTAGGCTTCTTTTAGTACATGGCACTTATTTCCCATGCAGAACAAGACATGGGCATCTTTTCTTCTGACATGGATTTACTTCTTATAAAGTAACTGGGAGACAAGCACATTTGAGTAAATCTCTTGTTTGGAGTTTTCTTTTTTGGTCTCAAATATTAAGTGTATAAGCTCTGGCACTTGATTTCTTGTTTGGGGAGAATGCTGAGAGACTTGAGAGACGGCGTGCAAGCTTGCTTTTGAGTTTGACTGCCAGGGCTGGGGTATCTAACTTTGGTTGATAATCACTCTCATATTTGAGACAAGAGCAGGGGCACTCACTCTAGAAGTTATAAATGATATTTCAGCCTGGATTGATTTATCAAATTGATAAAGCCAAAAATAATCCATTCAGAGTGATTTTATTACTTCTTAAAAAAGATTTTAAATTTTGCTTCTATTAAAAAATTACCATAAATGGAACATAAAATAAAATATATTTTTTAACATGTGGAATATCTGACATTTAACTGCAGCTTTCCCCTTGTTATTATGAGCATGTAAAAGAATTCTAGTATCTTAATTTTTAAAAATGTAATGAAGATTTAGAGAATGGCTAGAATTTTTGTTTTTTAATTTAACTGTAAGTATTTTGTAAGTGAATAAAGCAGGGTTTTGTTTTTCAATAAAAGCCTTACCTTAAGGCTTGTTTATTAACATATAAAGTTGTGGAAATTGGCTTTATTGGTTACAAACAACACATACTTTCAACATTTGGAAAAAAATGCTATTTGTTTAGCATTTTGGTTTGTAAAGACAGAACTTTTATTTATTTATTTATTTTGAGACGGAGTCTTGCTCTGTTGCCCAGGCTGGAGTGCAATGGTGTGATCTCTGCTCACTGCAACCTCTGCCTCCTGGGTTCAAGCAATTCTCCTGCCTCAGCCTCCTGAGTAGCTGAGATTACAGGCATGTGCCACCACGCCCAGCTAATTTTTTGTATTTTTAGTAGAGATGGGGTTTCACCATGTTGGCCGGGCTAGTCTCAAGCTCCTAACTTCGTGATCTGCCCGCCTTGGCCTCCCAAAGTGCTGAGATTGCAGGCATGAGCTACTGCACCCAGCATAAAGACTTAACTTTTAAATGTATACCTTTAAGATTTTCTTGTAGAAAGATCCTTACATAAGTTTTCTAAAGCTAGAGCCTTTCTTAGTCTGCTTTCCTAACCAAGTGTGAGTGTAACAAACTTTTCACCCAAGGATGAGTTACCTGTCTCATGTAGATGGACTATGAGCAATGTAGGCCATTGCTTCATTATGTGAGATAGAATATGTTCAGTTATTTATTTACAGAATCTATGAGTGCTTGCCTATCATTGAATATGTGCAACAAATCCATAGGGTGAATGCTATGAAGCTATTTCCGTCAAGGGAAAGCTATTCACCAAATAGAGAAATCACAGCTATCATGTTTAAAGGTATACATGCATCTATAGGAAAGGAATAGGGCCTCCAGTGCACATAACATGCCATTTCTTTGTGTAGGTTGCACTGGGGAAAAATATTTTAAGAAATATAGGTAGTACTCATAGCAGATAGGAATAGCAGATCATTTGCTTCTTGCTGCTCACATTTGCTAAGACTCTTATGAAGATTTTCCCTGGGCACATGAATCAGTTTAATAATGATTGCTGCCAGTTGGTGGCTAGACATCAGACTGCCAGCCTACTCAACAGTGTTGCCATCTGCTATTTGGATTCACAGTGTGTTGCTGCTACGCACCACCTCATTAAGAACGGGACCCTTGTGAGCCATAGACAGTGGCTTATTCAAGCGAGCGAAGCAAACTCCTCCCCAAGCCAAATTTGTAGAGGCTGCATGCATCTCATCTTATGTGGAGATTGCTCTACGTTGATCATGCAGTCTGATAGCTCATTGTCTCTGATCACTTAGGTTTAATATTTCAAGCCAGCTCCTTGTTTCAAATTAGTGTCAAAATACAAATATGATTATTTCAAAGACTTGTAAAAACTACTCACTCCAATTTTTTTTGGTAATGCATTCATATCTTAAAGTGGTATTAGTCAGTGGCTTGCCAAACAAATATTTTAATAAGTTATTATAATCCACTGGGCTTTTCTGGATAGATCTTCCAGTCCTGAAGATTTTTCAGTTTTGTAGAATTCCTACTGCAGTTTTTATTTCTTGGAAATGGACTTTCAAAGGCTTTAATCATATTTTCTCTTTTCCTCTCCCGTTAAATATCTAAAAGCAGCTGGAATGCAAAACATTTGTATCTGTCAGATAGACATGAGTGCATTTTACCTGACAACCACGGATTATCTTAGAGTTTTAAACACTGTTACAGAGAAAAGAAAATTTATTTGCATAGGTCACATAATATTTAGATCCTCTCCGTAGCACCTCCATAGATAGTAGATCCTGCAGTACTTTAAGCATTAGAGTTACACATCAAAATTAAGCTAGTTTCAAATCTCAAAGGAATTCATAAGCTGAGATTTAAGTCTCGGGTACCCCTCCCCTTACTTTCCACATAGGTACTTAGTTCTCACACCTGCACTTACCAGCATCCAGAATATATTTCTTAAGGCCTACTCTTGTTAGGTACTCTATGAAAAAGGGTTTTAGGCCAGGCACAGTGGCTCACACCTGTAATCCCAGCACTTGGGAAGCCCAGGCGGGCGGATCACTTGAGGTCAGGAATTTGAGACTAGCCTCACTAACATGGTGAAACCCCCATCTACACTAAAAATACAAAAAGTTAGACAGGCGTGGTGGTGGGTACCTGTAATCCCAGCTACTCGGGAGGCTGAGGCAGGATAATTGCTTGAGCCTGGGAGGCAGAGGCTGCAGTGAGCCGAGATTGCACCACTGCACTCCCTTCCAGGTGAAAGAAGAAGCCTCTGTCAAAAAAAAAAGGGGGGCGGGGAATGGGCTTTGATGGGCAAACAAAATTAGAAAGTGGGGTGTCTCAGACAGTATTCTCCAGGATGCAGATTCTGAGATATACTTTAATTGCAGGATATTTATTAAGAAGTGCCTTTTGCCAAACATTTGTTCAAAGAGAGAGAGAAGCGGAATTGGGAGAAAATGAGTTATAATGTAGGTCCAATGACAGCCTTGGCCAACCCCACAGGGAGCTCTGGAGTTAAAACGGCCCTCGGAGATGTCCTCAGATGGGCAAGAGAACAACTTTGTATCTCCACACTGATCAATCCTTGGCTATGGGCCACTCCACAAAAAAGTGTGACCTTAGGTGAAGTGGTTTTCTACAGCTATGCCAATTCCTGAAGAGGGCTGACAGCTGCAGGCTGCCTGCTAACATCACACCCAGCAAGTGGGGAGCAAGCCGTTCTTTGAAGGGGGATCTGGGCTGCACATCATACTACTGCCACATGTAACACATCAAATCATCTCTTTTGGAGAGTTGCACTAAACATTCACATACGAATGGCTTTGAGAATCTGGCACTGAAGCAAATTTCTAATTTAATTTTTCTCCTGACATCAGTTCATATCCTATGGAACTAGTTTTCCACAGAACATAATTCGATAAACGTCTCCCTAATCTTACAGTGCCTTGCAGGCTGTTAAAAGAACTGCATATAGATGGTTTGCTCTGGGCTTGCCTGCCCTTCAACAGGGTCTATTGGTTCTGCCTGAGAACGTTGGTGTTGCTATATTAGTTAAGGACCTGCTATACAATGGCATGTATGTACTGTGATGAAATTAACCATCACACCTTCATAAGGGTCAGATGAATGAATATGTGATGGATATACTGTGATGAATATGTCATGAAATAGTGACAATTCACTAAGGCCACCAAGAATGAGCCTGTGAGAAGGTACCAGTATCACTAAGTGCAGTAGTGGCTTTACTCTTTAGACCAGGGCTGATGGTAAATGAGGTGGTCACAGAGCTGGGATTGTTAATATGATTCAGGGGTAATGGACCCTCAAGTAATAGAGGGCTCTGGAGGACTAGTGCTTAATTACCAAAAGTCAAGAGGCCATAATTACTATAACAACTGGTGAAATTGGAGGGGTAGTTAAGGGGGTTTGATTCACAGGGTGTTTAGGAGATAATTAATTGAAAGTAACACCCCTATAGGCAAAATAGATGGGCATCTAACAAGAATGCTGCTTAACGCCTATAACCAAATAAGGCACGAATGGAACCGCACTGGCTCCAATGACACATCACAATCCCTTTCTCAGTTCCTAGACCTGAAGCACTTTTCAGGTAAGGAAGCCACAGATGGAAGAACCCATAGGTGGCTGGGTTACTAGGTCACAGGTCACTAGGAGGAAGAACCCTGCTATACATGTACAGACTTTGATGAAATGGCAAGTTCTTCCCCAAATAGATTTATGACTATATGCTGGCAAGGAAGAATATCCAGACATTTCCAGGTTTACTGGGCACAGAGCCTGAGTTGACAATGATACCTAGTAATCTTCCTGGCAGCTAGGCCTGAATAGAGCTGTGCAGCCCAAGGGGTGGACTGAGCCAGCAGTGGATATGCACCACTGAGATCTCTTGCTGTGGAACGTAATTGACTGGGGGGGTCCCCGCTACTGCTCTCTGAATCCATTGATACAGTCATGCCAAGGCTACATTTCCCATGGGTTGTTTCCATAAGAATAACAATAACTGAATGAAGAAGGTATACTAATAATGCAGGCCTATTCCTGTGAGGTAGGGGGCTCCTCCAATGGGCGACTTTGGTTTGAGTGTTCTTCATCAGCTGACCTTAAACTTTATCGGAATTGTGCTACAGCCTAAGCTTTCTGCTACTCAACCCGCCTTTCTTCCCTCTCTCCTTCTGTATTAGTCAGGGTTCTCCAGAGAAACAGGATCAATAAAACCTATGGCTCTATCAATCAATTAATAAGGATTTATAATCAACCTATAAGGATTTATCAATAAATAAACCCTTATTTATTATAAGGAATTGGCTTACACAATAATGGAGGCCGAGAAGGCCCCAAGTCTGCTGTCCGAAGGTCTGAGAACCAGGAGCACTGATGGTGTCAGTCCCAGTTCAAGGGCAGGAGAAGATGGGTGTCCCAGCGCCACAGTCAGGCAGAAAATTCAAGCTTCCTCCACCTATTTTATTTGGGTCCTTAGAAGACTGGATCAAGCCCATCCACACTGGGGACTGCAATCTGCTTTATTCAGTCCATCAATTCAAATGCGAATTTCCTCCAGAAAAAGCTTCATGAACACAACCAGAAATAATGTTCGATCATATATGGGGCATCCTGTGGCCCAGCGAAGTTGACATGCATAAAATTAACCATCACACCTCCATGGAGGCCAGAAATTTTATGTATTCTGAGGACTCTGTCTCTCTGGCTTCCTCTCCATTTCAACCCTCAGGCATTCTTTTTTTCCCCAAATAAATGTCTTGTAAATCTATTTTTTTTTTACATGTGTTTTTTTTGGAGTACTGGAACTAATAAATTTGGACTTTGTTCTGCAGGTAGTTTAGTTACTTACAGATCAGCTTTATACTATTGAGGCTTGTTTTTAAGCTTTTTGTGGGGGTGAGGAGCAAGTGTAGTGTAGTTTTTAGTCAGGATAGTTTAGCCCTACGTATGTAACACACAACCTTTCTGGGATCTTTAGCGAATGCCTGGTTTTCAGTCAGGACTCTCCACTGTGGCTGGATGGAAATTAGATATTTCCCAATCTCACGCTAATTTTGAGAATTGTTAGGCTTAGTGTTCCGCAATGTACACAATGGGGTCTCTACATAGATTTCTGGATTTTTTTGTCTACCTTCCTCCTTGTTGATACTTTGTCCTGAAAATTCAAGCTATCTCAGTATCAACTCCAATCTTCCTCTCCTCAACTCAGCAAGACTCTGATCTCCTGCGATGGGATCCAGAGTGCTCACCTCAGAAAGGCAGGGCGATCGGAGGTCTCACTTTGTTTCCCTGCCTCAGCGATCAAATTGTATAAACTTTTTCCCTGGCTTCTGGAAACACTGATAGCCAACCTTTCGGTAAAATTTCTAACATATGTACTTAGAGCTTTAATATGCTAAGTATTTAATATGCTAAGTATTTTCTTTAAAATTCATTTCAAAATATTTTTGCAATTTTGCCGTGATTTATTTTTTGGCTCATGGGTCATGAGGTGTATGTTCCTTAAATTAATGCATTTTGGAAATTTTTTGTTACCTTTATGTACTTGATTTCTGGTTTAATTCATACTCTATATGATTTCAATCTTTTGAAATTCTTGAGACTTGATTTGTGATCCAGCCTAACATGCGCCCCAGAACACATGGTAAATGTTTTGGGGTATACTTTAAAAGAACATGTATTCTGATGTTTTTGAATGTAATATCTTATGTCTTATTCATATTTATAGTACCAATACACAGCACATAGTAGAAACTTAACATATATTGAGTTAAATAATTCAAAGGTTTTATCCGATTGGTGGCAATTCAAGACCAAATAAGAGAGGATGATGATGACATCACTATTTCTGTTAAGACAGGGCCTCATACAACATACAGGAATGTCCAGTTGTCAAGTCATGCAGTTTCTCCCCTATTCTAACCAATGTTAATGCCAATACTTTGTGATGAAAATTATCCCAGTATTTTTCCTCCTATGTTTCCACCAGTTTTCCCTTCATTGATTGTTAAGATTTATATCACTAGAGCTATTTGACAGTAGGAAACAATTACCTTAGGAAAAGTTGGTGACATTGGTCTATAAAGGTCACGGAGACATAAGAAATGGTTATTTTTTCATTTTTCACCAAACAATTCACGATTGTTTCTAAGATTACAAAAGATTAGACGATAGCTAATATTTCTATGCAATGGTCAAATTTTTCAAGTAGAATCATTTTTAAATTTTCCAAGTTCCAATGTCACTTTCTCCTTGAACACGACTCAAGGTCAAAACTTATAAATGTACACCTTCTAGTACATTTAACTTTCCAATTTAACCCTTCTGCCAACTTTATTCTGGACACTGAAGTTTTGATTATAAAGAAGGGAGGAAATAGATTTCGATGAGTCTAACAGTATATTACGTAGGCTTATAAGATGCTTCTTGGGTACAGTCTCACATCTTTTCAACCTCTGATTCCAGTCATAGCTCTGGTGAAGAGTTAACGGGAAGATTTTACCCTGCTCTGTGCTGACACCGTCTCACTTCGAGCATGCACCAAGACTCTAGCTTCCTGTCTTAAGACCTCTCTGATGCAGCAATGTGTGATGCTAAGGTACCAGCTGGACTGTCAGCTAGCTCTTTGCAGCCCAGAGGGTTGGGGTGGTGGAGGCAGTGGGTTAATGCCCCAAAGGAGCAGCCCTCAACACACAGGAGGTGGCTGCTGATGGAGAAATACTTCTCCTTTCTCCCTGAGGCAGACAGTTCTGAGATAAAGTTTAAGAAGAATCCTGAGAAAGTTCTGCATTATGTAGCCATTAATAGGGGTGGACCACTTGATAAGAGCAGTATCTGGTTTTGCTCGGACTTAGTTTCCCTTTTCCCCAGTTCACTCCCCTATCTCTCATTCCTGCTCCTGGGTGTTAGACTCATAAATAGAATGTGTCTACCTTTGTCTCAGGCTCTGCTTTCAAGAATAACCTAGATTAAAACAGTGGGTAAGTGCGTTGTTGGTACATTACATAATGCAGGGATGTAATTTTCCTTGACTCTGTGCATCTACAAAGAAACACTTATTCAGATGGCAGCATAGTTGAGGATTTCCACCTTTTTCCTTTTTGAAAGCTCATGGTCCATCCTGAGCCTGACCACCTAAAGAAAAAAAAGTTGTCATAATTAGGTTATAATTAAACAGGAAAATTTCTTTGTGAGGATGGCTCTAAACATTTTTTTTCCTGTCTGAGGGAGTCCTCAGCAATTTGGCTGGATATTTTCGTCTAATATGGAAGAGCCCTCAGTCTACTTAATCATGTAAAGCTTTTGTTGCTTTGGAAACAAGCATATTAAATTTCTTATTTTCCCTGGTAAAAAAGCTGGATCTTGGCTGGGTGTAGTGGCTCACACCTGTACTCCCAGCACTTTGGGAGGCTGTGGAGGGTGGATCACTTGAGTCCGGGAGTTCGAGACCAGCCTGGGCAACATGGTGAGACCCTGTCTCTATTAACAATATAAATTTTTTTTCAAAAAGTAAAACAAACAAAAAAGCTGGATCTTTTAGTGGTATAATTCTTTTTGTTAAGAAATTCAAACATAAAAAACATAAATTACTGGAACACTATCAGGGCTTTCTTCATTCATGAAGGAATGCTCTGAAAGATACAGGGAGTTATTAGAAATAAATTGAGATTGCCCATATGCTAGCACGAAGTGAAAACGTCAACAATGATAATTTTTTACTCATTTGGTTCTGAAGACACTTCAGAGAACAAAATTGATTAAAATCCCTCCTTATTGAACCTGTATTCCAGTGGAACAGAAAGTTAAGACAATAAACCAAGTAAATCATTACAGTACATTGAATTTAAAATAAGGGCTACAGCCAGGTATGATGGTGCATGCCTGTAATCCTAGCTACTCAGGAGGCTGAAGCAGGAGAATTACTTGAACCCGGGAGGGTGGAGGTTGCAGTGAGCTGAGATTGCTTCACTGCACTCCAGTCTGGGCGAGAGAGTGAGACTCCATCTAAAAAAAAAAAAAGGTGGGGGGGAGGGGCGACAGATGAAAATAAACAAGAGATGGTGTATGGCCTGAATTATATACCCCCAAAATTCATATGTTGAAGGCCTAACCCCTAGTACCTCATAAGGTAACTATATTTGTAGAAATGGTTTTTAAGGAGGCAATTAAGTTAAAATGAGGCCCTTTGGATGGGCCCTAATCCAATCTAAATGCTGTCTTTATAAGAGAAAATTTGGGCATGCAGAGAGACACCAGGGGCACTCACCCACAGAGGACAAACCATGAGAGGACACAGAAAGTGGACAATGGCTGGCCAAGGAGAGAGGCCACAGGAGAAATCAAACCTGCTGCCATCTTGATCTTGGACTTCTAGTCTCCAGAGCTAAGAAAATAATTTTCTGAGGGTTAAGCCACTGGGTCTGCGGTGCTCTGCCATGGCAGCCCTGCAAACTAATCCAGATGCTGAGAGAATGTACAAGTTTTTTGTTTGGTTTGTTTCATTGGTAGGTCTCACTGAGAAAAATGACATCAGAACAAAGACCTGTGGAAGAGTCAGTTATATAAATATTTGGGGGCAGGAGCATTCTGGAAGAGGAAAAAGCAATCCCCAAAGCCCTGATCTGGAAGGAGGCCAGGGAGGTTTGATACATAGAGCATTAGAAGATGAGGTTAGAAAGGTTGGAACAGCGAGGCAGTGGCAGATCACAGGAGAGAAGGGTTCTCAGTGGATGCAGGGCCGTACTGTGCACCAATGGGATATTTTGAAAAACTGTGAGGAATTTTGGCATTACTATGATTGGGGTGGTGGTAATGTTAGTGGGCAGGCAACATTTATGTTAAAAGAATAGCCATGCTCAGGACCCTTCCACCCAGCAAAGTATTTTTTCTACAATCAATGTGACTTTTAAATGCCCTGCTGCTCATTCATGGAGATGTAACACTTTATAACCTTTTATGCTAACTTCTAAACTCCACTAATGGCAAAATAGGTTATGGGATCAACTCTTCATTAAACAAGTAAACATTCTGGATAAATATATTTGATCATATTTGGGGAACCTTTGCTAATACTTTTTCAAGTATTTTTCTGCCTGATAGTTTCTCTCTTTGACTTCTAAAAGTCCAATTTCATGTAAGTTAGATGTCTTGACATTATTTCATGGGTCACTGATGTTCTGTTTATTATAAACTTTTTTTTTTCTCAGTGCACTTTAAATTTGGATGATTTCTATTGATCTATCTTTTTTTTTGAGATGGAGTCTCACTCTGTAGCCCAGGTGGAGTGCAATGGTACAATCTCAGCTCACTGCAGTCTCCATCTCCCTAGTTCAAGCAATTTTCCAGCCTCAGCCTCCCGAGTAGATGGGATTATAGGTGTGCACCACCACACTCAACTAATTTTTGTATTTTTAGTAGAGATGGGGTTTCACCATGTTGGCCTGGCTGGTCTCAAATTTCTGACCTCTGACCTCAAATGATTCGTTCGCCTAGGCTTCCCAAAGTAGGCTGGGACTACAGGTGTGAGCCACTGTACCTGGCCCTCTATTGACCTATCTTTAAGCTTCCTGATTCTCCTTACTGTTGTCCAATCTACTGATAATCCCATCAAATAATTTCAGTTATTATAATTTTCAGTTCTAGGGGTTCCATTTTGTTCTTCTTCTATTAGTTGTATTTCTCTTGAAATTCCCTGTCTTCATTTATCATATCTACCCTTAGTAAGAATCTTTAATAATTTAAAATAGCCATAAATATCTTTAAAATTCCTTTTCTACTGATTCCAACATCTGTAGGTCTATTTCTATTGATTTATGACAAAGGTGATGTTGCAGAGCAGTGGGGAAAGGACTTTCTTTTCCAAAAAAAACTTAGGTCAGTTGGATAGCTACATTAAAAAAAAAAAAAAAAAAAAAAAAAAAAACTAGTCCTCACTTCACACCATATGCCAAAATTAATTTTAGGTAGTTAGCACATCTAAGTGTTCCAAGAAAAAACTTAAGGTTCCAGATGGTAACATAAGAGAATGCCCTTGTCACCTTGGGGTAGACAATGATTTCTGACAGGTTAGCGAAAGCACTAACCATGAACAAAGAGTGATAAATTAGACCTCAATAAAAATAAAAGATTTACCTTTATCAAAATCTAAAAATGGGAAGTTAAAATGCAAGCGTTTAATTAGGAAAAGGTGTTTGTTTGCAGCACTTATCTAGAATATACACATCAAGTAGAAGAAGATTAGCCAATAGAAAAGTGGGTGAATGCCTAAAAGGCACTTAACTAAAGAGGATATCCGAGTGGCCAATAATCACATGAAAGATGCTCTTTATCTTTAGTCATCCGAGAAATGTAAATTAAAACCACATAAACCCTAAATGTTGGAGAGGACGTGGAACAATGAGAACTCTCATCATACAATGCTGGCAGGTCTATAAATTTGAAAAACTGCTTGGCACTGTAATTATAGCTGGTTATGAGCATACCTTAGATATGTATCGCAATAGAAATGTGTATCTATGTGAACCGATTCACAGAATAACGTTCACGGAAGTATTATCTGTAATAGCTCCAAACCTGGAAAGAACTCGAATGTCCAGTATCAGCATAAGGGACCAGTCACAAAAGACCTCATATCATATGGTTCAATTTTTGTGAGATGTCCAGAATAGGGAAATCTATAGAGCAGAAAAATTAGTGGTTGCTTGGGGCTAGAAAGGATAGGGAAGTGGGGTTGCGGGAGTGATAGTTAAAGGGTATGAAGTTTCCAGGTGATGAAAATTTTCTAAAATTGACTGTGGTGATGGTTGCACATATCTGCGAATATGCTGAAAGCAATGAATTGTACACATTGAATTGCACACTTTAAGTAGATGAACTGTATGGTGTGTGAATTATATCTCAATAAATCTGTAATTAAGAAAAAATAACAGTAGAAAGAATAAATTGTGTATACTCATATAACTGAATTTCATACAGCATAGAATAAAATTGTAAAAAAGACTTGTTACATGCAACGACACGGATGAATTCAAATATAATATAAAGGGAAATAAACCAAATACTATAAAATATTTACCAAGTAATTCATTTCATGTGAAATGTCAGAATAGACAAAACTAACAGGGGGATGAAGAATGCTACTATTAGTTAATTTCTTGAGCTGAGTTGTGGTTGCCCGGACATGTTTGTGTTAATCTTTGAAAGTTTACTGAACTGTATTTGTAATTTGTACACTTTTTTGTATGCTGTACTTCAACACGTTTTATTAAAAATATTTCTAAAAATCCAAATGTTCAGTAAGTTGTCCTATAATATGCATTAAAAAAGAATTAAAAAATACACAAGCATTTCAAAAGTTATTTTTTGTGGGTTAGGGTTATGGAGAATTTCTTTTCTGCTCTATACGTCTCAGAATTTTCCAAATGACCATAGTAGACATATATTACATTTATCACTAGAAAAAAATACTATTAAAATACAATTGTCTGAGATAATCTTGTACTACTTTTACACTAAACTAATTTAGTTCAAATGTGGGGACTTCAGCTTTTGCTCCCAGATGAAAAGAGCTTGTCATTTTGGAGCAAAGGAGGGCGTGGCAGTTGGTCGGAGTGTTTCCTGGTGGCCTAGGAGACTGCCAGAAACTCACCAAGGGCCACCGGCCTAGGGGGAGGAGCAGAGGTGCAGGTGCAGGGAGGGATTCAAGAGACTGTGAACTAAACCTGGGTGGGTCCCAGTCCTCACAAAACCTGGGTCCTAACTGCAAAACTATGGTCGGGCCTGGGAAGGGGCGGAGGACTCACTGGCGCTCTAGCCTCTGTGCTGGGTGAATTAGTGATTAGGCTCTAATCTTCACAGTCCTCATGATTCTATTTTTGTAAGGCCAGCAGCTAAGAGTGGTTTTTACATTTTCAAAACAAAGACGAATACGCTACAGAGACAGTTCCAGGCCCAAATTCTAGAGTATTTGCTTTCTGGCTCCTTACAGAAAAAGTGGGTAAACTTCTTGATTAGAGGGTCTAGGCAGAAGAATTCTAAGGTATTTAAAATTTTTACCTGGGAATGCGCTTGCTGGTGAGGCGGAGCCGGCGTGAAGCCAGTGTGCCCAGCGGCACTGGTACCACGCGATGCTGGATTGCCTAGGCTGGTCAGACGGAGCAAATCGGAATCCACGGAAGAAAATTCACCTCTTAAGGATCCAGTCCGGAAAGGGATGGCCGGGCTCTTCCTGGGCAGGGGTGCCCAAATGGATGAGGATGCTCTCTGCAGCCCTCGGCGGATCGCAAAGGAGCAGGGCTCCGGTCTTCTATCTGGGAAAACATGGTTGTCACTCGTGGAGAAGCCAACGGAGCCCCTGCGGAGTTTTCTTTCCTTTTCTCTGCTGCAGGCAGAAGAAGCGCATTGCGCGGTTCGCCGGGCTGTCTGCAACTTTGGGAGCTGCGCCGCGTGGGTGCGGCCAGCCGACCGGCGCGTGCGCAGTGAGTTCTCAGCGCCTCCCGCCGCGCAGGCTCGGCGTTGGCCTCCGCGGCCCGTGCGAGTGCGCCCTTCTCGGGTCCCCTAGGTCGCGGGGCAGCCGGGGCGGAAGGGGCTTGTTCATTATTTTGAGAGTTTGTTGTGAACGTCATAACCTTTCGTCCTTAAATATTGCCGATACTTGACCTACGCAAGAGACAATGTCATGTGATTCAGCCTAATATCTCAGTATGTATCCCCTAAGAATAAGGGATTTTTCTACATCAGGGTTTCTCAACCCCGCGCTATGGACATTTTGGGCAGGATGAGTTTTTGCTGTCTGTACCCGTAAGGTGGGGTGACGGGGTGGGGTGGGGGTGTCCTGTGCTAAACAATCACTATTTAGCAGCATCCTTGGCCTCTACCCATTAGATGCCAGTAGCAACCCCCTCCCCCAGTTGTGACAGCCAACGATGCCTCCAGACACTGCCAAACCCAAACGGTGTGGTTGGGGGGGTTGAGGGGGGGAGGGGTAGTGGTGAGGGTTGGGGGAAAAAGGAGAGGTACAAAGTTGCCTCAATTGAGGACCACAGGATCACAATGCACATCATCATACTTAGGAAATGTAACATTGTTATATTACAATAATCTATATTTCATATTTGAATTTCCTCAATTGTCCCAAAATGTCCTTCTTTACCCTGTAGTTTGTAAAATGTAAATCCGAGATTTAACAAGAATCACATAGTGCATCAATAAGAACCACATATTGCAGTTGTCAAGTCTCTTTCGCTTCCTTCAATATAGAGCAGTTCCCTAGCCTTTTTTGTTTGTTTCTCCTGGTATTGACATTTTTGAAAAGTCTAGCCCGGTGGTCTTCCAGAATATCCTTCAATTTGGAGATGTCAGATTGGTTCCTCATTATAAGATTCACGAGTAATAGATATGTACACACAAACATATATGCAGGAATTCTACCTAGGTGATGTATCCAATTTTATCTATTTTCAAATGACTTTTTAGCTGTCATAACATTTAATTTATAAAGCACCTCCCTGACCAGCGATTTGCAATATTTTTATCACATACGTAAATTTCCACATTGTAATTGGGTCTAAGATATATTTTCTTTTTTCCCCGCATTGATCTTATTGTCTACTTATGGGCTAATATACTGTTTTTATTAGAGACTATATTTCAGTATCTGGTAGGGCTAGACTGCATCATTGCTGTTTTCTTAAGTGTTTTTTTAATGCTGGGTTATTTTTTCATGTTAACTATAGAATATAGCCCCATAAAAGTACTTTCAAAAAAAAAATCTTCTGCATACCTTTTCAGTTTATGATGTTGCATTTTCCTTTTGAAAAGCAAGGTTTATTTTTTCTCGTGCTCAAGTTTCAGCTTTGTGTCTTTCAAGGAAGCATCATAAAGGTTTTTCACTTGTTAAGTTTATTCTTAGAGTATTTCTCTTTTTTGTTGGTATCGTAAGTGGGATTATCTCTTCCACTTTTCCTTATAACAGCTAGATTCTTACATAAATGAAGGTACTGATTTCTATGTCTAATTTTGTATCTTGCTACCATATTGAATCTCCTGTTGCTTCTAGGAGTTTCATGTTGATTGTATCTGTATCTCTTTTTACACTTTTATATAATTGCAGTGATTATCCATTTTGAAGTTCAAATTGCCCGTCTTTGGCCATTTTTGGCTCCTTTGTTTATTTGACACAAGCTCGAATGTCTTGATAGCTTACTTGCTTTCTGACACTGTAAGAGTTCCAGTCTCATATTGTACATTTACTGCCTCAGACCTAGAATCAGCCATTTCTCAAAGGTGTCCTTGTTGCTTCCAGTGAAAAAGGTATTTGGATGCTACAGTCTGCACTGAAAGATGTTCATGGTTAAATGGCTTATCACTTCCCAGACTTTTCAACACAAGATCTAGGAGAGATGTAGTTTTTCAAAGAAAGATGAAAATAAATAATAAATTTGTGTTGATATTCCAATTCTAATAGAAGGTTATAGAGTTTTTACTTATTTGATTTTATATTGCATCTTTTTTCCCCTATGCTGAAAATCATGGCTCCTAAATGATATTAACAGAATTATTTACTTTTCTGCATAATATATATAATAGTTTCCAAAATCTACCAGTATTACAACTATTAGTAAAAATGTTAGATGTAGTTAAATACAATTAGGCTTATTTATCTCATGTTGTTTTAAAATCTAGGTTGCTTGCTGGGTGCAGTGGCTCATGCCTGTAATCCCAGCACTTTGGGAGGCTGAGGCAGGTGGATCACTCAAGGTCAGGAGTTCAAGAGCAGACTGGCCAATTGCGCCACTGCACTGCAGCCTGGGTGACAGAGGGAGACTCCTTCAAAAAAAAAAAGAAAAATCTAGGTTGCTCAATTAAAAAGAAAATTAAATCCAAAATCCAAAATGGAAAAGAACCTTAAATATATCTAACGTTTTCTTTTTGAGTGGAATATCTAATTCATAATTTCATTATTTATTTAAATTATCAGTTTTGTTCTGAACACTCTTTAGCTGCATCTTGTCAACTCTAATGTCATGTTTTCATTTTTTTCTAGAAATTCTCATTAGCAATTGATATTTCCCTTTGAGACAAGCTATGTTTAATAGGAAAATTTTAAATTTCAAAATGGGGCTTTCTTATGTTTTGATTATAAATTTCTGGTTTTATCATATTATGGTGAATATTTAGATCATTTTTATGTGATTTACTGGGGCATACATGTCTGTATTGTAAATTAGAGTCAATTTTCTAAGTGTTTTTGTATTTTTTTGTCTAATTAAGAGAAATGTACTATAGTCTGCTATTATTAGTGTATTTCAATTTCTCTTTGAATCTCTTATAATTCCTACTGTATGAAAGTAGCTGCTGTGTTATTCACTGCATACCTTTTCATAAATCTTTTATTTTCACTGGGAATTGTAGCCTTTAGGATTATAAGATGTTCTTTGTCTCAATAATGGTTTTTGGTCTGAATTTTATTTTATTGAATTGCAAAATCTCAATTCTTTCTTTTTTTAATTTGCATTTTCTCAGTAGAACTTTACCCATCCTTCCTTTCATTGTTAGCATTTCTGAATTGTTTTGTTTTAGGTGGGTCTTTGTCTTTTATATACAGCATAGAGTTGGATTTTCCTTTGAAATCAACCTGTTTTTCTTTTTGTTTTAACACTGAGGTTGAGCCCTCTGTTGGCTGATATGTTTGGTCTCAGTTATCTCCTGTATTATATTTACCTGTGTAATATGTAGCATATTTGATGGTGATACGTGCTATTGAGGAAAATAAAGGAGAAAGGGTGCATAAAAAATGCTGGGGAGAATATTCTATTTTAAATAGTGATCAGGGAAGGCCTCACGGAGGAAGTGATTTTTGCACAAACACTTGAAATAGGCAAAAGAATGAATCATTTGGATAAATGAGGTAAGATTGTTCCTGACAGAGGACAGCTAGGGCCAAGGCCCTGAGGCATAGAGTAGCTAGTGTGCTCTAAGGAACAGCAAGGGAGCTGGTGTGATCAAAGTTGGTAAGCAGGAGAACAGTAGGAGATAAGACCAGAGGATCAGATAGGGCCCTGTCAGTAGGGAGCAGAGAGTCCCTCCTTCAAGAGAAATTTTGGTACCAGATGTTGAAATAATACATCTGCCATACCACAGTAATAAATTAATAACTCTATGAGAACACATAAATAACCCTGGGAATTCCAGCCTAGGTAGGAGAGGAAACTAGGCTTGCGGGTATGATATTTTGGGTACAACTCAAATTATGCATGAAAGTAGCTTCGTATTTGCTAACTTTGGGGGTTGGATTACTAAAGCACCTTTCCCAACCCATACGATTGCAGGAATCCTTGACTGTTCTTCAAGTCTCTCATATTTCAGTTTGTAGTTCATATCCTACCTCCAAACATATCAGATATAGATAACAACTATAGCTTTTGGCTATTTATCTGAAGCTGTACATTTACAGAGGAAGAATTTTATTGCAACATTCATATTAATGAAAGGTATTTTGACTAATACATGTTCAAAAAGCATGAAAACACTAAAATTCTATACTCAGAAGCTTGATTAAAGGACAGAAAATGAGAGATTTTTTTGAATTTTTTAAAAAAGTCAAGTATTAGTTTTTAAAGAGTTTTTTGTATTTTTTGTTTTTCTTTTTATAGGAAATCTGTTTTGACAGAAAACTATATGGCAAATGTGTGCGTGTGTGTGTGTGTGTTGGGGAGGACTAGGGATGAATTCAGTCTGTAATCTAGAAAAACTGTGTCCAGGATAGGAACAGAGAAGGGACAAACTTTATATGTATACACAGGATTACTTTTTCCTTTTCATGATGTGTTTTATTTGGAAGCATTTACATGTTCTCTTTCTCTTTTCCTCCTTTTTTTTTTCTCCTGCACCTTTCTTTTTCTTAAGCTAAGCTGTCACAGTGAAATACTGTGACTAAGCCACAACTCATATAGAAAACTGAACGGTGCATTGTAAAATAGGACACAAAACAAAAGACTTCATCCGAGAGCTGAGATCATCACGAGTACACAGACCCACTGCAGTAATTCAACAGTGTTTCTCAGAGCCCAGGACAATTTTTTCAATTCGTGATATCCTACTGCCCCCTGCTGTTCATGTGGAAGCACTGACTACAGAAATTAAAGTTTTCATAACATTGCACAGGTTTTAGTGCAATGTTAGCGTGCTATCAAAGAAAGTTAAGTAGTTCAAAGATTTAAACAGAGTAATTTAAGGAATTGCTTTCTAAAAGGCTGAATATCAAAGAAATTACAAAGCAACTTTCTCTACTGCCTGATATGTTGAAGAGAACTCTAATCCAGTTATTTGGCTAATGAATCCGGTTTCGTTTTTAAGTTTCTGAGGGGAGCAGAGCAGAAGGCAATTGAGGTAGCTTAGAGATAAATTAGTAAAGATAGAGCAGGGAGTAGATGGAGCAAATGAAAGGCAAAATGTGCAAGAAGGAGGGGGTAATGAATAATTTACATCCTCGAGGGTAAAGCAGTTCAGTCCTGAACAGATCGTTTACATTCCTCAGGGGGGTCGGGCAGAAACGGGCTCCACGGAAAAGCCCGGATGGGCCATTTGTGAGCCTCAGCTCTTCTGCCTCCTGCTCCTGGATTTGATCATGGAAACCTCTCAGGGCAGTTAGGATGAGTTGGAGCCTCTGAAGCAGAGCAGAGGCACATCATCTTTAGAGCTGATTTCCTGGGCTTCTCTGCAATTTGTAAAGAGCTCAGGGGCTGTCTCCTGGATGTAAGTCAGCCCATGTGCAAATGCGTATGTGTGAGCATGCGAGTAGGATGTTATATGTTCCACGTTTTAGACTCTGAGGGCTGCTAGTTCCTGCATGGCAGACCTTCCCCTTGGGATTAACTAATAAGGTGCTAGCGTTCCCCGTCACTCAGCAAAAGTAGTTAGAAGCTTGGGGCCTTGCTTCAGCATTTGTTTTTTTGCTGGGACTCTTTCTCCATGAGGAACACGACTGGAGAAGAAACGTTCGATATTTAGAAAATTAAATGTATCCATGTTATGATAGATGTAGAAATCCAGTCCAAACTGCTCGTGAAAGATGTAGTTTTTGCTATAAGTACTATAGGAGTGTCACTTCTAAAACTTCCAAAGTTCCTACTTCAAAGGCACAATGATGGATTTTAAAAAATAAAACTTTGAGAAAACATTTACATGGTTTATTTCAGGTAACAATTAATAACCTGATTCCTTAATGCTTGGGGCTGTTACGTTCATAGCATTGCTTTTAGTGCTATCATTTCCTATTTCTCTTGTATGACATATTGTATTAGTCTGTTTTCATGCTAGTAATAAAGACATACCTGAGACTGGGCAATTTACAAAAGAAAGAGGTTTAATTGGACTTAAACTTCCACGTGGCAGGGGAAGCTTTACAATCATGACAGAAGGCAAGGAAGAGCAAGTCATGTCTTACGTGGATGGCAGCAAGCAAAGAGAGAGAGCTTGTGCACGGGAATTCCTCTTTTTAAAACCATTAGATCTCATGAAACTTTTTCATATCATGAGAACAGCATGGGAAAGACTTGCCCGCGTGATTCAATTACCTCCCACCAGGTCCCTCCCACAACACGTGAGAATTAAAGATGCGATTTGGGTGGGGACACAGCCAAACCATATCATTCCTCCCCTGGCTCCTCCCAAATCTCATGTCCTCACATTTCAAAATCAATCATGCCTTTTCAACAGTCCCCCAAAGTCTTAACTCATTTCAGCATTCACTCAAAAGTCCACATCTGATACAAGGCAAGTCCCTTCTGCCTATGAGCCTGTAAAATCAAAAGCAAGTTAGTTACTTCCTGGATACAATGTGGGTACAGGCATTGGGTAGCCATTCCAAATGGGAGACATTGGCCAAAAGAAAGTTGCTACAGGCCCCATGCAAGTCCGAAATCCAGCGGGGCAGTCAAATCTTAAAGCTCCAAAATGATCTTTTTTCACTCCATGTCTCACATCCAGGTCATGCTCACACAAGAGGTAGGTTCCCATGGTCTTGGGCAGCTCCGCCCCTGTGGCTTTGCAGGGTACAGCACTCCTCCTGGCTGTTTTCAGGGACTGGCCTTGAGTGTCTATGGTTTTTCCAGGCACACGGCACAAGCTGTTGGTGGATCCACCATTCTGGGGTCTGGAGGATGATGGTCCTCTTCTCACAGCTCCACTAGGCTGTGCCTCAGTAGGGACTCTGTATGGGGGCTCTGACCCCACATTTCCCTTCCACACTGCCCTAGCAGAGGTTCTCCATGAGGGCCCCACCCCTGCAGCAAACTTTTGCCTGGGCATCCAGACATTTCCATACATCTTCTGAAATCTAGGTGGAGGTTCCCAAACCTCAAATCTTGACTTGTAAGCACCCACAGGCCCAACACCACATGGAAGCTGCCCAGGTTTGGGGCTTGCACTCTCTGAAGAAACAGCCTGAGCTGTACCTTGGCCCCTATTACTCACCGCTGGAGTGCCTGGGACTCAGGGCACCAAGTCCCTAGGCTGCACACAGAATGGGGACCCTGGGCCTGGCCCAGGTAACCATTTTCTCCCAGGCCTTCTGGCCTGTGATGGGAGGGACTGCCATGAAGACCTCTGACTTGCCCTGGAGACACCTTTCCCATTGTCTTGGGGATTAACATTCAGCTCCTCGTTACTTATGCAAATTTCTGCAGCCAGTTTGAATTTCTCCTCAGAAAATGGGTTTTTCTTTTCTATCACATTGTCAAGCTGCAAATTTTCCAAACTTTTTATGCTCTGCTTCCCTTATAAACTGAATGCATTTAATAGCACTGAAGTCACATCTTAAATGCTTTGCTGCTTAGAAATTTCTTCTGCCAGATACCCTAAATCATCTCTCTCAAGTTCAAAGTTCCACAAATCTCTAGGGCAGGAGCAAAATGCTGCCAGTCTCTTTGCTAAAACATAACAAGAGTTACCTTTGCTCCAGTTCCCAACAAGTCCCTCATCTCCATCTGAGACCACCTCAGCTTGGACCTTATTATCTATGTTGCTATCAGGCTTTTGGTCAAAGCCATTCAACAAGTCTTTAGGAAGTTCCAAAGTGTCCCACATTTTCCTGTCTTCCTATGAGCCCTCCAAACTGTTCTAACCTCTACCTATTACCCAGTTCCAAAGTTGCTTTCACATTTTTGGGTGTCTTTTCAGCCACACCCCACTCTACTGGTACCAATTTACTGTATTAGTCCATTTTTCATGCTGCTGATAAAGACATACCTGAGACTGGGCAATTTACAAAAGAAAAGGGTTTAACTGGATTAGTTCCATGTGGCCGGGGAAGCCTGGGGAATTCCTCTTTTTAAAACCATCAGATCTCATGAAACTTACTATCAAGAGAACAGCATGGGAAAGACTTGCCCCCATGATTCAGTTACTTCCCACTGGGTCCCTCCCACAACACGTGGGAATTCAAGATGAGATTTGAGTGGGGGCATAGCCAAACCATATCACTTATTAATATTTATTTTCTCAAAGTTATATTCTCCATTTGGGCAGTGCTAAAGATGAGAAGAAACACAGGGCAGGCTATGTCTTTAAGACTTTTATAGTAATTTAGAAAACTGTAGAACCATAGCATGATAATCATGGAAGAGTGAGGTGGGGCCAAGAGTAAGAAAATAATCTCCCCATTATCTTTTATTCTATCAGTTTATCCTATCCCCTCCCCCGCATCCCATCCACATCCCCTCCCATTTCTCCGTTCTACTCTTTACTATTTCATTTTATTTGTATTGATATTTAAATTTCAAATCAGGAATACTGGCTATTCTGTTTATGTAATTTTGCTCAATCCATAGTACAATGTTTGCATATAGTTGCAATAAATCTCTGTTATGAACACCAACACACTTACTAATTGCCTAGCATTATGCTGCTCCTATGTAAAACAGTTGTACATTTGATTTCAGGAAAGGAGAAAAGTGAAGTTGGAGGGAATTTATGTAGACCTATAGGAAGAACTAGAAATATTTGTTTGTATTCAGACTCTTAGGGGCAATGAGAAAGTTCATTAGTGAAAAAAGCTAGAACACAAAAATTTCACCTTGTAAGTATCTGCGGAAATATTTCTCTTTAATGGTTTTCTTATGTTGCTAAGAAGGATCAACTTTTAACATTTCCCTTTGTGTAGTTTCTTGTCAGATCTGTGTACACGCACCTACCAAAGATAGGGTGGGAATTTGCATTTTTTATCAATCCCGGAGAGCCGATAAGTTTAGAAAAAGAAATTTAAACTTACTTTTTTTTAGAATCAAGAACTAACTTACTAGTGTTTCGCTGTACAAAATTTACAGTTAATTGAAACTTGGTTTTGCCTTCTGAACTGTTTGCAACCCAAATTGTCTGCTCTTATTTGTTTTACTTAAATTGTATTGAATACTAATATCTAACAAAGTTGTAGCCCTAAGTGGTTCCAAAATTTCATTAAGTTACTGAGAAGTGGATCTTCTCTGCAAATGTATTGTGGTGTATATGATCTCTTTTCTTCCCCTTCTATGGTTCCAGGGACTCTTCATAGAAAGTTTGGAACTATTTTCTGTTACGTGGTAGTGGTAGAAATTTGGATGGAGGAAGTTCACAGGGTTAAAAAAATAAATTGTTGATAATAACAAAATAGTTTCAAGGCTTCTTTTAATTCTCATATTTTGTGATTTTCCTTCACATCAGACATTGCATAAAGTATGTTAAAACAAGGTCCCAACTTTTGAGTTTCATTTCAATTAGACAGTAAACTATTGTCTAATCACTAGGAAATATTTTGTGAGTGTTTCATTGCATAGGGTGCTGGAATAGATGCTGATTAGAGAGAACTGCACAGACTATGTTCCTGTCCTCAGGTTATTTATAATAGCATGTGAGATGAAAACTTAAAAAAGGTCAAAACACAGAATTAGAGGAAAAGGTGAGTAAAGTATTTAGCATTTTACTTCTATTTCAGTAAAATGTCTCTTGGGAGCCTTGGGAGGCAGGATAGAATGATTAAAAATGTTCAAAGAACAAACCTTCATGTCAAATTATCCACCTGAAAAGCTGGAATTCATAAGCGTAGACCTCCTGTAAGATACAGCAAAGAATCAGCCTTTCTCTACCCCTAGACTCCCTACGTCTTGTTTAAGCCTGGATCATCTCGGTTTGGATTGCAGAAAACCAATGGAAATTGTTAGAGCTCCTCCTTATTGATCTTCCTTGCACAGCCATATAGATAATATGGTTGAGATTTAGAAGAAAAAAGAAGGTCCACGTGACTGAAAAAAAAAAAAAACTGTGTTACTGAGATGCTGAAAATACATGATTAAGTAGCCCAAATAGACAACACAAATAATTTATGTATCTTTTAAGTTGGTCAGTATGAGGTTTGTATTTAAATTGCATCTCTCCTCAATTCAAATTGCCTTAGGCTTTTGGGTATTTAAAAATATTTTGTATTCATGAACACTTCTTTTATAATTGATGTAGATGCTTGCTTATAGCCCAAGTCTAATTTGTAAGCTGGAAAGTTCATTTATTTATTCATTTTACATCTATTATATATTAGATATAATAATTGATGAGCCAAATATGATGGTATGATGGTAGGGATTGTTTTTTTGTTTTGTTTTGTTTTGTTTTTGAGACAGAATTTTGCTCTTGTTGCCCAGGCTGGAGTGCAGTGGTGCGATCTTGGCTCACTGCAACCTCCGCCTCCTGGATTCAAGCGATTCTTCTGCCTCAGCCTCCCGAGTAGCTGGGATTACAGGCATGTGCCACCATGCCTGGCTAATTTTGTATTTTTAGTAGAGATGGGGTTTCTCCGTCAGGCTGACGGATTTGGTCAGGCTGGCCTCGAACTCCTGACCTCAGGTGATCCGCCGGCCTCAGCCTCCCAAAGTGCTGGGATTATAGGCATGAGCCACTGCACCAGGCCTGGGATAGGTTTTTAAGTTAATTTTAAAGCTTACTTACATTATCATGAGCTCTATTTACCTAAATTCCAAGAAATTCTGTGTGTGGGACAAAGCAGGGTCCCACCAAGTGGCCCTGCTACACTTTGTCTAGATCTCTGTTGTAGCACTTATTGCATTTTTCTTTTTTGACAATTTTGTCAGCTGGAATGAGAGCACAGTGTGGTCTGGATCGATCTGATTGTTACTGTGTCCTCAGCACCTAACACAAAACCTACAACACAATAGAAACCCAAAAAGAGTGGCTTGGATGAGTAAAGCATCATGTACACATGCATTGCTCTATCTAAGGGCATTTTTATTCTCAATGGGTGTTAAGGCCATTTCACACTCTGGCATATCATCTCTAGGAAAAGGCAGAACCCCTCTTATCTTAATATCTTCCATAATTTGACTGAATACTGAGCTGAAGCAGTTTCACATCAGAGTGAAATCTGATTCAAGTCATTTTTGTAATAATTAGACCTTAAGGTTTAGATTGAGTTATTTGGGTGATATTTATGAGAACAACTGTTTTATACTATTCTTAAGAATATTTTTCAATTTCCTAGTAGGTAAAATCAGGCTTTGGAGAAGCAGTTCTTGCCTGGAGAGGCTGATGAGGGGTTCTCTTGAGAAACCTTCGTAGCCATCCAGTATTAATTGCTTTCCATGTATTCAGTGGGTTTATGTCCACAGAAATACATTTTATGAGTACTTTGAGAATGAAACAGTGCTGAACGGAGACAGCAGTCATATGCAGCCAGAATTTATGTGAAATTACTGATCATTCTCATTTAGGGTGGGAGTAAATGATGGTACTTTGGAGTGAAATTTCTGGTTCTGTCCTTATAGCTCATACAGGATTGTCATTTACTGTTGAGTGGATTGTGAATTCCACAAAAAAACACATCTAAAGTGTATGCTACTTATAGACATTATAAATTTGGTTATTTATTAAGATAATTTTGTGAGCAGTAAAGTGTCTGGTTTTAATAAAATCAATATATTATGGCCACTTTTATTACAGATGGGATAACATTTGATGAAGAGGTACGTTGTTTTTTTATTTTGTTTTGTTTTGTTTTTGAGACGGAGTCTCGCTCTGTTGCCAGTCTGGAGTGCAGTGGCACGATCTTGGCTCACTGCAACCTCCGACTCCTGGGTTCAAGCAATTCTCCTACCTCAGCCTCCCGAGTAGCTGGGATTACAGATGCGTGCCACCACACCTGGCTAATTTTTGTATTTTTAGTAGAGACAGGGTTTTACCATGTTGTCCAGGATGGTCTCTATTTCCTGACCTCGTGATCCACCTGCCTTGGCCTCCCAAAGTGCTGGGATTACAGGCGTGAGCCGTTGCACCCAGCTGTTTTTTTTTAAATTTGTACAAAGGCTGTATATGGACTTGCGGTGCCTGAACTTGGACAAGTTACATAACTCCTTTGGCTTTCATATGGAGATATTAATACCTACCTTGCTAAATTGGTTATAAATATTACATGTGTGTGGCACACAGTCAGTGTTCAATAAATACTTTTGAATGAATATTAAAGCACTAAGCATAATGTCTGTGATACAGATTTGGTAAATTGCGGCCCATTTTTGCCTTGAATGAGGGAAATTTTAGATTAATAGTATATGTGTAAATATGTGCCTTTGAAGTTTCTTAAGTGTTTCATATTTTGCACTTAATTACTGCATGGTACTACCTAAAATGTTCCCAATAAGATGTTTGGGATCCTTCTTTAATTTCCTGAGGAGTACACATCCAGTATAAAGGAAATTATGACTATGTGACACATTGAAAGGAAAAATTAGTGACTCATAGTTGAGCTTATTTTGGAATCCTAAAATATGGGAATCCTAGGTTTGTAAGGAAACATTTAATCCAAACTACCATCAGTTACTTGAATTTCACTTTATTTATCAGATGTATATTGATCAGTTATTATATGTTGGAACTGTGCTATGCATGAGGACTACAAAGATAAATGAGATATTCTTGTTGAGAAGTTACAGACCTTTGCGTGAACATTTCCAGGGACAATTCACAATTACTAACCTTATTTTTAGGAATCTTATGACAATTCAAAATTTATCTTTATCTTTCATTTATTGGCTTAGCTTTTCTATTTAGGGTACAAAGAAGTAAGCATAATTATTTTTTAGAAAAATATTTCTTATACATGAACGAAATTGAATTTCTTCTGAGACATCTGTTCTTCAACTGAAACATCACTGCATTACTCTGCTGTTCCTCAAGCCTCTTCACCATTTTGCTCACTCCTCTGAATGCCTTCCAGGTTGTCTGCTAAGATGTGGAACATACACATAACCAGGGTGTCCAGGCTCCAGCTGTAGATCAGCCATCACAGAACAATTTCTTTCGCATATCAGATACTGTCTTTCAAATCTGTGGCATGATTTATACTCATAACTGTGTGACCAATATGTACTATAAACTGTCTAATCCCTATTGTTATTTAAAAAGAATATAGATGATCTCTCTAATTCCTTAAGGAGCTTTTCATATACTGTTCCAACCATCAAAATGATAATAATGGGGGCAACCTTGCTAGAGGTCTAGGTTATTGAATTACTATTTGGAAGTCATTTTTGGTCCAGTTAATTAAAGCCACTGTAATTTATATAATTTACGACAGGTAGGTGGTAGATAGCTAAGGAAGGACTTCTATAGCTTTGCAGATCTGTTTTCTATAAATTGCTGTGTCACCTAAACAATTGTTTTCAATAAACAATGTGATAGGTAATTCTATTTATAACTCTAAGCACTTACTAAAAAACCTTAATATCTATTCACTTTTTATTTTAGTTAACAAATGCATGAAATGCCTCTGTACCAAGTGTACTCTGACTCAGCACTTGGGACAAGTGCCCTGCCCACCAGAACAGTAGAAGAAGACAGTTCTAACTCAGAGACAATTTATAGCTGTGCACACTGCTATGCTTTGCTACTTATAGAAGAAGGAAAGGACAAACAGGTGTGGTAATGAATTGGAAGATGGAGACAGGGAAGAGACCTCTGTCTGTATGAAGGGTGAATGTTTGGAAGCCGTGGGAGAGGTAGACCTGGATAGATGGTATGTTAGTTTCCTAGGGCTGCTATGCCAAATTACCACAAACTTTGTGGCTGAAAACAAAGAAGAGCAAAGAAATTTGCTCTTCCATAGTCAGGAGGCCAGAAGTTTGAAATCAAGGTTTTGACCTGGCCATCCATGCTACCTATCAAGGCTCTGGAGAAGAATCTTCCTTTGTCTCTTTCTATCTTTGTCTCTTGGCAATCATTGGCATTCTTTGGCTTTTATATGCATCCCTCCAATCTCTGCCATTGTCTTCACATGACCTTCCTTCCTGTGTCTCCTCTGTATCTCTGTGTCCAAATCTCTCTCTCTCTATCTCTCTTTTTTTTTTTTTTCAATAAAGACACTAGTCATGAGATTAGGGCCTGACTTAATCCAGTGTGACCTCACTTTTACTTGATGACATCTGCAAAAACCACATTTCCAAAGAAGCTCACATTTACAGGTCTGGGTAATTTAGTCTGTTTGTGCTGCCATAACAAAATACCATAGACTCAGTAATTCATAAAGACCAGAAATTTATTTCTCATAGTTCTAGAGGCTGTGAAGTCCAAGATCAAGGCACCAGCGGGTTTATTGTCCAGTGATGGTCCAGTCTCTGCCTCCAAGATGGCGCCTGGAATGCTGCATCCTCTAGAGAGGATGAATGCTGTGTCTTCACACAGCAGAAGACAAAATGGCAAAAAAGGATGAACTCTCTCCATCAAGCCCTTTTATAAGAGCAACTAATCTCATTCACAAGGGAGGAGCTCTCATGCCTAATCACCTTTTAGAGGCAATACCTCTTAATACTATCACATTGGCAGCACTTGAATTTTGGTGGAGAAACTTTCAAACCATAGCCAGGAGTTATGCCTTGAACATATCTTTTAGCGGAAACAATTCAATCCATAACAGGTGAGATGGACCAAATTATGAAACACTTTAAATGAAGGTGGAAGAGTGTGGGTTTTATTTATAAGTCGGGGGCCACTAGAAACTTTAAGTAAGGGTGCTAATGAGATAATAACAGGAAGGTCTGGTGGAGGTATGCTATAGCATGCTGAGCTGAAAATGAAGTTTAGAGATGAGGATATTAATGAGGATATCACAGCAGTGTTCCATGGATAAAGTGAAGGATAGTTTATAAGGGAAGATGTAGAAGAATGTATTTTTTCAAAGATGGCTGCAGCAATGTCTCTCATACCACTTGCTCTTTGTAATGAGATCTTCTCACAGCCTTATCAATAGGTAGTATCTGTTTCTCTACCTGTGCATCCGGGCAGACCCAGTGACTGTTTTGACCAATAGAATAGGGTGAAAGTGACACCTTGCCAATTATTAATATACGCATAGACTTTTCCTGCCCCTTTCCTACCCTGAGAGCACCAAGCTGTAAGAAGCCTGAGCCATGGAGCTATGTAGAGAGGCCCTGGAGGCAGGGCCAGGGCCAGGGTGAGGCAAGAGAGGTGCCTTGTACAAAATTTAAGGAGGTGCTCTGAGGTGCATTTGCATGACACTGAGAAGAAGTGTCCCTTAAATTTTGCACCCAAGGCACCTCTCTTAACTCGATTCACACTAGTTCTGGACCTGCCGAGGGAGAGGGAGACAGAGAGGGAGAGGGAGATGGAGAGGGGAGAGGGGAGAGGGGAGAGAGGAGAGGGAGACCAGAAACACCATGGGAAGTGCAAGACATTAAAGGAAGGAAGCCATCTTGAACGTTGGTCCTCTGGCCCAGGCTAACAGCTGGCACCAAGTGGATCAGTGGTGAACCACCAAGCTGACCCGTCCTAAACTGATCCACAAAATGATGAGTAAAACAAAATTGTTGTTTTAAGCCACTTAGTATTGAGGTAGTTTGTTATGCCACAATAGATTACCTAAAACACCCTCATGTCTTGCCAGTATTATGTGAAGCTAGTAGTTGATTGAGAAATACCAAGTTGCTCTCTATTTACTGAAATTTAACAGAGCTGAATGCTTGATAGTTCCTTAGGGTGAAAGGATGAAGGAAGTGATGAGAGAGATTATAGCGGGTAGCAGTCTAGGAAATAGAATTTAATGCCTACTTTCTTCAGTTCACTGCTTAAGCTACATAGCCATATGGCTTTTAATGTTTAGGGTTCCAGAACAAAAAGGTACACACACTCACAGTTGGGGTCTTTATAGAAACAAAACTCATGTCTGTTTTGATCTATGCCATGCAGAGTGCTGTGAAATTCCCATTTTCAAGCAAATGGTCTGAATTCTGATGCTAAATGAATAAAATTTTCCCTGGATCTCATTAGCCCGCACTTGGGAAGGAGGGGAGTCGGTTAATCTATTTCTTCTTGGCTTTGTCTGAACAAATCAAGCTTTGAATAAGAGGTTTAATTTTATGAAGACTGAAGTTACTAATTTTCATTGAGTACCTCTGTTTTACAGTAATTTACACATTCTTTTGAATGGTTGTTGGAATATTTACTTATTGTCCTCTGAGGCATTTTCTAATTACTTGTAAGCAAGGCTGAGGAAAAAGAAAATCCAGAAAAAACGTTAAGAAAGGG
This sequence comes from Homo sapiens, assembly GCF_000001405.40. Classification (NCBI taxonomy): domain Eukaryota; kingdom Metazoa; phylum Chordata; class Mammalia; order Primates; family Hominidae; genus Homo; species Homo sapiens. Next base: position 107,224,566 of record NC_000003.12, on the reverse strand, counting down.
ACTGTTTGGTAGACAAGGTGTATTACACATAAAATTAAAATATAATGGATACTTTTAAAAGCCTTTAGTCCATTTTATAGCTTTCTCTGCTTCTGCAAGTACATAGTAAGTGAAGATTTCCCAACTCATTATTCATTTCTACATGATGTTAGACATTTTTATGACCTCCTAGAGTACTTATAATCTGTACTACACAATTTAGCAGCTAATTATATTATGTTCATTATTATGTCATTATAAGTTCTCATCCCCTCAACTAGATTATATGATCTTAAAAGTCAGAGAGCATGTCTTCTGTATTCACATTCCAACTAGCATAACCACCACTTGGGGCATTTTAATTGATAGAAGCATATTGAGTTCTAGTCCCTCAAATTTCAGTGAATGTTATCTGTGGAGCACCTGTCACAGCTCTGGATATAGGGGCAGAGATAGGCAAGTTACTTTTTCTTTCCCAAGGAGTTTGTCAACAAGTGTTAAGTACCAAGTACTAAGGCGAGGGATTACTTTGACAGAGTGACTTCCTTTCTCTTTTTCCTTTAGTGTCAGAACAGGGCAGAGGAAAAGCAGAGAGCCTTGAGCCACCATGTCATTATCATTTTGATGTAGATGGATTATTGGCATTTTTTTACTTCTCTAGTTGGACAAAACCTAATGGTGTCTGACCCAGGAAGTCTTACTTGTCTGAGCCACTAGGCTAAATGGTTGGCAGAATTACATTTCTCTTGTTTTGAGTAAGCATCGGGGTATCAGACTCACATTTTTTTATTGTGATAAGACATACATGACATAAAATTTACCACTTTAATCAGTCTTAAGTGTACAGTTTAGTGATATTAAGTACATTCACATTGTTGTACAATCACCACCATCATCCATCTCTGGAACATTTTTATTATCCTAAACTGAAACTCTGTACCCATTAAACAAACACTTCCTATTCCTTCATATCCCCATTGCCTGCTAACCACTATTCTACTTTCTGTCTCTATGAATTTGACTATTCTAGGTACTTCATATAGGTGGAATCATACAGTATTTGCCCTTTTGTGTCTGGCTTATTTCACTTAGCATAGTATTTTCAAGGTCCATCCAAGTTGTATGAGGTGTCAGAATTCCATTCCCTTTTAAGACTGAGCAATAATCTGTTGTGTTGTAATAATCCATATATATAATATCTACATTATATATATATAATGTTTTGTTGAACCATTCATCCATTGGTAGGCATTTGGTTGTGAATAATGCAGCTATGAACATCGATATACATACTGATCCCCATTATTCTGAACACCAACACTGACTTAATGCTCATGGTGAGCAAAGTACCCTTCTTAGCCGTTAAAATGCCTGGAAGAGTCAGTGAATCTCTGGAATTTCATAACTTGAATTCAGACTTAAATACTCATTAGGAAAATATGACTTGGCAACATTTTTTAGATTAGGATCGTGACCAATACTGGGATTCAGTAAATATGTCCTGTTTATTTGTCCTTCAGAGTGTTTCCTGTGTCCATTTTTTTTCTATTTTCTCATGACTTAATTGTATATCCTCATTGCTAGGCAGCAGGACTCCAGCAGTCACATTCTAACTGGTCTCTCCCTTTCTGATTTTTCTTATAAAATGCTGCTTTGATCGTTTTACATTACTGGACAAAAATTTTCAGTGGCTCCTCATCATGTACAGGACAAAGCCCAAGCTCGTTTGCCTGGCACATAGGCCTCTTGGGATCTGGCAGCAGCGTACCACTCAGGCCCTACTTCTCTCACTTCATGTAGAAACTCTGCCCAAGCCAACATTGTCTTCTCATTACCCTCTGAATAAATTATCATTTTCTTGGATTTTCTCACTGCTGTTTGTTCCATCATGTATAAACATTTGGATGCTGTCTTCAAGTTTTAGCTTAAATATCAGCATCTCTGCTAACTTTTTTTTAAAAAAAGATTTTGAAATGATTGCTTGCTCTTTTGAATGTGTGTGCATTTATTGTAAGACTAATCATGTTAATGATGTTTTTGCAATAGCTAACATTTTTGAGCCCTTGGGCTAAAGCTAAGTGCATTACTTGCATTATTTCATTCATTTTTATAGCATTTTATATGAAGTATATACTATCATTATCCATTATACAGATGATGAATTTGAGGCTTTGAGATGCTAACTTGTCCAAAATCACACAACTGTTAAGTAACAGATCTAGGTCTTGATCTCAAGTTTTTGCCGCCAAAGCATCACTTAAGATGTATATTTATTGCATTAATTAGATTATAGGCCTGTAAGTGAATAAGGGCTTTACTGAATCCCCCATGGGAGCTACCCATCAGTGGTCAAAGTCAGTAAAAGGCTGCCCATTGAATAGAAATGTTTTTTAAAATTAGCTCACTGTGGATAAGCTTAGCATGATTTTTCAACTGGTTACTTCATACTGTTTCTTCAAGATGAGGAAAGCTTCACAACTGTTCATGTTTGATTAGGCGCATTCCTGAGGCATGTCTTTCTGTCATAGCACTGACCACACTGACCGTAGTTATCTGTAACCTGTGTGTCTCCCAAACATCTTTGCTTGGATTCCTGGTACCTAGAACAATAGCCTGCCTGCACATATGCTCAATAAATGCTTATTAAATGAATGAATGCATCTGTGGCCATTGTCCATCCTAAAAATTACTTTCTAAATGTGTTGCTGTTACAGAGTTGAGTAATACATAATTCCAGTAAAGTCAAACAAAGTATCTCCTCAAGAAGGCAAAATGACAATGTAAATGAAAACTATATTTTAAAAATTTGTGCTGCAACTTACCTTTCAGGATGTAATGGTTTTTGTGGTAGCATTTAACAAAGGATATTTGAATGTAAGCGGTTGATGTCTATATTCATGGAAAAGAGAACCTGTGTGTTAAAGGCATGAGTGTATTTGGTCTATAGGCAATTTGGGAGCAGGCATATTTCAGAGTTTCATACAGTGTTCTTTAAAATTAGCCAATTCTGTTTTTTCTGGTTATGTGCTTTCCAAACAATCTTCTGATTAATAATTGGATTACTCAAATACCTTGATACTTAAAAGCCAATACCATAGAGAGTAGATATTAATATACTAGGAAACGTATATTCTAAACAAAAATAAAATATGAGTCTTTATGTTTTAATTATTTAGAGTTTGTTAACTTTGTTTTAAAAAATTGAAGCAGAAAAGCTGAGGACCTACCTTAGACAGCAGTGACACATCTAAAATATTTCCCCTAGAGTTCTTGCCTGAGAAGCTAGTAAGCTTTTTCTTAATGTTTCTATATAGATAGATCCATCAATATCTGGCACATTGCTTTACATACAGTGGACATATAACAAATACTTTCTTTTTATTTTGTCATTTCAATAGAATATAGTACTCTGAAGCAACAGTTGTCAATCATTTTCTCTTTGTGACACACATGATAGATGTAACTTCAACCTTCTAACACGTTCCCACTTGCCAACTCAAGTTTATGCTTCATTTTATGTATACCAATTGTAGCTGCACTTTCTGCCTCCCATTCTGGAAGCATATGGAAATGTACATGAGAATGTGTTATTGTAGAGGTGATAATAATAAGAAATGATAATAATAATAATACTATAGCAAGAATATTTCAAATACCATCTAATCACTGTTTTGTTTGTAACCTTGCAATAGTTTCTTGTTGCCTAGAGCCAGTTCCCAAACTTTTGTTTGGGACACAGAACTCACCATGGTGGTAGTACTGGTAGCAGCTGGGTGCCTCAGCCCCTGCAGGATGGAGATCCACTCTGGCAGACCTCCAGGACCCTTCACATTCCACACCATCTGAAAAATCTCAAGAGATGTAAGAATTACAACTTAGCATTCATTGTGAGCTCATCTTGCTTCCCAGTCAGATGCGGGTATATGTAGATTCCTGGATACTCCAGGATTGTGAACTACTCTAGGGAAATCTCAGAGGCAATTTGATATGGACTGTACCTTCCTGAAAGTTTGTTAAAAATGCAGTAACAGAAATACTTTGGCCTGCTATGAAGTTAGAGAAACTGCACAACAAGGATAAACTTACTTGACTCTGAAGATTTTATTTTTGAGCACTGTACTGCCACTTCCCATTTCATTAGGAGTTTAATTCTGATAAAAATTCAGCTCCTTTGCACAACAGAATGTTAATTTTCCTTGAATTTCAGACATTTTAATAATGTCCATCCTAAAAATTACTTTCTAAATGTTCTTTTGTCCCTTATAGGCTAGTTTATGGTACTTCCAAAAGGATTCCCCAAGCAATTCGGAGCAATCGAGTCATTGATGGACTATCTTTTAATATCCTAAAGCTAAAATAGTAAATTATTTATTTATTTATTTATTTATTTATTTATTGAGACGGAGTCTCTCTCTCTCGCCCAGGCTGGAGTGCAGTGGCGTGATCTCGGCTCACTGCAACTTCCGCTTCCTGGATTCAAGAGATTCTCCTGTCTCAGCCTCCCGAGTAGCTGGGACTACAGGAGCATGCCACCAGGCCTGACTAATTTTTTGTAATTTTTGTAGTAGAGACGAGGTTTCACTCTGTTAGCCAGGATGGTCTCGATCTCCTGACCTCATGATCGGCCCATCTCGGCCTCCCAAAGTGCTGCTGGGATTAACAGGCGTGAGCCACCACACCTGGCCAATAATTTATTTTTTTCATACTCACATTATGGTATAATGGAAAGAATGACTAGGTTCAGATCCTGCTTCTACAACTTACATGCTAATTAGACATTGGGCAATGCAGTTTCTTCATGCATTCATTCATTCAGCAGATGTTACTGAGTCCTTACTTTGTGGCAGACATAGTATTAAGCTCTGAGAAGGGAAGTCAATAAAAATAATCTCTGAACGTCCACGGAGATTTTAGTCTATTGGGGGAGACTGGCAAGCAAGTTAGCAGTTAAAGTGGAGTGTTACTATGGAATTATGTAGCAGGGTAGAGTCCTGTGGAACTTAAAACCAAGGCAGGTGTGAATTGAGAATGGGGGAGAGTGTTAGGGAAGGCTTGTTGGGGAAAGCAGTGCTTAAGCTGAGTCTTAAAGCCAAGTATAATTTAGTTGAATATAGATATAGAAAAGAGATTCTAGTAGCATGAACAAGCTAACAGGGAAACATAAAATAATAAAACATGTTTATAGACCAATAATTACTGTTCATTATTACTGTTACAAGTGTTCCATCTTGATGAGACAAAGGAGATAAATCTTGGCAAATGTTTCCATTTCCTTTTCTCTAAAATGGAGATAATTATATCTACCTCGTGGATTTGTTGTGAGCACTCAATAAAACAGCCTTTGTCTAGTGCATAGCCCATGCGTGGTGTTCAACAATGCCAGCTCCTTTTGCTCCCTACCGTCCACCCTTTCTCTTGCCCTTTCTCACTCCTAATTTTCCTAGGTAGAAACACCCTGTGATGACTGAGTTATCAATTTGGAAATGATGGCCCTGTGTTGGAATGTGAAGTCTGTTTTGTTTCTGACCGGAATTGTGGAACTGAATGGGGGCTGGGCTTGACAGCAGCATCCCTTATTTTGACCCTGCTCAGCTTCCTATGTCATCACAGTTGGTATTTGAGGAGGGCACAGGCTCCCAAAGGGCACTGTATTCTTGATCTGTGTGTTTTGCTGAGCCCGGTGCTGAGCACAGGTCATGTGCGCTAGAGTGCCTGGAAAAGCCTTTGAATAATATCGTTGTGTATGCTGTCTTGTTTTTTACCACTTTGAGGTCTCTAAATTTGGATGTGTGTCAGGGAGCACAGTTTTTCAGTACATATTTTTTTTTCTGCAGAGCAGGTCCATAGCTTCCATAATCCAGCAAATATTAAGGACCCTTCCCTTTGGGGATTTTTAATCTACATTTTAATATTTCTTTCAAGGAGCATTGTCTCAAATACTGAATTGGGTCACTGGGAAGAATTACCTAGTGTGGAGAGATTTTCCTCATCCCATGGTTTATTGTTAGTAAGAAGCTGTTATTTATGTTCAAGTGAAGTTTTCCCAAATGTTTGCCATTTGCAAATATCTTTTATTATTTTCGTCATACCATGGACCATCTATTCTGTAACCTGCTTAATATTTTTCTTTAAATCTCCAGCCTTTTAAAAACATACATAAGTTTAATTTCCTCCCAAGTAATAATAGTTGTGAAGTCATGGGCTGGATGTGCTGGTTATATTTTTCTAATATATTTTCAAGCAAATCTTAAAAAATTGTTCATTTCACCACTTAATATAGGAGTTGGCAAACACAGCCAAGCCATTTTAAAATATATTCTCCATGGCTGCTTTTAAGCTATAATAGCAGAGTTGTTTAGACAGAGACAATTTGGCCTGGGAAAACAACCATATTTATTATTTGGCTCCTTAAGAACAGGTTTGCCAACCCCTGATCTTAAATTATTTCCAAACTATAAGCAGAACATAAACCTACTCTGCAGAATGTCACCCAGTGCATTCGCCAAGGGACAGTGTGTTAGATCCTTAACATTTTTTCCAGAATCAGCAAGTACTTTACCTTTTTATTCTGGACATGAAATATTTAATCAATAATATATGTTCTGAGAACTTTGGTGACAAGCCTATTTGAGATCAAAAGAAAAACACAGACATTAAGGATAATTTATATATTTTTAAATAAAGGGAATTTTTGCCTATAAAAATATCTAATGGTAAAAAAAAAAAAAAAAAAAAAAGCATAAAGTAAGAAGTCAAAATTTCCCGGCAAGGAAACTCCATTCTCACCCATTAAAAACAAAATTCCTTATATTTCCTGCTAGTCATTTTTCTGTGCCTATTCAAGAGAAAATACATTCTTTTTGTTTTTTAAAATATAGTATTTTTTAAAATTAAAAAAACATATAAATATGCACTACTTGTTTATAACTTATATATACTTCTTTTGTTTAGAAGTATAAGTAATATGGCTAAAATTATAAGTTGTTTAATATTCCTTCCAAGTATTTCTTGAATCTTATTGAGATGCAATTTCTATATTGTAAAAATCACCCATCTTAGGTTTACAATTCATTGATTTTTTAGTAAATTTACAGACTTGTGCAACCATTACCGCAATCCAATTTGAGAACATTTCTATCATTCCCGAAAGATTCCTCATGCCCATTTGCCTTTAATCTGTGTTCCTGCCCCAGCCTCAGGCAACCACTAATCTACTTTGTTTCTATGGATTTGCCGTTTCTGGACATTCCACATAAACGGCGTCATATATCATACAATTTTTTGTATCTGGTTTCCTTCACTTAGCATTTCAAAGTGACTTTAAGGTATAAGGGGGAAAGGGTTCAAATAGCCCAAGGTATCTTTATTCTTTTGCTTAGGTTGCTCTAGTTACAGTCAATGATCTGTTTCCTTTGCTTTGGAAATTTGCCTTTGAGACAAGCAGTGATACCAGTGCCAGGTAACCTTTGATGTTTTAAAAGCAGTTCCTGACATTCACCACTTCCCAAACCTGTATGGCACACATGGAAATGTTGATATTTGGGCAGCACTCTGGAGTGAAGAGAAGAGACTGCTCACCGCTGGTAGCAACAGGTCCAGGTGGCTCTGGGCCCTGCCCTGGCCACTTTGAGTGGAATAATATCTTGGTACAGCTGTAGCAAATGTGCGTCAGCCCAGTGTGCTCTGCCATACAGGCTAGGAAGTTTTCCTACAAAGCTTGTGGTTTTGATGTAACAAAACCTTCTCAGTGTTCTTATGAAAGTGTCATATGGGCCCAACTCCAAGATCCCTTTTCTCAGCTCAGCTTTTATCTAAAATGATGACTAAAAGCCTGTTCGGAGGCTGCCAAAACCAGTGAGGAGCTGAGTTAATCTTCTCTCTAATATGTCCACAAATATAGATGTACCTATTCCTTTCTTAACAGCTGAATTAGAATTTCATTGTTTCAACAGAATTAATTTAATCCGTTCATTAGTGTGTTTTCCTCCTTTTTCATTATATGAGCTGTGGTAAAATTTCACATTGCCACTTGCATGTTCTTTCCTTCTTGTGCAAATATCTGTAGAATAAATTCCTTCAAGTAGGCCTGCTGGGTCACAGGCTGTGCGCAATTCAAATGTGGTTATCTGTTACCTGAAGTGGCAGGTTGATTAGCGGGATCCTGGCCACAGCTGATGATGGTATCAGTGAAAGGCTATGGGTACTAGAGCAGTGGTTCATAGGGTAGGTGCAGCTGGGTGAGGATGAATGTATTTCAGTGTGTCCTAGATGTGGAAATTGACTGGGGATTCTGATACGGGCACCACTATACATGCACGGGTTCACTTCCAGGCCACTGCCATAAAGTGAATATTGAAATAAAGCAAATCACATGAATGTTTTGGTTTCCCACTCCCTATAAAAGTTATGCTTACACTATACTGTAGACTGCTGTGAATACAATAGTGTTATGTCTAAAAAACAATGTATATATCTTAATTAAAAATTGTTTATACTAAAAATGCTAATGATCATCTGAGCCTTCAGTGAGTTGTAATCTTTTAGCTGCTGTAAGGTCTTGCCTTGAAGTTGATGGATGCTAACTAATCAGAGTGATGGTTGCTGAAGGTTGGAGTGGCCATGGCAATTTCTTAAACAACAGTGTTTTTTGCTGCATCAGTTGACTACCTTTGATGAAAGACTTCTCTGCAGCATGCAATGCTGTTTGGTAGCATTTTCGCTACAGTGGAACGTTTTTCAAAATTAGAGTCAATCCTCTCAAACCCTGCCACTGCCTTATCAGGGAAGTTTATGTAATATTCTAAATCCTTTGTTGTCATTTTAACATGTTCTCAGCATCGTCACCAAGAGTAGATTCCGCCTCAATAAACCACTTCTTTTGCTCATTCATAAGAAACAACTCCCAATCTGTTCAAGTTTTATGAGATTGCAACAATTGTCACGTCTTCAGGCTCCACTTTTAATTCTAGTTCTCTCACTATTTCTACCCCATCTGTGGTTACTTCCTCTCAAATTATTGAACCCTTCAAAGTCATCCATGAAGGCTGGAATCAACTTCTTCCAGATTCTTGCTAATGTTGGTGTTTTGAAATCCTTCCATGAATCATGAATGTTCTTAATGGCATCTAGAATGGTGAATCCTTTCCAGAAGGTTTCCGATGGACATTGCCCAGATCTATCAGAGTAATTACTATCTATAGGGGAAGCTATAGCCTTATGAAATATATTTCTTAAATAATGAGACTTGAATGTCAAAATTACTCCTTGATCCATGGGCTGCAAAATGGATGTTGTATTAGCAGGCATGAATACATTAATCTACTTGTATTTCTCCATTGGAGGTCTTGAGTGACTAAGAGTCTTGTCAATGAGCAGTAATATTTTGAAAGGAATCTTTTCTTTGAACAGTAGGTCTCAACAGTGGGGTTAAAATATTCAGCAAAACATGCTATAGACAGATGTGCTATCATCCAGGCTTTGTTGTTCTACTTGTAAAGCAGAGGCAGAGTAGATTTAGCATAATTCTCAAGAGCTCTAGGATTTTTGGAATAGTAACTGAACATTAGGTTCAACTTCAAGTTACCAGATGCATTAGTCCCTAACAAGAGAGTCAGCCTGTCTTTTGAAGCTTGAAGCCAGGTGTTGATTTCTCCTCCCTGGAACATGGAAGTGGCAATGTGAAATTTTTCTCTATGCCCATATGGAGTCCTATATGGCATCTTCTTCCAATAGAAGGATGGATTGTCTACATTGAAAGTCTGTTGTTTTCTGTAGCCATCATCATCAATGATCTTAGCTAGATCTTCTGGATAATTTGCTGTAGCTTCTACATTAGCATTTCCCCTTGCACTTTTTTGTTTTATAGAGTTTTTTTTTTCCTTAAACTTCGTGAGCTAACCTTCACTAGCAAATGTTTCTTCTGCAGTTTCCTCACCTCTTTCACCCTTCATAGAATTGAAGAGAGTTAGGGCCTTATCCTGGATTAGGCTTTGGCTTAAGGCAATATTGTTGCTGGTTTGATCTTCTATCCAGACCATTAAAATTTTCTTCATATCAGCAACATTGCTGTTTTGCTTTCTTATCATTTGTGTGTTCACTGGAGCAGCACTTTTAATTTGCTCTGAGAAATTTTTCTTTGCATTCACTACTTGGTTAACTGGTACAAAATACCTAGCTTTTTGGCCTGTCTTGGCTTTCAATATGTCTTCCTCATTATGCTTAATCGCTTCTAGCTTTTGATATAAAATGAGAGATGTGCAACTTTTCCTTTCACTTGGACACTTACAGGGTTATTACTTGGCTAATGTCAAGATTGTGTCTCAGGGAAAAGGGAGGCTATACGAGAGGGAGAGAGATGTAGGAATGGCCAGTTGGTAGAGCAGTCAGAACACATACAACATTGATTAAGTTTGCTGTCATGGCTGGGCGTGGTGGCTCACGCCTGTAATCCCAGTACTTTGGGAGGCTGAGTCAGGTGGATCACTTGAGGTCAGGAGTTCGAGACCAGCCTGGCCAACATGGTGAAACCCTGTCTTTACTAAAAATACAAAAATTAGCTGGCCTGGTAGTGGGTACCTGTAATCTCAGCTACTTGGGAGGCTGAGGCAGGAGAATTGCTTGAACCCAGGAGGCAAAAGTTGCAGTGAGCCAAGATTGCGCCACTGCCCTCCAGCCTGGGCCACACAGTGATACTCTATCGCCAAAAAAAAAAAAAAAAAAAAAAAGCTTGCTGTCATGTGGGTGCAACTTGTGGTGCCCCAAAGCAATTACAGTAGTAACATCAAAGATCGCTGATCACAGGTCACCACAACATATATAATTGTAATGAAAATATTTGAAATATTTTGAGAATTACTGAAGTGTGACACAGAGACACGAAGTGAGCACGTGCAGTTGGAAAGTTTGTGCTGATAGACTTGCTCGACGCAGGTTTGCTGCAAAACTCCAATTGTAAAAAAACAAAAAATGTTATTATCTGTGAAGAGCAGTAAAAGGAAGGGCAATGAAGTGAGGTATGCCTGTACTAGAGTTTGTTTGTGTGTTTCTGCCCAAATGGTTGAATGCTGTTCTGATTGTATTTGGCATCGAGCTAATCAGAGCTGTCGTAAGGGGAACTATGGTTTTGGAGTTTGTTGTGCTTGGCAATTCTAAGGAAAGTAGCCATTAGAGCAGAAGAAAGTGACCTTACAAACTGATGCTAAAAATATCCCCGGTCTACATAAAGAAAATACACACAAACCTCTCATAGCCTTTCTTAAAGAAAGAGTAGAGTTACCTTTCCTAGATATCAAACATTCAGTCTCTATACTGTCCTTTGGTGATGGGATTTTTTTCTCTGCCAATCTGCATTCACTGCTTATTTTAAACTTTGGAAATGAGCAAGCGAGGGCTGAGAGTGAAGAAGCTGAACACATAGCAACATTTATGTGGTTTTGTGCACCATCAAGTAACAAACTGTAGCTTTTGGATCTCTGGACATCTACTTTTGCACTGTAATAAAATAATTCTAGGGCACAATTTCAAGTTATAGGACAATGATACTCTGTGAGTTTCAACAAGAGGGGAAAATGAAAAAGGATGTTTTTAAGTGAGGGTAGAAACACTTTCAAAATGAATGAAACTCTTTGAATTACAGTGTACTGTGACATAAAGAAACAGTTGTGGGTCAACTTCAAAATTCTGGTGTTTTCATCTCTCGGAATTTCTTGGCAGTGTCTCCCACTTGAAGGTTTATAGTGAGTATAATGTACCATTTCTACTGATCAAAGAAAGTTACTTGGTGTCAAAAAGCTACTTGGGAACCAGCCTGATTACTGGGTTATTTCTTAATGAGTTCTGGCACATGGTTCTCATCTTTTTAAGAGGGAAAAGTGTAACTCGGCAGCACCAAGTGGAAACATAAGCATTTTGGCAAGTGTGGAGATGCAGCACAGCTGGATAAAAACTCCCTGCTTTGAAATCTCGTATCTCAAATGCTACATCCATTTTTAAGCACATTGCACTGTCAGTTCAGGTTTCAATATGAACAGGAACTGGGGCCATTCAATGATATAGTAATAAATCAAAGATTGGGATCTATTCACTGGATTGCTTGCGCTCTCTTTTTTTTCTTCACAAGTAATTTGTGAGGACAACAGGTGAGGGACAATGAAGGAGGAGAATATGATGCATGGGTGTTGCGCTGTCGGCGGAAACCTTGGCAAGCAGGACACTTAAGACAGTAATTTATCCTGTGGCATGATCTTCACCTCCTGAATCAGCATTCCTCTGGTTAATCAGGGGAACACAAGGCACTGATGGTTTTTCTTTTAAAAATGCCTTTTATTTTTATTATAAAGTAATACCTGCCTATAAAATGCAGGAAATAAAGGAAAATTTAATTGGTAAAGATGTTGCCTACTGCAGCTTTCAGCTTTCCATCTTTGACACACAATTGTCCCTGTAATCCAATACAACTTGAATAAAGACCTCAGTCTCCCAAGCATACAATCTAGTCCTTCAATGGCAGTCAACAAACATACAACAAGTTGCATACCCTGAGTCAGGCACTGGACTAGGTGCTGAAAATACAAAGGGAACACAGATTTGGTCCCTGACACACAAATCTTAATGGAGAGTGGAAAATTATGAGCAATTAAACTAGTGACTAAGTCTGGGAAATTACTGGATATCTGAAGGCTGAATGAATCTGTATAAAGACTAAAAGAGAAGAAGTGTAGAAGTGGCATGTGTTTTTTCTATGAACACATGTGTTTTCTATGAATCTTGGCTTCCTCACCTGTGAAATGAGGAGGTTAGACCAGATGGTTTGCTGGATGATCAACTTGTCCCGGCTTGCTTGGTACTTTCCCAGTTTCAGCAGTGAAATGTCCTAGGAATCTTTTTAGTCTCTGTTTTAAAACTGAAAGTCCCTTGTCCTGGAGACCCCAAAGTCCTGGGAAAACTAAGAGGGTTGGCCATCCTATTTATATGGTTATTTCTAGTTCTCATATTCCATGATTGTATTTTGAGAAAGAGTACTTGAAGTTTATGATATGGCCACAGGGTAAGACAACTTAGATTGAAATATAAGTACATTAGCAGTACTATTATTATGTTTTTAATCCTAAAGTGTGATTTATTTAAACACATTTTGGGCAAAACAAGCTTTGTGTTCTAGCTTATGACAAAAACATTAGTATTGTATTTTTGGGAAAATAAGTTTTATTCTTCCAAGAAAATATCTCACAAATAAATATTTGCAAGCACTTTGCAGGGTCACAAAGTTTTATGCAAGCAGTTATCTTTGTTGTGATTCTCAGTTGTGTCCTCTAAAAGTCTGGTGTAGTGGAAAGAGTACTGGCTTTGCAGTCAGGCAATTTTTGTTCTTTTACTTACTGACCATGAGAGCTGGAGAAAATAACTCCTCTGTGATACAGTTTCTTCTTTTATAAAATATGAATAATAATGGCTACCTGGTAGGGTTGTTAGGAGAATCTGAGTACATGGGCATGTAGAAGTGCTCAATGCAGATTTTTTTTTTATTTCTGTAAACAGTTTGCTTTCTGTTATACTTAAAGGGATCTGGATGTGTTTGGGATTCAAGTGAGAGAGATGATCTTTATAGGAGTGTATCAACAAAATCTTGACTATGAATACATATATCCGCAAATACACAAGTATATACATATACAAATATATATTCCTCATTAATATTGCACAAAAGAGCCAAGCCATGTCCTAAATGTTACTACTGAAAATTAAGATCCAATCTAGGCCATAGAGTCCTGTAAACCCCATTTAAAATAGGGTTGAAAATTTGACTATTATAATGAGGTAAAAATGGATTTGACTTGTCCAATAGCCATTAAGTCTAATGATTTATTTGTATTTTAAAACACAAAAAAAGGACTGGATATTTGCAGGTGGTACCTTACTGAATGCTGATCCATAGGTTACTCTAACAAGGGTAATTTTACATTTTAAATAGTAACATTTAAAGTCAGAATTCTTAAATGTACACCAAGAATGATGGCTAATGAGTAATAACAGCTTAAGTTAAAAAGCTTAACAATAAGTTAATTCTTGTGTGCATTTATTACAAACACTACTGTGAGAAGTAATGGCTAAAGTAAAAAAGAGGGCAGAAAAAAACATCTGATGCTATAATGCGTCTAAATAAAGAATGTGAAACATAAAGTTTTGTTCTACATCTTCACTGGAGATTTTAAAGGGCAAGGAGACCTAGCTCCTTGAGATGTATAACTATTTGCTGACAAGTTGGAGTGTCATTAGCCAGTGTTCTAGAAAGTGAATAATATAATCCCCCCCCCCCAGCTCTACATTGATACATTTCTTAGCTAGGAGACAAATGTTAGTTTGTATTTCGTAGACCAAACTATTTTAACATCTCCATTTTCATTTGTCTGTATAGACAAAAATGTTTGGCCTACAAAGACACAGCCGTGAATATTGAATGACCCAGTTCAGTATCCATTACCTGAATGTTGTTGTGTCCCCACTGTATGCAGGGGAGATGTGGTAGGCATCGGGATGGATGATGACGATGATGATAATTAAATGAGTGAACAGACAAACAAACGGCAGGCATATTTCCTATCCTCTTAGTGTTTACAGTTTTGCTGCAGAGGAATGATTTTATGAAATAACATAAGTAATTTAGCTGAGATTATTTAAGCATGAGTTTTTGGAACATTTTCCCCCAGAATCAAAAAAGTAGGGTCAGTGCCAAAGCAGCCAGTTCCAAAGCGATGCTCTAAAACCTTAGAAGTTTCCTTGGAGTAACAAAAAATTTCCAGGAAGTGAAGCAGTTTATAAATAGTTTCAGATCTTTGTGGAAATACACAGAGAAACTGGCAGAAAATGAATCCATGGAGATTTTGACAAGACCCCTCTAAGCAAGATCTAAAGACAACATCAGATGGAGTTGTCTGTGGATTATGTACGTATTGTCAGAGACATTCATGCAAAATAATGGGTTTGGTGGTGACAGGGTTACAGCCACAACAAGAAAGTGAGATACAGTTAGTGGAATTCTCAAGTGCTCTCTTAGGATGAATAAACCTTAAGAAAGAACACCCTGCTTTTGTAACAGATGAAGAAAGGCTATGGAAGAGACAGATTCTGGTAAGACAGAGCATTCTCTAACACTAAAGATGACATTTCTGATCTATGGGCACGGGCTTTCACATGGGTTAAATGGGTGCAGCAAATAGTGTTTCAGCTGTTTTTGGATTAAATGAGTTGTTCAGGATTTGTAGTGTAACGGGCATCCATGGAAAACATTTCAGTATTTTAGAGAGCCGTACCTTCTATGTGTCTCAACAGTGTTATTTGAGGGCTCTCTAGGAAGGCTTCCCTTATCTAATTCTCTCTCAAACTTTTGAATAAAAGTCCTATTATTAGCAATTCCTGTGTGGTGACCATCATCATTTCCCTTTGTCTCTTTTTGAAGATGAATAATTGCAGAGAATGGAAGTACCCTTTCTCCATCACACCTTGGATCAGTGCTTATTAGATCACTTTCCTGATTGATGACAAAGATGGGAAAACTTGAGAACACTTCTCAGTATAGAAGGAGGAGGGGTGAAGAGAGGCTGCAGAAATGGTGTTAGAGTCCTGGATGACAACAGTGCTGGCTTATCAATGTTTTCAGGGCACTGCCGAATGAAACATGAGATTTGTATACAAGAACTTGAGAGCTAAGAAATGTTTACTTTGCCTAGGAAATACCCACTGGGATATTGTTAGGATGGAAGTAATGAGGAAATAATAATGATGATAATATACTTTTTAAATTCTCTCAGCATTGTTGAAAAATATGATTATAACATTGCAGTGGTGGACAACTTATCAATACCAACCTCCATGGAAATCTAGGTCAAAGAAAACGTAACCACAGGGCCGAAAAAATAAATCCATGAGATGGCCTTTAGCAAGGTCACAGAAGAAAATAATTTCCAGCCCTGAGAACCCCGTGATTTCCTTCTTGTTTCTTTTCATCTTTATCCATTCTGTATTCCAGTATTTTGTATCTAGTGTTCTTCTCCTAACCCTATGCCTTTCTCAGTATGGATATTTTCGGTCTAAGACCTGAGGATATTGCCACTGTTTTGGTGATTGCTTTTGCACTTGTGTAGCAGCTTTTAAATTCCCATCTTTTTTAGCAGCTGCAGCCAGACAAACATATGAGTCAGTGGGAGGGGTTTAGAGGAACTGGCTCAGTTCTCAAGGGAGCAGTAACCTTTTGGCAGTCCAACAAAAAGAACATTTAAAGTCCAGTGACTGCAAAAGCTCTCTCTGTACATGTGATAGCAACTGCAGTTTTCCCAAGGTCTACTAAGGGTTTTTTCAGGAAGAGTCAGGTTTCTGCCTATAGAGAGACACATTCCTGAAGGCTTAACTCTGACCTCATAGCTCAAGTGGATACAAAATAAAATCTGGAGACAGCTGGGAAGTGATAAAGGGCAAGGAAGAAATTTGGGGATATGAAAGTGACAATGTTTTATTAAATGTTCTCACTGGGTTTTGTTGCCTGTATACCCTACAGCGCAAATAATGAAGGACAGCTAATCTTTCTTTTTTCAGTACTAGTTCAGGGTACAGGATCTTTCTCTCTACTGTGTTCACATAAGAGATTCTCCAAGAATTGTTTCCCTACCTGGTGGTCCTTGAGAGCCTCTTAGAGGAATGGGCATTTTCAACTCAATCCTTTTCACCTGTTCATCCTCAAGCAGAGGTCCACAGGCTGGGATGTGCCTGTGTCTGAAACTTCTACTTTAAGCAACTAGTTGCTGATATTTGACTTTTTACAAAAATGCCAATTTGATCAACTTAAGAGGAATACAAAGATAAGAGTGGCTTGTTGATTTCTGCAGGAAACCAATAAATGATTCCTTGTTTCTCCGTTTCCTTGCATTGTTCTTCCCTGTACATTATTTTCTTTCTTCTTTATTGCTTATCATAAAAAGAAGAGTAAGGGGGTCTTATGTGGAAGGGATGAATAATAGAAAATTATTTTTGTGTCAAGTAGAAACAATAGATTCTTTTGCTAATGAAAATTTAGACAATACTTTCTGTGATACACATTTTGCTGAGATAAAATGTCACAATCAAGAAGTCCATTTACACTGAAATAGGCAACCTAATAGTATCTTAATTAACATAGAAGAAAGTGGTAATTAGAGGTCATTTGGAAAGCTGGAGACGGTGTCCCAATGAGACTGGCAAGTTTTACTTCATGACTCAAGGTACAAGTCTGGGTTCTTAGTTGCAACTAACAGAAAACCTCTGTCCAACATAGGCAGAAAAATTATTTGTTGGAAGGATATTGAGTTTCTTACAAATTGGTGAGAGGACTAGAGATCAGATTTAGAAAGAGATTGGAAATCAAGGGACAGTAAACAGCTGAGGATCCAGCTGAGCTCACACCATTGAAGCAGGCTGTTGAGGATCAGTCACTATTCCTGCTGCCATTTCAAGTGCTGCTTCTGGCAACACACCAGTGTACTGCTGGCCACTAGCCTCTGGCCTCTGCTATGGGGGGCCAAGAATATCTCTGACTCTTCCAGCAACTTGGCATCTCTCTCTCTCAAGAATCAAAGGTCTACTCAAGAGCATCTAATTGATTGAGCCTAGGTCACATGCCTTTTTCCAAACAGCTAAGAGTGGTGCCCAAGGCTGGGTGGAGGGTTGAGGGGAAGGAGACTGGGAGGTGGCATTTTCATTTCCAACTCGATTTGATCCATGTACTCATCCTCCAGCAATGATAAGAACCCCCTTATTTTTTTTAGCCTGTTGGAGGTAATGACATCTACCCTTCTTGTACTTTTGCAGTACTTCATATATTGGTCTTACTGTATTGTTCTATTTATAATTTATATGTGTGTTTTTCCCCACCTGACAGAATTTATGGAGAAGAGGGATTGTGTTGTGTTTTTAGCATCATAACCTACAGTGCCTTACATGCATTAGGTGCTTAAAATATATGGGTTTAATAAATTATGTTTAATGATGATGTCGCAGGGAAACCTAATATAATGCTAATAAATCATAGCAACAAATGTTGAAAGAGTACTTGTTATATACTGGACATTTTCTTATTTCATCCTTATAACAATCCTATGAAGTAGGTTCTATGCTTTTTCATTTTATGCATGAGGAGCTAAGGCTCAGGTTAAATAAGTTGTCCTTGTTTATATAACTGAAACTGACAGGGCAGATATTCTAGCTAGGGCGGTCAAATTCCAGAGCCCATCATCAGAACTGTACTGCCCCCTGGAGGTAAATCACAGAGAAGAGGAAGATGGATCCAATCTTAGAGAACAGAGACCACTAGTTTGCTATATTCTCAATAGATGTTCACTTAGAGTGTATGGTATTTATTTGATAGGAATCAAGGAATAATTTTATATTTACTGATATAAATGAAATCTTATTTTGAATTTAATATTGTTCTAAAGTAATAGGCATTGCATAGTAACGACTAAAAAAGCATTCCTTTTTTGCAGCATTCTAGTTATGTTTGCCTCATAATATAATAAATATAAATAAATATTTATTATGTTATATATTTTATATAAATAAATATTTATTAATAATATAATAAATATTAATAAAATAAAAATAAATATAAATAAATACATCTAAATATAAATAAATCCACATGAATATAGAATATTCATATGAGAATCTTTAAATTTTGTATCTCACATCAAAATTTTTTTATTTAATTATCTAAAGTCATAAGACAGAACTTCATATTTTACTCCAAAACTTAAGAATTTTGATTACTTTTTCTTTTCCATCAAAGATTTTCTTGCCTAAATATGAATAGGCTTATAGTATAAAGTAACAGTATCCCATTTTTAAGGCGTAAATGTATATATTTTTATTTTTAAGCTGAGTTGTATCTGAGAAAGAACATATACTTTCATCAGAAATGATAAAAACGTAGTTTGGGGAACTGTTACTACAAAAGAGCAGCACGTCTGACTTTCATGTACTGTAAGTTCAAAGAGACTGTTTCATGCTGAGTAAGCACAAAAGAAGGATTGGTCCTTGGAAAACACTGAAAGCAGCTCTTCTCTATGAGACTTAAGAAAACAGAATCAAGTGAATCTAGAAAGAGTTACCAATCTGAATTTAAAGGTGATTGCTTGTATTTTTCTAATTAAAATTTTTTTTGTCTTTCAAACCAATATTATTTTATTTAGTTATTTTTAATTTTTAAATTTTATTTTAGGTTTGGGGTACATGTGTAGGTTTGTTATACAGAAAAATTGCATATCACTGGAGTTTGGTGTACAGATTATTTCATCACACAGGTAATAAGCATAGCATCCAATAGGTAGTTTTTTTATTCTCTCCCTTCTCCTACCCTCAAGTAGGCCTGGCGTCTGCTGTTCCCTTCTTTGTGTCCATGTGTTCTCAATGTTTAGCTCCCAATTGTAAGTAAGAATATGCAGTATTTGGTTTTCTGTTTCTGTATTAGTTTGCTTAGGATAATGGCCTCCAGCTCCATTTATCTTGCTGCAAAGGACATGATCTCATTTTTTTTATGGCTGCATAGTATTCCATGGTGTATATATACCACATTTTCTTTATCTGTTCTACTGACTGTTGCTGGGTATTTAGGTTGATTCTATGTCTTTGCTATTGTGAATAGTGCTGCAGTGAACATATGTGTTCATGTGTCTTGATGGTAGAATGATTTATATTCCTTTGAGTATATACCCAATTGGGATTGCTGGGTTGAGTGTTAATTCTGTTTTAAGTTATTTGAGACATCACTACACCGCTTTCCACAATAGTTAAACTAATTTACATTCCCACCAGCAGTGTATAAGTGTTCCCTTTTATCCACAACCTTGCCAGCATTTGTTATTTTTTGACTTTTTAATAATAGCCATTCTGACTATTCTTATTAATAATTCTTATTCTTGTTAATAATAATTATTATCACCTAGATGGTATCTCACTGTGGTTTTGATTTGCATCTCCATAATGATTAGTGATGTTGTACGTTTTTTCATATGCTCACTGGCTGTGTATATGTCTTCTTGAGAAGTGTCTGTTCATGTCTTTTGACCACTTTTTAATGGGTTGTTTGTCTTTTCTTGTTAGTTTGTTTAAATTCCTTATAGGTTCTGGATATTAGACCTTTGTTGGATATATAATTTGCAAATATTTTCTCTCATTCTGTACCTTGTCTGTTTACTCTGTTGATAGTTTCATTTGCTGTGCAGAGTTTCTTTAGTTTAATTAGGTCCCATTTGTCAATTTTTGTTTTTGTTGTAGTTGCTTTTGGCATGCTTGTCATGAAATCTTTGCCAGGGCCTATGTACAGAATGGCATTTCCTAGGTTATCTTCCAGGGCTTTTATAGTTTTAGGTTTTACATTTAGTGTTTAATCCATCTTGAGCTGATTTTTGTATATGGTGTAAGGAAGTGGTCCAGTTTCAATCTTCTGCATGTGGCTGGCCAGTTATCCTGATCTGCTTGTATTTGGATAACAAGTTGCTAATGTGAAAAGATATCGTTATGTCATTATTTTTTTCCCGATATTTGAGGCATTTTCGCAGAAATATGCAGAAGTCATGCCATAATTTTTTTATGCCTTTTTGTATAGTTTTGGAGTAAATTTCTAAAAGGCTAAATTTCTACATATGGACTTACTCAAATTATAAATTTCAAGTAAATGGACAAATATTAAGGGCAGATATAGAAGAACAATTGATTTTGAGTAGGTTTGTGGGAAAGATTTTGTAGGTGATGGAAGATTGAGCATATTTGTAGTAGAGGGAATAGAGTTGTGGTGAAGGAAACAGCAAAGGTGTGAGGGAGGCAGGAGATTTGTTTATTAGGCTGCAGATTGTTGAAAAAAGTGGAAGAAAAATGATCAGGTTCAATAAAGGAGAGATGAGTGGTGGAAGCCAGAGAAGGGAGATACAAATATGAAAACTTTCAAGCTGGGGCATTTCCAAGAGATGATAGGCTGCAAAGTGGCTGAAGTGGATCATAGTTGTAGTTGTTTGACATTGAGAAGGTCAAGAAAAATGTGGTGGCAGATGAGGAGCTGTTGATTTTTGTCTTAGGTGGCTAGAGCTATTAAGGAATTTAGGATGTGTCCTGGAGCTCACCAGATGATGGAGATAAAGATGTAGGAAAGTGCATAAGGGAGCAAGTGTGCCTCAGCAGAGGATGCTCAGGGCTGGTGAAGGGCAATTTTTTGGCAGCAGCAGTGTAGAATATGCAACATGAACTCCTCCAGGCCACTGAATTAAGAGGAATGCAAGATAGCAGCTCCCACAGGATAGAAAACTGGGAGTGAGCATCATATAGGAAAATTGAGATGTCCAGTGCAGTCAGGAGAATGTACATCTTGTTTTGGTTGATATGGTTTGGCTGTGTTCCCACCCAAATCTCATCTTGAACTGCAGCTCCCATAATTCCCATGTGTCATGGGAGGGACCTGGTGGGAAGCAACTGAATCATGTGGTTAGGTTTTTCCCATGCTGTTCTCATGATAGTGAATAAGTCTCATGAGATCTGATGGTTTCATAAAGGGGAGTTTCCCTACATGAGCTCTCTCTTGCTTGCCACCAGGTAGCTGTCCCTTTGCTCTTCATTTGTCTTCCACCATGATTGGGAGGCCTCCCCTGCCATGTGGAACTGTGAGTCCATTAAACCTCTTCCCTTTATAAATTAGCCAGTCTTGGGTATGTCTTTATCAGCAGTGTGAGAACAGACTAATACATTGGTTCTGTCTTTAATTACTAACACTGTCAATGAGCACTAACAATGTGGTAGACATCATGCCGGATATTGGGAATTCAGAGATTTAAAACAATGCACCATTATGAAAAGTGGGTGCACGTTGAATACAGCTGAAGTTGGCTTTCAAATCTGACATAATCACCACCAGCTCTGTGGCCCCACTAAAGTTCTCAACTTCCCTGAGACCCAGTTTCTTCATGTATAAAATAAGAATACTAATAATTTACCTTTTAGGGTTGTTTTGAGGATAAAATATAAAGTAAATAAAAAGTCTATCATAGTGCTACCTGAGAGTTGCTATTATTATTGTTGTTTGTTATTGTTATTTTGGTTTCTAATATGATCATCTGTTGGCGCAGATGTATGTAACTAACAATAAGTTGGTAGAAAGACTTAGGTTAAATCCCCCCTGACAATTTTACTTTGGGAACTCTGGCATTGGGTTAAGATTTAACGAGCTACAGAGGCCAGGAAGTTTTGTCACTGAGATGAAATAGGGAGATAGATCACAGGTGGAGGTTAGTAACAACACTGCAGTTTGTGTAGTGATCGTGGGTGCAGCCTGGAAGTAAGGTCCATGGTCTGTCTTGGGAACACATTGGTAGAAGAAGCAATTGCATCAGAAACCAGAGAAACCATCTATCTGGGCTTCAGTTTCTCTTTTGTTGGAAAAATATACCTCCCTGCTCCTGTTTCATCATTGTGAAGATTACATGAGATAATGTAAGTGAAGGTGCTTTGACAACTGTGAAGGGTCTATCTATATCAGGATGATATGTTTATGAATATTTGTGGGCAGAATTTCCAGTGGCTGCTGTTTCCACCATCCTGATGAGACATGGAGAAAACGTTGTGCTGTTCTCTACAGGAGAGTAAATCCAAGAGTTAAAAAAAAAATTATTGAAACATTTGTGAATGGTAAGAAAGAAAAATTTTGTAGTTCTGAGGAGAGAGCTTCTCTGGTAACTTCTAGTGTTATTCATCACTAGAAAATATTTTGCTTAGTAACAAATACTGTAATAAGATGAAATGTGACAATTTTCTAAGCCATTCTTGGATTCTTCAAAGGAAAAAAAAACTTCCATTGTTTATTTGGAATAATATCAGAAAATAGAGCTTTCTTGTCTGCTAATATTTCTATTCAGACTCGTGTGGCTCTTCTCTTTAAGCAGCCAGCCATCATAGCACATGTTCATCCTTCCCTTTGCTTGTCTTTTTCCTGGTTGGAGCGGGTTCTCCTAATTTAGTTAGCTCTTTTTACGTTTGGCCTCCAAATGATTTGTTGAAACTACTTTTTTTTTTGAGATCTAGCCAGGCTATACATGGTGATAATAGGTAAAATGAATAAGTAGAAGACATTCTCCAGAAAATACTGCCCATTTTAAGACCAGATGTAAAAGATCAACATTCATAATGATCATAGCATAATGAATGTAATGATGTACTGGGTGCTGTTCCTGAAGTTCTGCATGTTTCAACCTGTTTAAATTCCTCACAACAATACTAAAAGCTGCTTGTTATTGTGACCCTATTTTAAATGTGAGGGGTTTGAAGTACAGAGAGGTAAAGTTACCTGCTCAAGGACTCTATCTAATCGGTAGTGCCAGAGTTGGGACTGGAACCCAGATAGTATAGCTTTAAGCACTAGGATATGCCTTTTTTTTTTTTTTTTTCAGTTTTGAAAGACTCACAGAAGAATGTTAAAATGGAAAAAATCAATCAATCAATAAAAGCGCTGGAAAGGATAATATATATATTTATTATATTTTAGAATAGGAATAGGAACACTTTTTTAAATTTGAAAGAGGTAAATATAGCACAATAATTGAAAATGTGTTTGATAAATTTATGCAATTTAGTAACCCAAGAGGTGATTCATACTGGAAACCTCCACTCTTTAAAAAAAGTTCCAGTGAAATAAATGTACATTTGGGTATCCTTGCTCTTTGGGTATACGTTCTCACTTTTTCAGGCTTATTTCAGGACCAGTCATTACGCTCACCTTTTATTATTGAGGTGCTATTGATAGAACCATAGTACTGCACTCAGAAACTGTTTTTTTGTTTGTTTGTTTGTTTGTTTGTTTTTGAGACGGAGTCTCTCTCTTGTCACCCAGGCTGGAGTGCAGTGGTGCGATCTCAGCTCATGCAACCTCCGCCTCCCGGGTTCAAGTGATTCTAGTGCCTCAGCCTCCCAAGTAGCTGGGATGACAGGCACCCACCACCACACCCAGCTAATTTTTGTATTTTTAGTTGAGACGGGGTTTCACCGTGTTGGCCAGTCTGGTCTCGAACTCCTGACCTCAAGTGATCCACCTGCCTTGGCCTCCCAAAGTGCCTGGATAAGAGGCATGAGCCACCATGCGTGGCCAACTTTTTGTTTTTTGTATACATATATTTAAGGTATACAACATGATGTTTTGATATATATAGCAAATATTGTACATAGTGAAATGATTACTACAGTCCTGCAAAGTAACATATCCATCTGTAGGAAACTTTTTATGCTCTGACTTGTGAGATCTTGTTAACTTCCTTGTGTGGGTTTGACTTTAATCTCACGTCTGTGTCGCCCCAGGGAAGTTTCTCCTAGCTTTTCAAAATCACTTTACTAGATTCTAAAAATAACTGCCCTCCCTTTGGCTTGAGAGACTAAATTTTGGGTGTCACCCATGCGACATTAAATGGAGCAATGATATTGTGACTGGCAAGAGGCAAGAGGCTTGGGTTTCCAGTGATTTCTATAATAGCTGAATTTATAGTTACTTATAAAGTACTCTAAGAAGGAACTTTTCATTATGAAGTCAGCATGACAGATTTTTGGATTTCTAAATCTGTCTTTGCAATATTATTCTGTGCTAGTTTGTTGAAATGTGACACTGCATCTTTCATTCAGAGATATGAGTACTGACTTGGCATCACTTGTAGCTGTGAATTTTTATGACATATCCATTTCATTTGAAATTATTTAAAAGGAATGGACTGGGCATGGTGGCTCACGCCTGTAATCCCAGCACTTTGGGAGGCCGAGGCAGGTGGATCACCTGAGGTCAGGAGTTCAGGATCAGCCTGACCAACATGGTAAAACCCCGTCTCTACTAAAAATACAAAAATTAGCTGGGTGTGGTGGTAGGCACCTGTAATCCCAGCTACTCAGGAGGCTGAGACAGGAGAATCACTTGAACCCGGGAGGTGGAGGTTGCAGTGAACCGAGATCACGCCATCGCACTCCAGCCTGTGTGACAGGGCAAGCACTCGTCTCAAAAAAGGATTGCTTTATTTTTTAAGTGATTTCATTTGTTTTTGGCCAAGTTTCTTTTTAAGGTAAGATTGTACAATTATTATATTAATAGGGCCAGAACAATGGTGTATTATTTTGCAAAATATTTTAGCAAAAGAAAGGGCCAAATGAAGAAAGTGATCATTCAGTAAGCTTGCAGAGACACACTTACGGTAAACTCGCTATGCAGTTACTCCTGTGGTGCTCCTGCTCTTTTGCCAGTAACGGGAATTTATTTGATTATATAGTTTAGAAATACCAAATTATGCATTCCAAATCATGTTTATTGAGATATGCCATGTAAGACAAATGGCCTGGTGTTTTGTTTAGAGCTTGGAAGCTGAGATGTTCCAGCTACAGTTCGGCGTTTCCCTAGGGGACTTGCGGGGAAATGGGACAGCCTAGTTCTCAGCTTCTGTGGCTGTAAGACGATAATTTCCAGCTGCTGTGGGAGTTGGACTGGTGGCCTGGCCCCAGGGAAATATCCTGGTCTCTTGGTTACGTCTCTTGCACCCTCTGGGGCTATATGCTGCATTCTCTCAGGCACATTTCATGCTCACATGAGAGGAAACCATCCTTATTGGCACTTTAAGGCATCAGGAAGCTTTTACAAATGTTGTCTCTGACAGCTTCGGAAGGGGCTTTTCAGCTGTCCCTGTGACCCCTGCTAGGCTAAACATATGTTTAAAACATGTGGAGGAATGGTCAGGTTTAGAGGCTCTGCTGTTGCTGCTCAGTATTATTCCTGGCTCTATTTTCTGCATGACTTGCCAACATTCTCATTGTGTGGGGCTTGCAGCTGCCACACAGTCATACATACTAGTCTCAATTTGGTGCTTCAGAGCTCCCAAAGATTCCACCACTTCTGCCAGAAGTCCTGCCGGTTGTTACCACCCAGAATGCTTTCAAGTTCGGAGACGAAGCTGGGGAGACTGCTTCTCTCTCTCTCTCCTCTCTCTCATTTAATTACATACTTCAAGTTCATGGAGAAAAGCTCTGTTAACTGCCTGTGTGGTGTCCACCACAGGGCTCTGTGCAGAAGAGCGCTTAATGAATGGTGTAGGGTCACCCACCGATGTTTTTCTAAGAATGTCTGGGTTAACTTCAATGCTTCTGTGAAGCAGGGGATTCTTCCATTGTAGTAATGCAGATATAAATTGATCATGAGTAGGAGATGTCGTAATATTTGACAGCTTTTCATAAAAAAGATCTACCAGGTCTTTTTGAATGAACCCTTCAACTTCCTGCCATCTCCAGTCTCTAAATGTGGCAGTCTAGATTTTTTTCAGGGTAAAGTAAAATAGTAGACATGACATATTTTGGTTGTCCCATGAGATCTCATTAAAGAGTCTGTAGTATAGTTGATGCTGGCATTTTTGAGTTGCAGCACTGAGGAAAGGGGAGAAATGAGGTTTGGAAGGCAACTAAAATGTTTCTCTTCTAGGAGCTACATTGGGACCTTTATAAGCATTTTCTCATTTAATGCTCGCAAAGCCCTATGATCTAGTCATTTCACTCCTATTTTAAAAATGGAAAAACTAGGCCTAGAGGGCTAAGTATCATACCCTAGAATACATATATGGTAAGTGGTAGAAAATTTTAAATCCAAGTGGGTCTGACTCCCAAGATAATGTTCTTTTGCTTGAATATAGTACCCCCCCAAATTAGTTCACATTTACTTTTGTTAAGTGTATAAATGTATACGTGTTCATTTTTGAAGGCTATTTACCTGTGCTGTTATCTACCAAAGCTATTGGCCAAAATTATTATCTACTTTACGAGTTATAAATATAAATTTTTGAGGCTTCTTTAAGAAATGTTCTGTCTGTATTTGTGCCAAGTAAGAGCTGCCCCCGAATATCATATACATCAGGAGGCTATGAAATGACACCAAAGCCTGTTACTGCTTGTGGCATTTTAGAAAGTTCTTAGAAATTGCTTTCAGAACAGATTTAGAAACCATTCCTTATAAAGTGCTTGAGAGGAGTCAGTGTTTTCTACAAGAGTACAAGTAAGAAAAGACATTCTGGATGGCAGCCTGGATAAGCATGTTGGGATCTTCCAGAGGGGTTGGCATGGCTCAAATGGAGAGTACTGGAAAATGATGGACCTGGAGCAACAAGGGAGGTGGTACAGCACTGTGATTAAGAGAATGGGCCTGGGAGACAGGAGATTTGGGTGAACCTCAAATCTGTCACTTGGTAGCTTGTGGCTTTAAGCAATTATTTAATTTATCAGATTCTCTATTTCATCATGTTTAAGATGGGGATAATGATTCCACCCTCTTTCTCACAGATTTTTTGAAAATAAACAATAAATTGTGTTTTTAGAGCTTTAGCACAATGGCATGCAGTAAGCACTGATAAAGTGTAGCTATTATTTCCTACAACTAGCAACAAAATGTCTTCTATATTTTGCTAAGGGGTTTAGATGTTTTTCTGAGGCTTTCATAAACAATATGATCAGCAAGTGTTTTAGCCCATTTTATGTTGCTATAACAGAATACCACAGACTGGATAGTTTCTAATGAACAGAAATTTATTTGGCTCATTGTCCTAGAGTCTGGGAAATCTAAGAGCATGGCACTGGCGTATGGTGATGATCTTTCTGCTGCACCGTCCCATACCAGAAGGCAGAAAGGCAAGAGAAAGTGAGAGTAAACCAGCAGGAGAGGGTCAAACTTGCCTTTTCAAAAAAATTTTTATGGGTATATAGTAGGCGTATATATTTATGGGGTTCATGAAATATTTTGGTACAGGCATGCAATGTGTAATAATCACATCATGGAAAACTGGATATCCACCCCCTCAAACATTTATCCTTTGTGTTACAAACAATCCAATTATACTCTTTTAGTTACTTTAAAATGTACAATTAAATTATTATTGGCTATAGTCCCCCTGTTGTGCTATCAAAATACTAGGTCTTACTCCTTCTTTCCTTCTTTCCTTCCTTCCTTCCTTCTTCCTTCCTTCCTTCCTTCCTTCATCTCTCTCTCTCTCTTTCTCTCTTTCTTTCTTTCTTTTTTTTGTCTTGCTCTGTCACCCAGGCTGGAGTGCAGTGGCACGATCTTGGCTCACTGCAACCTCCACCTCCCAGGTTCGGTCTTGCTCTGTCACCCAGGCTGGAGTGCAGTGGCACGATCTTGGCTCACTGCAAACTCCACCTCCTGGGTTCAAGCGATTCTCCTACCTCAGCCTCTTGAGTAGCTGCACCTACACGCGCCTGCCACCATCTCTGGCTTATTTTTGTATTTTTAGTAGAGACGGGGTTTTCACCACGTTGGCCAGGCTGGTCTCAAACTCCTGACCTCAAGTGATCCACCTGCCTCAGCCTCCCAAAGTGCTGGGATTACAGGCGTGAGCCACCGTGCCTGGCCCATTCTTTCTATTTTTTTTGTACCCATTAATCATACCCATCTCCTCCACTACTACTCTTCCCAGCCTCTGGTAACCATTCTTCTATTCTCTATCTCCATGAGTAGAACGTGCTTTTATAACAATGTACTCTCATGATAATGAACCCACTCTTGCAAAACAACATTAATCCGTTCATGAGGGCAGAGCCCTCATGACCTTGTAATCTCTTGATGGTCCCACCTCTTAATATCATCACAATAGGAATTAAATCTCAACATGAGTTTGGGAGGGGGCATTCACACTATAGCAGTAAGCAACATATTAAATTGATGTTTTTGCAAAATAGTACTGTGGAAGATGAATTGGAAGATTTTGAAAGTAGACACAGAGCAAGTTTCAGAAACAACATAAGAAATTATAAGATACTGCAGGAGCAAAGAAAAAACAACAAATAAAAAACATAAAGGAGATCAAGTTGACTGCTCACTCACTGGTGGACATGAGAAAGCAGAAATCCCTAATTCTGTTGGGGTCTAGATGAATGGGTGGCACCAGCTTCCACAAAAAGAAATCTAAGAGTAAGCAGATTTTAGCTAAAAGTATTATTTTTGAGATGTTGGATTTGTGATGCCTTTGAAAGAGGCAGGTGACAGCATGTGACCTAATGCCCATCAACCAGAAGAAAGTCTGGTATATAGAAAGTGCTCATAAATATTTCATAAATAAATTGGAGAAAAAAAGCCTGGGAACCATATATATGGTGAAAAAAGGCTTAGAAGTTAATGATATTATCCAAGAAGTTTGAAAAGAAATCCAGGGCTAGACTTGTGGGGGCCCACTAACACTTAGGGGTTGAGGAAAAGCAGCTCAGAGAAGAGATGGAGAAGGAATTACCAAAGAGTAAGAAGAAATAAATGAAGGTGGTGGTTTGCGAGTTCAAGGAAGAGTTCCAAGTAGAAAGGAGTCTTCTACAATGTTCATTTATAGAGAGGAGAAGTGAGATGCATACTGAAAAGAATCCATACTGATGATGAGATTAGTCATTTTCATCCTTGTCAAAGGACATTCAGTGGCAGTAGGGGCAAAAAATGGCTTAAGAGAGTTGAAAATAATTGTGGGTGAAGATGAGGGTATAGCAAATGGTGACTGAATGTAACTGTTCTTTCAGTGAACATAGTTGACCCCATTCTCTAATCTGCTACTGTGCATATTGATGGTTGGGAGGGGGCAGAGATCACCTGACCAAGTTGAAAAACTTCAAAATAGTATTTTCAAAACGATGTAGCTATTCTTGGTTTATAATTTCAGCCCGATGTGAAAGCCACTTTCACTGTAATTTTAAAAAAAATCAGTTAATTCTAATGATATCTTTTGGGTGACAAAAACAAATAAAATAAACTTATAGCTAGTTATTACATTTATATTCAATTTTAAATGTAAAATGGTAAATGAAGTTGATAAATTAATTTTTTTATTGCTTAGGTTCTAAGCAATAAAAAGAAAATACAGGTTTTTTTTTTTTTATTGCCTGTGCTCTCAGTTTTAAATCTGAGGACAGAAGTTGGTTTTCATCATCTGGGGCAAAACACATGAAGAACTTTAGTTTTAAAAAGTACAGCTTACATTATTCAAGTTTATAATGACAATACACAAACAGTCTTGGTACATATAATGAGCCACATATTTGTCTTTTAAAAAACAATTACCTTTATTTACATTAGAGATGATTTCAAAGCTAAACTGACATGCTATTTCATGAATAATATCTATCTTTATATAAACTGCACCCTACATACAATAATGAGATCATTTAGTATAAATTTACAACTTGTATATTCTGATAAATGCAGGAATTTCTAAATGTCATGGAATTGTCATAAGTAATATCTTCACTGAAATTGCTTATTTGCAAAGAAGGTACTCTCCTTTATTAATCTACTGAATAATTTATATGTTTTGGAAATAGTGTGTTAATTTCTGTGAAAAGTGATAATGCTATTTATTAGGTCCATTTTTCTGAGAATAAATCAATCCCTTCTTAATCAGTTGTCTAATCTGCAAACATTGTAGGTATAAATCAAGTTACAAATTAAGTTAGACACAGATTGATCTGACAATTGCCTTCAAGTGAAATAGCCTGGACCCAATAAAATTCTCTCCACTGATTTCTAGAAATGGCATTTGGTATAGCCTCATGGTATTAATGTGATGGTCATGGCCTGGCATTTGTACTCAGCTATGGTAGCAGAATATGCTTAAATTGATAAGATTAGATAAATAGCATTCTTCAGATGTTCTGGATGACAGCATATTTAATGTAATTGCATTTGTCTGCCAGTTTCTATGTGTTAGAGCACAAAAGATTTTGAACCATGCATAATTTTGATAGAGAAATTCAATCCACTTTCTTCTATAATATACCACAAATTATAAATTTTCATTGCAACTATTCAATCGCTTGAGAAAAGAATGCATTTCAAATCAGGTTCCATGCCAAATACCTCATTTATGGAGCTATGCTGCTTAAAATTGGACAAATTGATTACCTTACTGAATATTGAAAATATTAGTTGGAAGCATTAAAACCATCTTTATTAGCTCTAGACTCTAGTAATACATATACTTGTGTAATAAATATTAAGAGCTACTAATATACCAGCTTTTAAAGTGTGAGAATTCTCATTTGCTTAATTGTCAGTATATGATTATGCAGGCCTGAGTGTTGAAACATGACTAAAACATTGAAGAATCCTATCAGCTCCTTTGGGCAGATAATACATATCCCCATTAGATAGTCTGATGAGATACTATGGGCTTCAAAGCCTGATCATAGTGGTGATTTATGCCTGTATGAGTACTCTTATTACAAGATCATGAAAGGCTATGAGATCACTCACTAACTGATAACCACAATTCCCTTATGAGCTAAATGGCTAGTATTTATTTTTTTGTTGCTTTAGTATCTGGTTACTTTTCAAGAGGCTAATATTTTAATCAATTGCTTTTGGCCGCAGTAACTACATAACTGGAATATGTAATACTGAATTGAACTATAATATTTAGAAATTCATTGATAGTTCACTTTAAAAAAAACCCTCATTTTTTCAAAAGTTTTATTGCCAACCCCATGCACGTTTCCCTTACTTTTAAATTTTAGATTTAAGTCTGTAGCTTTACCAAGGTGTTCGGATTTTTGTCATGCAGAATCACAGAGTCATGATTGCAAGTGATCTTTAAAGTTTCAGGTTCTGACTCCAAGCTTGAATCTCCTCCCGGGCATCTCTGAATTATGGGCATTGGCCAGGACCATATATGTGTTCTCTGGTGTTTGCCCTGAGAAAGCCCTGATTTGTGTCCCTACCGAATGAATCCAGTGGGGGTTATTGCAAATATTTTCAAGATAAACTTTTTAGTTAAGAGCCAGCTTGAATGGTTATAGTTTTATTTTTATACCAAAAAATAAAAATTTCTCTTGAAATGGCCCTAACATGGCTCTAGGAATTAATAGAGTATGTTGCTTCTACTATTTCAGCACTTTTAATGACTGATATGTTTCCTTTAGTCTTCCGTACTCCATGGTAAATGATTCTAATTTCTTCAATCCCAAAGTATTAACATGGTTTGCAGAAGTCAAGAAGGTCCTCCTCATCAAGGTCTTCTGATGTTTACAGTTGTCTTAAATTGTTGTCTCCAGAGTTGAACATGCTGGTGAAAAACAATAATAGCTAACATTTTTTTTCTAGGCTAAACACTGTGCTAAGTGGTTTATATATGTATTAGGTATTCTTTAAAATTAAACTCTTTATTTTAAGGTAATTAAAGATTTTATCACATGCACTTGTAAGAAGTAATGCAGAGTGATCCTATGTACCCTTTACTCAGTTTTCCCCAATGGTAACATCTTGCAAACTGTAGTCTGTTATCATAACCAGGATATGGACATTGATGTAGTTTATCCATCCTATTCCGATCTCCCTAGTTTTATTTGTACTCCTTTGTGTATACAAAATATTGTGTTCTATGCCATTTTATCTCATGTGTGTTTGTGTATCTACCACTCCAGTCAAGATAGAGAGTATTTCCACCATCACAAAGATCCCTGGTGTTACCTTTATGTGAACATATCTACTTCCTCTTTGCTTCCCCTTCATAACCTCATCCTTAGCTCCTGGTAACCCCTAATCTTTTCTTTGTTTCTATAATTTTGTTGTTTCATGAATGTTATATAAATGGAATCATACAGTATATATATTTTAGGGGACTGGCTTTTTTCACAAAGTAGAATTCTCTGGATAGTCATCCAAATTATTGTGTGTATCAATAATTGGTCCCTTTTTATTGCTGAGAAGTATTCCATGGTATGGATATGTACCACAATTTGTATAACTATTAACCTGTTGAAGGACATCTGGGTTGTTTCTAGTTTGGGGCTATTATGAACATGAATAATGGTGTACAAGGTTTTGTGTGAATATAAATTTTTGTTTCTCTGAGATAAATGCCCAAGAATGCAATTGCTGGTACATGTGATAATTACATACTTAGTTCTTAAAGAAACCGCCAAACTGTTTTTCAGAGTTTCTGCACCAGCAATTATAAGTGATCTAGTTTCTCTATATCCTTGCCAGCATTTGATGTTATGACTTTTTTAAAAAAATTATCCATTTTGATAGGTATGTAATGATATCACACTGTAGTTTTTGATTTGTATTTCTTTAATGGCTAATGATTTGAACATTTTTTTTCTTGTGTTGTCATCTGTATATCCTTTTCAGTGAAATGTCTGCACGTGTGTCTTTTTTCCATTTCTAATTGGATTGTTTGTTGTTTTGTTTTGAGAGTTCTTCATATATTCTGAATACCAGTCCTTTGTTGGATGTGTGTTTTGGAAAATTTTCTCCCAGTCTCTAGCTTGTCTTTTTATTCTCTTAAAATGGTCTTTCAAAGAGCAAGAATGTTAAATTTTGAATCGGTCCAATTTATCAGTTTTTCCTCTTATGGGTTGTGCTTTTGGTATCAAGTCTGAGAACTCTTTGCCTAGCTCTAGATTCAGATGATTTTCTCCATTACGTTGGTTTAAGTTGGGGTTCAATTTTTTTGCTTATGAATGTCTAATTGCTCCAAGGCCATTTGTTGAAAAGTCTACCCTTTTCCCACTGAATTGCTTTTGTACCACTGTAAAAAACCAATAGAGTGTATTTGTCTCCATTCTCACCAGTATCATACTTTCTTTTGTACAGACAGGTTGGTAGAGTGATCATTCCCACTTTATTCTTTGTCAGTATTATTTTAGCTATTCTAGGACCTGTGCATTTCCATATAAATTTTAGAATAAGCTTGTCATTGCATACGAACTTCCTCACTGAGATTTTTGATAGGAATTGTTTTAAACCTATTGCTACATAGTGAATATTTGTGACCTCCCCAAATTCGTATGTTGAAACCTAATCCCTAATGTGATAGCATTAGAAGCAGGTGGGACCTGTGGGAGGGGATTAGGTCATGATGGTGGAGGCCCCATGGGTGAGATGGGTGTCTATATACAAGAGGCCCCAGAGGCTTCTCTTGCCCCTTATGCCATGTGAAGCCACAGTGAGAAGATGCCTGTCTATGAACCAGGAAGAGAGCTCCCAGTCGGCTGGCACCTTGATCTTGGATTTCCCAACATCCAGAACTGTGAGAAATAAATTTCTGTTGTTGATAAGCCACCTAATTTATGGTATTCTGTTATAGCAGTCTGAATGGACTGAGGGAGAAATTGGTACTTAGGAGTGAGGGTAGTGCTGTTACAAATACCAAAAAGTATGGATGTGGCTTTGGAAGTGGGTAATGGGTAGAGGCTGGAAGAGTTTTGACATACATTCTAGAAAGAGCCTGCATTGCTATGAACAGACTATTAAGGATGATTCTGGTAAGGGCTCAGAAAGAAAAGAGGAGAGCTTTAGAGAAAGCCTCAGTCTTCCTAGAGAATCCCTAAATAATCCTGAAGAGAGTGTTGGTGGAAATAGATGGTAAAGGCCATTCTGATGAGATCTCACATGGAAATGAGGAACATGTTATTGAATAATGGAGTAAAGGTCATTCTTGTTATAAAGTGTCAAAGAACTTGGTTGAATTGTGTTCATGTTCTAGTATTTTGTGGAAGGTATAACTTGTGAGTGATGAAATTGGGTATTTTGGTTGAGGAAATTCCTAAGCAAAGTGTTGAAAAGTGACCTGGTTTTTCCTGACCATTTATAGTAAAATGGAAGAAGAGAGAAATGACTTAAAGGCAGAATTGTTAATTAAAAAGCAAGCAGAACATAAAGGTTTGGGAGATTCTTAGCCTATTTGTATTGTAAAAATAGAGAAAGCATGTTCAAGAAAGAACACAAAGGGTATGGCCAAATGACTGTTTGATAAGATTTGTTAGCCCTTTAAACAGAAGTCAGGAGCTGTTCAAGACAATGGAAGAATGACCCTGAAGGCAGTTCAGAGATAATCAGAGCTGCCACCCCCATCACAGTGTAGAGGCCGCTGGCACATGTAGGATTGCAGTGTGCCCTGCCTGGCGCCTCCTCACATTGCAGCCTCTGCTGACTTCACTCCAGTGCTCATGGTATGGAGCAGCTTCACACTCAGCTGCTTCAGGTATGGCTCTGGAGGGCCCTGGTGTGGTGTGGCTGCTCCACCCAGCAAAGCTGAGGAGCCATGTTGTTCCTACCTAGATTTCAAAGGATCAGGCCTCCCAGCAGAGGCACAGGGCCCAGGCAGAGAACAGCCATGGGGGTGGGGGCCAAGGTACAGAGCTGCTGGGTGTGACAGGGCCACCTAAACCCAAAGGAGCAGTGCTACATGGAGCCTTGGGGTCCCCCTACCTGGCAAAGCTTTGTGGGCAGGACCACTGTTCAAGTGTGTCTATTGGGCAGGACCTCTGCTTCAGTGGGCCTTGAGGGTACAGCATACAGCCAAAGAAGATTATTCTCAAGCTTTAAGGTCTAATGGAATTAGCTCCACTGGGTTTTGGACTTGAGACCTGTCACTACTTCTTGCCGATTGCTCCCTTTGGAATAGGAATGCCTATTCTATGCCTGTCCCACCACTGCATTTTGGAAGCACATAAAATGTTGGTTTCACAGGTTCACAAGTGGAGAGAAGTTTGCCTAGGATGAATTAGACCTTTTATCTCTTCCATATCTAATTTAGGTGATATTTTGGTGAGACTTTGGACTTAGACTTTAAATTTGTAGCTGAGATAAGTTTTGACTTTTGGGGCTATTAGGGTGGAAAAAATGTATTTTGCACATGAGAAAAACATGAATTTTGGGGAAGGGGGTCAAAGGCAGAATGCCACAGACTGTATGTTTATGTCCCTCCAAAATTTATATGTTGAAATCAGATCCTTAATGTGATGATATTTGGCAGTAGGGCCTTTGGGAAATGGTTAGCTTATGAAGGTAGAGCCCTCATGAATGGGATTAGTTCTCTTATAAAAGAGACTTTATAGACTTCCCTCTCCCCTTCTACCATGTGAGAACATCGCAAAAAGATGGTTGTCTATGAACTAGGAAGTGGGTCCTCATTAAACAACAGATCTGCCAGCACCTTGATCTTGGAACTCCTTGTCTTTAGAACTGTGAGAAATACATTTCTATTGTTGATAAGGTTTCCAGTCTATGGTGTTTTGTTGTAGCAGCTGGAATGGACTAAGACACCTATAAATCAATTGAGGGAGAACTGACATCTTTACTATGTTAAATCTTTCAAACTGTGAACGCAGTATGTATATCCTTTTATGTAGATCTTTGGTTTCTTTCATCAGCACTTAATAATTTTCTGCATACAGATCTTGTGCATGTTTTGATAAAATTGATAAAATTATACCTGATTATTTTAGTTTCTTTGGAATGATTGTAAAGGTACATCTTTGGAATGATTGTTAGCTGTAGGTTTTTTGTGGGTGTTCTTTATCAAATAAAGGTAGTACCACTCTATTCCTAACTTGCTGAGAGGTATTTTTTGTCTCTTTTTGGTCAAATGCTTTTTATACATCAACTGATATGAACATGTAATTTTTCATCTTTAGGTATTAGTATGGGGGATTGCATTCATTAATTTTCAAATGTTGAAACAACCTTTTATACCTGGAATAAGCCTCAGTTCGTCATGGTGTTTAGTTCTTTTTATATATTACTCAATTTGATAATTTTTTTTTTGCTTATATTGTTGGGGGTTTTTACATGTAAATTTTATGAGTGATATTAGTCTATAGTTTTTAGGTTAATCCTATCTTTGTATGATTTTGATATTCAGATAATACTTCATAAATGAGCTTAGAAGTGTTCCCTACTTTCTGGAAGAGATTATGCAGAATTGATGTTAATTATTCTTTAAGCACTTGGTAGTATTTTCCAGTGGAACCATTTAGCCTAGAGATTTCTTTTTTGGAAGTTTTAAGTTATGGATTCAATTTCTTTAATGGTTATAGCGCTATTCACTTCTTCATCATAATCAAGATTTGGCAGTTTGTGGTGTTCATGGAATTGTTACATTTTTTCTAAGTTGTTGAATTTATGAGCATTACTTTGTAGTATTCCTTTATCAGTTTTTAAATGGCTGCAGTATCTGTTGTGGTATTTTCTGTTTCATTGTTTATATTGCTAACTTTTTCTTCTCTTTTTTAAAAATATATTCAGTCTTGCTAGAGGTTTGCCAATTTTATTAATTTTTTTGAACAAGCAGCTTTTGATTTCATTGATTTTCTCTATTGTTTTTCTGTTTTCAATTTTATTCATTTCTGTTCATATATTTACCGTTTTCCTTTTGC
Source organism: Homo sapiens (assembly GCF_000001405.40). Classification (NCBI taxonomy): domain Eukaryota; kingdom Metazoa; phylum Chordata; class Mammalia; order Primates; family Hominidae; genus Homo; species Homo sapiens. The sequence goes on along the minus strand of NC_000003.12, from coordinate 107,187,366 downwards.
TTGCTTTGGGTTTAGTTTGCAATTTTCTTTTTCTAGTTTTTTGAGGTAGCATCTTAGGTTATTAAATTGAGATCTTTTCCCACATGAACATTTAGCATTATCAATGTTCCTCTCAATAATACTTTAGCTGAACCCATATATTTTGATCTATTGTATCTTCATTTTCATTCAGTTATTTTTGAATTGTTCTGTTTATCATTATGTAATATCCGTTTTTGCCCCTAGTAATTTTCTGTGAATTTTCCTTGATCTGAGTGGTACTTTATCAGGTATTAATACAGCTTCTTTTTTTATTGCATGGTATATAATTTTCCATCCTTTTATTTTCAATCTACCTTTATTGTTGAATTTGAGGTGACTTTCATGTAAATAGCATAGAGTTAGAATGTATTTTTCTATCCACGTTTCCAATCTCTGCCTTTTAATTGATGATTTTAGATAGTTTACATTTTAGGTAATTATTAATATTTTAGGGCATAAGTCTGTCATTTTATTAGTTATTTTCTATTTGTTACCTCTGTTTCTTTTTTATGTTTCTTTTTGCCTTCTTTTGGGTTATTTGAACATTTCTTAGGCTTCCATCTTGATTGATTTATGTTGTTTTTAGTGTATTTTTTGTATATATTTCTTAGTGGTTCCTTTGTATATTATAATATACATATGTTTCTTATCACAGTGTTATCAACATTTTACTACTTCTAATGAAGTGTTTACCTTACTGCTGTTTAAATTCCTTTATGTTTTCTGCTTTTAAATACCATCGTATTAAGTATCAGATAGCATTATAATTTTTTTCAATAGTCAATATGATTTATAAAATTCATGGGAGTTAGTTTATTTTATGTACTCATATTTGTGTTCTTTCAGTGACTCTTTTTCCTTCCTGATGCTCCAAGATTATATTTTCCTTATTGTTTTTCCCAACAGTTTAATAAGCCACACTTGAGTTTTTCTCCAAGGTAAGGTTAAACCTCATAGTTTCTGGAACCACTGTACCTATTAAAATTTTTTTCTTATATTCTCTGTATTCTGTCACTTGAAATCTTTAAAAACTACATGAATTCTGTATCTCATGCTTGGAATATAATATATGACTATGGAGACTTGCATCATTTAAATAATTTTGATATACTCTTTTTTTTTGAGACAGAGTCTCACTCTGTCTCCCAGGCTGGAGTGCAGTGGCATGCTGCAACCTCTGCCTTCCAGGTTCAAGTGGTTCTCCTGCCTCAGCCTCCCAATTAGCTGGGATTATAGATGTGTATCATCATGCCTGGGTAATTTTTGTATTTTTAGTAGAGACAGTTTCAGCATCTTGGTCAGGCTGGTCTCAAACTCCTGACCTCAAGTGATCTGCCTGCCTCAGCCTCCCAAAGTGCTGGGATTACAGGCATGAGCCACTGTGCCCAGCCAATTTTGATATACTCTTATCTTATTGTGTACATTTCTCCCTTTCTTTAACCGTTCCATACTGTTGTTCTTTCCAATAGTGTTTTACAGGGATTTCAATATTATCATTCATTTCGTTTTATCATTTTTTAATCATTTTTTTTTCTGTTTGAGGAATTTCTTTTAGCTGTTCTTTAAGGGAATGTGTACTATCAGCAAATTAGTTTATCTTTCTATGGGAATTTCTTTATTTCTTCTTTGTTTCTGGAGAATAGTTTCACTGATTCTAAAATACATAGTTGACTATGCTTTTAGCACTTGAAAAACATTGCACCATATTTTTTCTGGCCTCCATGGTTTCAGATGAAAAATCTGTCATTCAAACTGGTTTTCCCTATACACAATGTACTGTTTCTCTCTGGTTGTTTTTTAAATATTTTGTCTTTATTTTTCAGAAGTTTAATTATAATGTCCTTGAATTGAATTTATTTTGTTTTATCATATTTGAGATTTGCTCAGATTTTTGCATCTGTGTACATATGTCCTTTGCCAAAATTGGGACCCTTTCAGTCATTTCTTCAAGCACCTTTTCAGCTTCAATCTCTTTTCTCCTTTTGAGAATCTAATGATATGAGTTGGATCTTTTGCTAATTGTCTCTCAGGTTCCTGAGGCACTTTTCACTTTTTAAGATCAGCTTTCTCTCTTTTGTTCAGATTGTATAAATTCTGTCGATCACTGAGTCTGTCCCTTGTCATCTTCACTGTACTATCAAGCTCATTTAGTGAGCTTTTTCCCACTAGTTATTGTACTTCTCAGTTCTATTATTTCCATTTGGTTATTATTATTTACAAATTCTGCTATATACTCCAGACTTCCTGTTTTTTCATTTGTTTTAAGAAATTTGTAATTGCTTGTTGAAGTATTTTTAAATCACTTTTACAGTTTTGTATTCCATATATTCAATTCATCATTGTTCCTTCTCTTTTTTAAAAATTGTACTTTGTTGAGGTATTTTTATGATGGCTGCTTTAAAATCGTTGTCCGATAATTGCAGCTTCTAATTCATCTTGCTGTTGATGTGAGTTGATTGCTTTTTTTTTCATTCAAGCTGTGATTTTTCTGGTTCTTCATATAAGGAGTGATTTTTAAAATTGTATTATGGACAGTTTGGTTACGATGTTAGGAGGCTTTGGTTCCTATTTAAATCTTGATTTTAGCAGGCCAGGCAGTCATCACTTTTAGGTTTAGTCTTTAGGTCCTGGCCTACTTTTGTTGATTGCAGTTCCAGTAGAAGTTTAATTTTAAGAGCTCTTGTGGTGCTGTTTTCATCTGTTTGGTGTCTGGTGATGCCTGAGCTCTCATGCATTCCTTCTGGTGCTGCCTGAGGGAGGTCAAGGAACTTACCCAGTCCAGGCTTTCTGGTGACTCTAACTAGGAGAAGGAATTCTATGGGGATGACAAGTACTTCCTAGGCAGACTTTGTGTCTGTGTGTGTGTTCGTACTGCCTAGGAAAAAGGATTTTCTGGCCCATAAAGAGCAAGAGGCTTCCTAAGCTAGGCCACTGGACTTGATGTGATTCCTCTTTGCTGGTGCTGTACGACAACCCTCAGTAGGAGAGCATAGTCTCAGGCCCAGCAGAGAAGGAGTGCTTTCTGTGTCCTTTTATTGTCCTTGGGATTTCTGATCAATCTGCCAATACTGCTAGGCTCATCTAATATTGTCGTTGGGACTCGCATTAGGACTGGGGAAAAAAAAAGATCCTATGTGGGTTACCTTCTGTTGATAGAATGGATGTTGAAAATGCCCGGCCTGGGTTACCTTCTTCTGTTGAGTTAGAGGTCATGAAAAAGCCAACTGTTGTGTTCTTCCAGACCTGGAGTCCTTAATCAGTCTATCTTCCCCTTTCCATATTTCAGTGTTCTCTTTTAACGCCTTCTTGCATTATTTCCTGGGTTTATATTTGTATTTAGTGAGGATGAGCAAAGAGAAACAAGTTTATGCCATGTTGTCTACTCTGCACTATATATATGTTAATTATAGGAACTACTCTTTGACATAGGAATAGTTGCCTTCCTGCCGCTGCCTGGCACATAAGACACTTTTCTTCAGTAATTGGTGTTACACCTGTCAAAATGTTTTGAAAATTATAAAAGGGGATTTTATTATTATATTAATTTATAGTCTAGTAAAATCTAAAGTCATACATTTGGGAAGATTATATTTCATGTATTTTTCCAGTGACTATACTTTCCTTCTCATTTTCCCCAATAGTTTAATAAGCCACACTTGAGATTTTCTCTAAGGTAAGGTTAAACCTCATAGTTTCTGGAACCATTATACCTGTTTAAGAAATTTACTTAGGTTCTATATATTCCATCATTTCAGATCTTTAAAAACTACATGAATTCTGTGTCTCATGCTTTGGGATATAATATATGAATATGGAGACTGGCATCATTTAAATAATTTAGATATAGTCTTATCTTGTTGTGTACATTTTCCCCTTTTTTTAACCATTCCATTCAGTTATTCTTTCTGATAGTGTTTTACAGGGATTTCAATACTATCATTGATTTCATTGGTGAAAATGGGAAAAAAGTAAGAGTTGAATAGATCTGTGGTCTTTGTCATTTGTTAACAATATACTACTTTCTCCCCAAAGGGACTTATTTATCTTTAAGACCTCCATTTGTTCTAAATGGAAGTCTTGTTCTTTACTATATTCTCTATCATTTTTCCTTTGATGTTTACTCCAAAACTTCTTCTTTCTAGGTCACACAGTTCTTACTAGTTCTCCTAAGTAGAGAAAATTGTGTTGTCATTATGTAAGGAAAATGGTTAGTTTTTTCTCAAATGTGAAAGTGATATTATTGCATGTAGGTGCTACATGGTATTATGTGCTGTTCGTCATATACAGTGATAAAAATGATCTATTATCGCATCAGAATGAAATCCTTTTGGATGGCTTTTTTTTGGTGTTGATGAATCTTGTTTTTATTTGTCTGTATGATTTCATCTTTTTTCTCCTTTGTAATCAAGGACATGTTTTTGAGGTAACTGTCAGGGATAAGGGTACAATTAGAATATGACAACTAATCATATGAGATTTGAACCCGGACATTAGCCTCAAAGCACTGTTTGGATTGAGCTATCTATCTGACACTATCATTAATGACACTATGCAGAATTTTTGTCAACTGAGTTAAGAAGTTGCTTTTTGCCTTACATAAAGGTTATTTCAGTTTCTGAGGATATACTCAATATTTTGTTCTAACTATTCACTCTTAGGAATACATGGTCATGAAAGGGATATTCACTACCTAAAGATGAATGACTTATTCAGATGAAACTTATTTTATAGGTTACTCTTATTTTTAGACAAACTCTATGGCCCAAGGTTATTTCTCATCCTTATTTTTCATGTAAACAAATATACCTCCTCTATTTTTAATGTTTATCTCCTTCCATTTCTCTAGCCAGTAATCCTAGATGTGAGGAATTATCTTACCCTCGGACCAAAGGAGGCAGCAGATGCCATAGCTAAGTACATGGTTTTGTAGTCAGAATGTATCCAAACTCCACAACTTAGTGGCTTAGCTTTGTGAACTTGGGCAAGTAAATTAAATTCGGCATACCTCAGAACAAATTGGCAAGATAATAGTCTATTTTTCAGGTTTTCAATATTTAAAATTAATTTAATTATAGTTGTGTTTTATCTGGTGTGGGTCCCATCCTATGGGCCTTATCCAGTGATATCCGTTTTTTCTTCCTTGTTCCTTCTTGATAAAATTCACATAGTATAAAATTCACCATTTTAAATGCACAATATTATTGAATTCAGTATAGTCATAAGGTTATACAACCATCATCATTATCAAATTCTAAAACATCCTTATCATCCAAAAGAGAAACCTTGTGCCCATTAGCATGCACTCACTATTTCCCGCTTCCCACTAATACACCTTCTGTCTCTATGGATTTGCCTTTTCTCGATATTTTGTATAACAGAATCATAAAGCATATGGCCTTTTATGTCTGGCTTCTTTCACTTAGCATAATATTAAAATGTTCATCCATGTTGTAGCAGTATTTCACTTTTTTTTGCTGAATAATATTCTGTTGTATGGATATGCCTATTTGAATTATCCATTTATCAGTTCATGGATATTTGGATGGCTTTCACATTTTGGCTTTATGATGATATGAACATTCATGTATAAATTTTTGTGTGAATAGGTTTCAGTTCTCTCAGTTATGTACCTGCAAGGGGAATTACTGGGTCACAAGGTAACTCTGTGTTTCTACATTTGTTTAACTTTTTGAGGAACTGCCAAAATGTTTTTCAAAGTTATTATACTATTTTACACTCCCACTAGCAGTGTATGAGAGTTTAAATTTCTTTCTACATCCTTGCTACCTAACACTTGTCATGTTTTTTATTTTTGTATTTGAGAACAGTCATCTTTGTGGGTGTGAAGTGGTACCTCATATCTCATTGGTGTTTAATTTGGATTTCTGTGACCATAAAAGATGTTGAGCATCTTTTCATGGGCCCATTGTCCATTTGAGTATCTTCTTTAGAGAAATGTTCATTCAAGCCCTTTGTCCATTTTTCAAAATTGGGTTATTTACCATTTTAATGATGAATTTAAGAGTTTCTAAAAATTCTTGATATTAGACTCTGATCACATCAATCATTTGCAAATATTATCTTGAATTCTGTGGATTGTATTTTTACTCTGTTGATGTTGTTCTTTGAAGCACAATGTGTTTTAATTTTCTGAAGTTCAATAGAAAGTAAAACTAGATTATTTTTACTTTAGTTTCTTGTGTTTTAGGTGTCATATGTAGGAAAATATTGCCTAATTCAAGGTCGTGAAGATTTACTTCTTCTAAGAGTGTTTAGGTTTTAGCTCTTATATTTAGGTCTATGATCCATTTGAGTTAAAATTTTTATATGGTTTGAGGTGGGGGGTCCAATTTCTTTTTAGTATTGGTAGCTAGTTTTCTTAGAACCATTTGTCGAATACTTATTTTACTAGTAAATTATCTTGGCATCCTTGCCAAAAACCAATTGTCCATCAAGGTATAAGTTTATTTTTGGATGCTCAGTTCCACTTTACTGACCTATATGCCTATTCTTATGTCAGTACTATAGCTTTGCAATACATTTTGAAATGAATTTTTATGATTTTTTTGGGTATTCTAGATGTTTTTCATTTTTTAAAGATCCACTTGTCAATTTCTGCAAAAAGCTAGCTGGAATTTTGAGAGGGATTGCACTGAAGCTGATAATAATTTGGGGAGTATTGTCATCTTAACAATATTTAGTTTTCCAATCCATGAATATAGGATGTCTTTCCATTTACTTAGGTTTTCTTTAATTTCTTTCAATGATGTATTGTACTTTTCAGTGCACAAGTCTTGACCTTTTGTTAGATTCATTCTAAGTATCTTGTTGATGCTATTTTAAATAGAATTTTTTTTGAATTTTATTTTTGGACTGTTCATTGCTAGTGTATAGACATAAAATTGATTTTTATATATTGATCTTGTATCCTACAACCTTGCTGAACTCATTTATCAGCTTTAACTTTTTAAGTGAATTCCTTAGGATCTTCTATAAATAATATCATGTAACCTGCATACAGTGATAGTTTTATTTCTTTCTAATCTGGATGCCTTTTATTTCTTTTTTAATTATCTAATTTTCTCTGTGTAGAGCCTCTAGTATAATGTTAATAGATGCTATGTGAGTGGACATCCTTGGCTTGTCCCTGATTTTAGAAGGAAGGCTTTCAGTCTTCTACCATTAAATATAATATTCTTTGTGGGGCTTTGTAGATGTCCTTTATCAGGTGAAGGAGATTCCTATCTATTCCTAGTTTGTTGAGTTTTTTTTTTAATCATGAAAAGATTGGAGATTTTAGCAGATTTTTCTGTGTCTATTAAGATAATATGTGTTTTTTGTCCTTTATTAGTATGATATATTGCACTGATGATTTTCACATATTGAATCAACCTTGTATTCCTGGGATAAATCTGACTTTGTCATGGTGTATAATCCATTTTATTTGTTGCTGTATTTGGTTGCTAATATTTTGTTGAGAAATTTTTCATCTATATTTGTAAGGGAAAGTAGTCTACATTTATATAAGGGAAAGTAGTATAAGGGAAAGTGTAAGTGTGTATGTATGTGTATGTGTGGTTTCTTTGTCTGGTTTTAGTGTCATACAAAATTATCCTCACAGAATGAGTTGAGAAGTACTCCCTCCTCTTCTATTGTTTGGAAGAGTTTGTGAAAGATTGGTGTTAACTTTTAAACATTTGGTAGAGTCCATCAGTGACATTGATTCTGGACTCTTCTTTGTGAGTTATTATTATTATTATTATTACTAATTTAATCTCTTTACCTGTTACAAGTCTATTCAGATTTTCTATTGCTTCTTAAGCCAGTTGTAGTAGTATACATCTAGGAATTTCTCTATCTCATCTAGGTTATTTAATTTCTTGGCATGTAATTTCTTGGCATGTGATATGGTTTGGTTCTGTGTCCCCCCCCAAATCTCATCTTTAATTGTAATCCTCATGGGTTGTGGGTGGGGCCTGATGGGAGGTGATTGAATCATGGGGAAAGACTTCCTCCTTGCTGTTCTGGTGACAGTAAGTGAGTTCTCATGAGATCTGGTTGTTTGAAAGTGTGTGGCACTTTCCCCTTCTCTGGACTTCTCTTTCCTGCTCCACCATGGTAAGATGTGCTTGCTTCCCCTTCACTTTCTGCCATGATTGTAAGTTTCTGGAAGCCTCCCAATCATGCTTCCTGTTAAGCCTGTGGAACTGTGAATCAATTAAACCTTTTTTCTTCATAAATTGCCCCATCTCAGGTAGTTCTTTTATAGCAGTGTAAAAACGGACGAATACAGAAAATTAGTACCAGGAAAGTAGGGCACTGCTATAAAGATAACCTGAAAGTGTGGAAGTGACTTTGGAACTGAAAAACAGGCAGAGAGTGGAACAGTTTAGAGGGCTCAGAAGACGACACGATGATGAGGGAAAGTTTGGAACTTCCTAGAGAATTGTTGAATGGTTTTGACCAAAATGCTGATAGTGATATAGACAATGAAGTTCAGGCTTAGGCGGTCTCAGATAGAGATGAGGAACTTATTGGGAACTGGAGCAAAAGTTACTCTTCTTATCCTTTACCAAAGAGACTGGTGGCATTGTGTCCCTGCTCTAGGGATCTGTGGAACTTTGAACTCTAGAGAGATGATTTAGGGTATCTGGTAGAAGAAATTTACATCTGGGTAAGCAGCAAAGCATTCAAGATGTAGCCTGGCTGCTCCTAACAGGATACAGTCATATGCATTCACAAAGAGGTGGTCTGAAATTGGAACTTATGTTTAAAAAAGAAGCAGAGCAGAAAAGTTTGGAAAATTTGCAACCTGACCATGTGGTAGAAAAGAAACACCCATTTTCTGAGTAGAAATTCAAGCCGGCTGCAGAAATTTGCATGAGTAAAGAGAAGTCAAATAATAGTGGCCAAGACAATGGGGAAAATGTCTCTAGGGCATGTCAGAGACCTTCACAGAAGCCTCTCCCATCACAGGGCCTGGGGCTTAAGAAGAAAAAAAATGGTTTTGTGGCCCAGGCCCAGGGCCCAGCTGCTCTATACAGGCTTAGGACACGGTGCACTGTGTCCCAGCTCCTCCAGCTCCAGCTGTGGCTAAAAGGGGCCAAGGTACAGCTCAGGCTGTGGCTTTGGAGGATGTAAACCCCAAGCCTTGGCTGCTTCCATGTGGTGTTGGGCCTGTGATGTGCACATGACAAGAGTTTGGGAACCTCTGCCTAGATTTCAGAGGATGTATGGAATTGCCTAGATATCCAAGCAGAAGTCTGCTGCAGGGGCAGGGCCTTCATGGAGAACCTTTACTAGGGCAGTGCAGAGGGGAAATGTGGGGTTGGAGCCTCCATACAGAGTCCCCACTGGGGCACTGCCTAGTGGAGCTCTAAGAAGATGGCCACTATGCTCCAGTCCCCAGAATGGTAGATCCACTGACAGCTTGCATTGTGCACCTGGAAAAGCTGTAGGTACTCAATGGCCATTCAAGAAAGAATCCACAGGGGCTGTACCCTCCAGAGCCATAGAGGGGGAGCTGCCCAAGACCATGGGAATCCACCTGTTCCATCAGCATGCCCTGGATGTGACACACGGAATCAAAGTAGATTATTTTGGAGCTTTTAGATTTAATGACTGCTTTGCTGGGTTTCAGACTTGCATGGGGCCTGTAGGCCCTTTGTTTTGGCCAATTTCTCCTATTTGGAATGGGAGCATTTACCCAATGCCTGCACCCCAATTGAATCTTGGAAGTAACAAACTTGTTTTTGATTTTACAGGGTCATAGGCGGAAGGGACTTGCCTTGTCTCAGATGAGATTTTGGACTTTTGACTTTTAGATTAATGCCAAATTGAGTTAAGACTTTGGGGGACTGTTGGGAAGGCATGATTGTGTTTTGAAATGTGAAAAGGACATGAGATTTTGGAGGGGCCAGGGGCAGAATGATATGGTTTGGCTCAGTGTCTCCACCCAAATCTCATCTCGAATTGTAATCCCCACATGTCAGGGGAGGGGACTGGTGGGAGGTGCTTTAATCATGGGAGATGACTTCCCTTTATTAGTCTGTTTTTACACTGCTATAAAGAACTTACCTGAGACTGGGTAATTTATAAAGAGAAGAGGTTTAATTGACTCACAGTTCTGCATTGCTGGGGGAGCCTCAGGAGACTTACATCATGGTGGAAGGGGAAACAGACACCTTCTTCAAAAGATGGCAACAGAGAGAGCAAGAGAGAGTGTGTGTGAAGCAGGAACTGTCAAACACTTATAAAAGCATCATATCTTGTGAGAACTCACTCACTATCCTGAGAATGGCCTGGGGGAAACCACCCCCATGATACAATCACCTCCCACCTTGTCCCTCCCTCAACACCTGGAGATTTTGGAGATTACAATTTGAGATGAGATTTGGGTGGGGACACAGAGCCAAACCATATTATTTCATTCCTGGCCCCTCCCAAATCTCATGTGTTCACATTTCAAAACACAATCATGCCTTCCCAACAGTCCCCCAAAGTTTTAAGTCATTTCAGCATTAACCTAAAACTCAAAAGTTCAAAATCTCATCTCAGACAAGTTCATTACTTCCAAGATACAATTGGATACATTCTCTTATTCCAAATGAGTGTAATTGGCCAAAACAAAGGGGCCACAGTCCCCATGCAAGTCCAAAACCCAACAGGGCAGTCATTAAAATTAAAAGCTCTGAAAGGATCTTGTTTGACTACATGTCTCACATCCAGGGCACACTGATGCAAGGGGTGGGCTCCCATGGTCTTGGGCAGCTCTGCCCCTGTGGCTTTGCAGGGTATAATCCCTCTCCTGGATGCTTTCATGGGCTGGCATTGAGTGCCTGCAGCTTTCCCAAGTGTAGGGTGCAAGCTGTCAGTGAACCTATCATTCTGGGGTCTGGAGGATGGTGGCTGTATCTCACAGCTCTACTAGGCAGTGCTACAGTGGGGACTCTTTGTGGGGGTTCCAAACTCATATTTTCCTTCCACACTGCCCTAGCAGAGGTTCTCCATGAGGGCTCCACCCCTGCAGCAGACTTTTTCCTGGACATCCAGGCATTTCCATCCATCCTCTGAAATCTAGTCAGAGGTCCCTAAACCTCAATTCTTGACTTCTCTGCACCTTCAGGCCCAACACCACATGGAAGAAGCCAAGGCTTAGGGCTTGCATTCTCTGAAGCCATGGTCTGAACTGTATCTTGGCCCCTTTTAGCCACAGCTGGAGTTGGAGCACCTGGGATCCAGGTCACCAAGTCCCAAGGCTACACACAGCAGCGGGGCTCTGGGCTTGGTTCATGAAACTATTTCTTTTTCCTAGGACTCAGGGCCTGTGATGGGAGGGCCTGCTGTTAAGATCTCTGACTGGTCCTGGAGACATTTTCTTCTTTGTCTTGGCTATTAACCTTGGGCTTCTCATTACTTATGCAAATATCTACAGCTGGCTTGAATTTCTCCCCAGAAAATGAGTTTTTCTTTTCTATTGCATTGTCAGGCTGCAAATTTTCCAAACTTTTGTGCTTTGCTTCCCTTTTAAACATGTTTCAATTTCCGATCATCTCTCTTAAATTTAAAATTCCAGAGATCTTTAGGGCAGGGGCAAAATGCTTTCAGTCTCTTTGCTAAAGCATAGCAAGAGTGACCTTTGCTCCAGTTCCCAAGAAGTTCCTTATCTCCATCTAAGACCACTTCAGCCTGGACTTCCTTGTCCACATCATTATCAGCATTTTGGTCAAAACCATTCAACAAGCCTCTAGGAAGTTCCAAACTTTCCCACATCTTTTTAATTTTTTTTCTGAATGCTTCAAACCGTTCCAATCTCTGCCTATTACCCAGTTCCAATGTCACTTCCACATTTTCCAGTTACCTTTATAGCAGTACCCCACTCTCCATGGTACTAATTTACTGTATTAGTTCGTTTTCACACTGCTATAAAGATACTACTTATATCTGGGTAGTTTATAAACAAAGGAGGTTTGACTCACAACAGATCTGCATGGCTTAACAGAAAGCATGATTGGAAGGCCTCAGGAAACTCACAATCATGGTGTAAGGTAAAGGTGAGGCAAATAATTCTTACCATGGTGGAGCAGGAGAGAGAGACCTAGGGAAGGGGTAAGTGCCACACACATTCAAACAACCAGATCTCATGAGAACTCACTCACTATCACAGAAACAGCAAGGGGGAATGATATGGTTTGGCTCTGTGTCCCTACTGAAATCTCATCTTGAATTGCAATCCCCCTAATCCCCACGTGTCAAGGGAGGGACTTGATGGGAGGTGGTTTGATCATGGGAACAGTTTCCATTATGCTGTTCTGATAGTTTTTAGTGTCAGGAGTGATTTTGTGGGCCAGGCCCAGACCCTATTGCTGTGTGCATCCTCAGGACTTGGTGTCCTGTGTCCCAACTGCTTCAGCTCCAGCTGTGGCTAAAAGGGGTGAAGATGTAGTTCAGGCCATTGCTTCAGAGGGTGTAAGCCCCACCCCTTGGTGGCTTCCACAGGGTGTTGGAACCGCAGGTGCACAGAAGTGAAGAATTGAGGTTTGGGAACCTCCATCTAGATTTCACCTCTCTCCAGGTCCCTCCTGAAGAGTGTTTCATTTGCAGTTGAGAAAAATATATATTCTGTTGTATGGAATGTTCAATAGATATCTTCTAGGTCTAGTTGGCTTATGGTGTTGTTCACGTCTTTTATTTTCTTGTTGCGGTTCTTTCTAGTTGTTCTATTCATTATTGAAAATGGGGTCTTAAAGTTTTCTACTATTATCATTGATATTTCTCTAATTGTCACTTTTTCCTTCTTAAATTGGGGGCTCTGTTGTTAAGTGCATATGTATTTATAAATGTTATATCTTCTTGATTTTGTCACTGTAAACATCCTTCTTTTATCTGGTAACCATTTTTGTCTTAAAGACTATTTTGTCTGATATTAGCATATCCACTCTACCTCTCTTTTGGTTACTGTTTTCCTGGTATATATTGTATTGTACTTTTACTTTACTAATTTTTGTCTAGTATGCAGTATGTAGTTGGGTTATGGTTTTGCATCTATTTTGCCAAGTCCAATTAAAAGTCCAATTAAATTATAAAATTACTACTGGTGAGTAAATTTGCATAGTCCACTATTTTATATAGACATTTGTACATTTATTTCCTCAGGATAAATTTCTATAAGTGTAATTATTACTTTAAAGTAAATGTCTGATTTTTATTTTGATTTTTTTTCATTTTTTTTTTTGGGGGGAGCTGACCCTTCAATTTTAGACCACTTTTCTATGGTACACTCTAACAGGTAATCAAGACTTATGGCAACATTGCCCAAAGAGTTAATGGAAAATATGGTTTTCACAATGATAAAATCTTCCTTGAGTAACCCAATTCTGAGATAGGAATCTTTCCTAAGTGTCCCCGCAGTATGACATACTTCTTCTATTATGATCACTGTTTATTGGTCAGTATCCCTTGATAGACTATAAGCTCAGTGATGTCTGGTGCTGCTGCCTTGAATTGTATTTTACCTGTAATTCCCAGTGTCTGCCTCAGTGCTTTGTGCATAGCACATACTTGATTAAAATAATTAAATTGAAGAGCAGAAGAAATAAATTTCAAAGAATTTTGTAAGTACCTCCAAATAATTCAAGGTACCTAAAGTAGGACAGGTACTACTCTCATTCAACTTCTATCCTTTCATTATTTGAAGCTCTCTTTATTCTTTTTTTAAACTTTTGTTTTAAGTTCAGTGGTACAAATTCAGGTTTGTTACGTAAGTAAACTTGTGTCATGGGGGTATGTTATACAGATTATTTCATCACCCAGTTATTAAGCCTAGTACCCATTGGTTGATTTTTTTTATTATCTCCTTCCTTCCACCCTCCACCCTCTGAAAGGCCCCATTGTGTGTTGTTCCCCTCTATGTGTCCATGTGTTCTCATCACCTAGCTTCCACATATAAGTGAGAACATGCAATATTTGGTTTTCTGTTCCTGTGTTACTATGCTAAGGATACTGGCCTCCAGCTTCATCCATGTCCCTGCAAAGGACATGCTCTTGTTCTTTTTTTATGGTTGCATAGTATTCCATGGTGTATATGTACCATATTTTGTTCATCTAGTCTATCACTGATGGGTATTTAGGTTGATTCCATGTCTTTGTTATTATGAATAACACTGCAGTGAACATATGTGTGCATGTGTCTTCATAATAGAATGATTTATATTCCTTTGGGTATATACCTAGTAATGGGATTGCTGAATCGAATGATATTTCTGTCTTTAGGTCTTTGAGGAATTGCCACACTGTCTTCCATAACTGCTGAACTAATTTTCACTCCTACCAACAGTGTATAAGCATTCCTTTTTCTCCACAACCTTACCAGCATCTGCTGTTGTTTGACTTCTTAATAGTAACCATTTTCACTCATGAGAGATGTTATCTCATTGTGGTTTTGATTTGCATTTCTCTAATGAGAAGTGATGTTGAGCTTTTTTTCATACGCTGCTGGCTACATATATGTCTTCTTTTCAGAAGTGTCTATTCATGTTCTTTGCCCACTTTTTTTATGGGGGCTGTTTTTTATCTTGTAAATTTGTTCTTTATAGATGCTGGATATTAGACCTTTGTCTAAGGCATAGTTGGCAAAAATATTCTCCCATTCTGTAGGTTGTCTGTTTCCTCTGTTGATAGCTTATTTTGCTGTGCACAAGCTCTTTAGTTTAGATCTCATTTGTCAGTTTTTGCTTATGTTGCAATTGTTTTTGGTGTCTGTCATGAAATCTTTGCCTATGCCTATGTCCTGAAGTTATTGCCTACATTGCCTTCCAGGGTTTTTATAGTTTTGGGCTTTACGTTTTAATATTTAACCCATCTTGAGTTAATTTTTGTATATTATTGTATCAGTCCATTCTCACACTGCTATAAGGATACTACCCAAGACTGGGTAATTTATAAACAAAAGAGGTTTAATTGACTCACAGTTTTGCATGGCTGGGGAGGCCTCAGGAAACTTACAAGTATGGTGGAAGGTGAAGGGGAAAGAAGCGCCTTCTTCACAAGGTGGCAGGAGAGAGAGATCACAGGGGAGACTGCCAGTCACTTACCAAAAAGATTTCGTGAGAGCTCCCTCACTATCATGAGAACATCATGGAGGAAACTGCCCCCATGATCCAATCACCTTCTACAAGGTCCCTCACTGAACATATGGGGATTACAATTTTGGATTACAACTTGAGATGAGATTTGGGAAGAGATACAGCCAAACCATATGATTTTGTCCATGCCTCCTCCCAAATCTCATGTCCTTTTCATATTTCAAAACCAAATATGCCTTCCCAACACTTTCTCAAAGTCTTAAATCATTCCAGCATTAACTCAAAAGTCCAAGTTCAAAGTTTCATCTGAGAAAAGGCAAGTCCCTTCTGCCTGTGAGCCTGTAAAATCAAAAACAAGTTAGTTACTTCCAAGATAGAATGGGAGTGCAGACATTGGATAAATGTTCCCATTCCAAGTGGGAGAAATTGGCCAAAACAAAGAGCCAGATGCCCCATGCAAGTCCAAAACCAGGCCAGGCAGTCATTAAATCTTAAAGGTTCAAAATAATCTACTTTGACTCCATGTCTCACATCTGGGGCATGCTGATGCAAGGGATGGGCTCCCACAGCCTTGGGAAGCTCCACCCTGGTGGCTCTGCAGGGTATAGCCCCTGTGGCTGCTTTCACAGCCTGCCATTGAGTGCCTGTAGCTTTTCCAAGTGTATGGTGCAAGCTGTTGGTCGATCTGTCATTCTGGGGTCTGGAGGGTGGTGGGCCTCTTCTCATAGCTCCACTAGGCAGTGCCATAGTGAGGACTCTATATGTGGGCTCCAACCCCACATTTACCCTCTGTATTACCCTAGTAGAAGTTCTCCATGAGGGTTCTGCCCCTGTAGCAGACTTCTGCCTGGAAATCCAGGTATTTCCATCCATTCAGTGAAATCTAGGTGGAGGTTTCAAAGATCAACTTTTGTGTTTTTTATACCCATAGGCCCAGCACCATGTGGAAGAAGCCAAGGCTTGGGACTTGCACCCTCTGAAGAAATGGCTCGAGTGGTACCTTGGTCCCTTTTAGCCATAGTTAGAGCTGGAGCAGCTCGGACACAGGGCACCAAGTCCCAAAGCTACACAGAGCAGCTGGGCCCTGGGCCTGGCCAGTGAAACCATTTTTCCCTCCTATGCCTTTGGGCCTGTGATGGGAGGGGTTGGTGTGAAGGTCTCTGATATGCCCTGGTGACGTTTTCCCCATGGTCTTGGCTATTAACATTCAGTTCCTCATTACTTATGCAAAATTCTGCAGCCAGCTTGAATTCGTCCACAGAAAATGGGTTTTTCTTTTCTACCACATGGTCAGGCTGCAAATTTTCCAACCTTTATGCTCTGCTTCTTTTTTAAACATAAGTTCCAATTTCAGAGGATCTCTTTGTGAACACATATAGCTGAACACTTTCAGAATAAGCCAGGTCACAGCTTAAATGCCTTGCTGCTTAGAAATTTCTCCTGCCAGATACTCTAAATCATCTCTTTCAAGTTCAAAATTTTACAGATCTCTAGGGCAGGGGCAAAAGGCCCCTAGTCTCTTTGCTAAAGCATACGATGAGTGACCTTTTCTCCAGTTCCCAATGAGTTCCTCATCTCTATCTGAGACCACCTCTGCCTGGTCTTCGTTGTCCATGTCACTATCAGCATTTTGGTCAAAACTATTCAACAAGTCTCTAGAAAGTTCCAAACTTTCCCACATCTTTCTTTTTCTGACCCATCCAAACTGTTCCAGCCTCTGCCTGTTTCCCAGTTCCAAAGTCACTCCACATTTTTGTGTTATCTTTATAGCAGTACCCCATTGTGCTTGTACCAATTATCTGTATTAGTTCATACTCACAATGCTGTGATACTACCTGAGACTGGGTAATTCATAAACAAAAGAGGTTTAATTGACTCAAAGTTCCACATGGCTTGTGAGGCCTCAGAAAGCTTACAATCATGGCAGAAGGTGAAGGGGAAGCAAGCACTTTCTTCACAAGGTGGCAGGAGAGAGAGAGAACACAGGGGAAACTTATCAAACAACCAGATCTCATGAGAGTTCCCTCACTATTATGAGAACAGCATGGGAGAAACTGCCTCCAGGATCCAATCACCTTGTACCAGGTCCTTCCCTTGACACATAGGGATTACAATTCAGATTACAATTTGAGATGAGATTTGGGTGGGGACATAGCCAAACCTTATCAAAGATGTAAGTAAGTGGTCCAGTTTCAGTCTTCTGCATATGGCTAGCCATTTATCACAGCACCATTTATTGAATATGGAATTCTTTCTCCATTGCTTGTTTTTTTTTTCTTCAGGTTTTCAAAGATCAGATAGTTGTTGGTGTGTAGTCTTATTTCTGGGTTCTGTAGTCTGTTCCATTGGTCTATGTGTCTGTTCTTGTACCAGTACCATGCTGTTTTCATTACTGTTGCTCTGCAGTATAGTTTGAAGTCAGGTAGCATGATGCCTCTAGCTTTGTTCTTGTTGCTTAGGATTGCCTTGGCTATTTGGGCTCCTTTTTGGTTCCATATGAATATTAAAATAGGTTTTTCTAGTTCTGTGAAGAATATCAATGGTAGTTTAATGGGAATAGCATTGAATCTGTAAATTTCTTTGGGCAGTATGGCCATTTTAATGATATTGATTCTTTCTATCCGTGAGCATGGAATGTTTTTCCATTTGTTTGTGTCATTGCTGATTTCTTTGAGCAGTGGTTTGTAGTTCTCCTTTAGAGATCTTTCACCTCCCTAGTTAGCTGCATTCCTAGGTATTTTATTCTTTTTTGTGGCAGTTGTCAATGGGAGTTTGTGGTTTGGCTTTCAGCTTGACTGTTGTTGGTGTATAGGAATGCTAGCTATTTTTTTTTTTTTTTAAATGGAGTCTCACACTGTCACCCAGGCTGGAGTGGAATGGTGTTATCTTGGCTCACTGCAACCTCCACCTCTTGGGTTCAAGCAATTCTTCTGCCTCAGCCTCCCGAGTAGCTGGGATTACAGGCACCCACCACCATGCCTGGCTAATTTTTTATATTTTTAGTAGAGACAAGGTTTCACTATGTTGGCCAGGATGATCTTGAACTCCTGACCTCATAATCCGCCCACCTTGGCCTCCCAAAGTGCTGGGATTACAGGCATGAGCCACCGAGCCTGGCTGAATGCTAGCTATTTTTGCACGTTGATTTTGTATCCTGAGACTTTGCTGAAGTTGCTTATCAGCATAAGAAGCTTTGGGGCTGAGACGATGGGGTTTTCTAGATATAGGGTAACGCCATCTGCAAACAGGGATAATTTGATGTATTAGCTCGTTCTCACACTGCCATAAAGAACTACTTGAGACTGGGTAATTTATGAAGAAAACAGGTTTAATCAGCTTATGATTCTGTGGGCTGTACAGAGTTCTACTTCTGGGGAGACCTCAGAAAATTTACAATCATGGCAGAAGGTGAAGGGGATGGAAGCACATCTTCATATGGTGGGCAGGAGAGGGGAGAGGTGCTATAAACTTTTAAACAAGTGGCACTAAGGAGGATGTTGTTAAACCATTAGAAATTGCCCCCATGATCCAATCACTGCACACCAGGCCCCTCTTCCAAAACTAGGGATTATAATTTGACATGAGATTTGGGCAGGGACACAAAGTGAAATTATATCATTTGATGTCCTGGCTTCCTATTTGCGCTTTCTTTCTTTCTTTGCCTAATTTTCCTGGCTGGAACGTTCAATACTATGTTGAATAGGAGTGGTGAGAGAGGGCATCCTTGTCTTGCGCTGGTTTTCAAGGGGTATGCTTCCAGCTTGTGTCCATTCACTGTGATGGCTGAATTAGGTTGCCATAGATGGCTATTATCATTTTGAGGTATGTTCCTTCAATACCTATTTTATTAGGTATTGAAGCTTATTAAGTTTTTGACATGAAGGGATGTACAAAAATAGTGCTGGCAGTGTTCCTACTGAAACTATTCTAAATAATTAAAAGGAAGGGATATTGAATTTTATCAAAAGCTTTTTCTACAGGAAATAAATTCAATATCCCTTCATGTGAAAAACCTAAGTGATTATCTATTGAGATAAACATGTGATTGTTTTCCTTTGGTTCTGTTGATGTGATGAATCACATTTATTGATTTGTGTATGTTGAACCAGACTTGCCTCCCAGAGATGAAGCCTACTTGATCATGGTGGATAAGCTTTTTGATGTGCTGTTGGATTTGGTTTGCCAATATTTTGTTGAAGATTTTTGCGTCAATATTCATCAAGGATATTGGCCTGAAGTTTCCTTTTTTTGTTGTGTCTCTGTCAGGTTTTGGTATCACGATGATTCTGGCCTCATAGAATGACTTAGGGAGGAGTCCCTCTTTTTCAGTTTTTGGAATAGGTTCAGTAGGAATGGTACCAGCTCTTCTTTGTACATCTGGTAGAATTTAGCTGTGAATCTGTCTGGTCTTAGGGTTTTTGTAGTTGGTAGAATTTGTATTACTGCCTCAATTTCTGAACTTATTATTGGTTTGATCAGGGACTCAATTTCTTCCTGGTTCAGTCTTGAGAGGGTGTATGTGTTCAGAAATTTATCCATTTCTTCTAGATTTTCTAGTTTATGTGAATAGAGGCATTTATAATTCTCTGATGGTTGTATTTCTGTGGGGTCAGTGATACTGTCATGCTTATTGTTTCTGATTGTGTTTATTTAAATCTTCTCTCTTTTCTTCTTTGTTAGTCTAGCTAGTGGTCTCTCTATAAATTTTTTCAAAAAATCAGCTCCTGGATTCATTGATCTTTTGAATGATTTTTCATGTCTCTATCTCCTTCAGCTCAGCTCTGATTTTGGTTATTTCTTGTCTTCTGATAGCTTTTGGATTTGTTTGCATATGGTTCTCTAGTTCTTTTAGTTGTGATGTTAGTTTGTTAACTTGAGATCTTTCTACATTTTAGATGTGGGCATTTAGTGCTATTAATTTCCCTCTTAACACTGTCTTAGCTATGTCGAGAGATTCTGGTACATTATTTCTTCTCATTAGTTTCAAAGAACTTACTGATTTCTGCCTTAATTTCATTATTAACCCCAAATAATTCAGTAGCAGGTTATTCGATTTCCATGTAATTGTATGGTTTTCAGTGAATTTCTTAGTCTTGAGTTCTAATTTGATTATGCTGTTGTCTGAAAACTGTTTATTACTATTTCCGCTCTTCTGCATTTGCTGAGGATTGTTTTATGTCTGATTATGTGATCAATTTTGGGAATAAATGCCATGTGGCAATGAGAAGAATGTATGTTCTGTTGTTTTTGGGTGAAGACCTCTGTAGATATCTATCAGGTCCATTTGATCCAGTGCTGAGTTTAGGTCCTGAATATCCGTCAATTTTCTGTCTTGATAATATGTTTAATACTGTCAGTGGTGTTAAAGTCTCCCACTATATTATGTAGGAATCAATGTCTCTGACATTCTCTAAGAACTTGCTTTATGAAGCTCCTGTGTTTGGTTCATATATATATGTATGTTTTTTAAAAATTTTTTTGAGATGGAATTTCACTCTTGTTGCCCAGGCTGGAGTGCAATGTCACGATCTCGGCTCATCACAACTTCCACCTCCTGGGTTCAAGTGATTCTCCTGCCTCAGCCTCCCGAGTAGCTTGGATTATAAACATGCACCAACACACCTGGCTAATTTTGTATTTTTAGTAGAGATGGAGTTTCTCCATGTTGGTCAGGCTGGTCTTGAACTCCTGACCTCAGGTAATCCACCCTCCTTGGCCTCCCAAAGTACTGGAATTACAGGTGTAAGCCACCACGCCCGGCCTTTGGTTCATACATATTTAGGATAGCTCTTCTTTTTGAATTGAACACTTTACCTTCTTTGTCTTTTTTGATCTTTGTTGGTTTAAAGTCTGTTTTGTCAGAAAGTAGGATTGCAATCTATGCTTTTTCTTTTTTTTTTCTTTTGAGACGGAATTTCATTTTGTCATCCATGCCGGAGTGCAGTGGTACAATCTGAGCTCACTCCAACCTCCGCCTCCCAGGTTCAAGCAATTCTCGTGCCTCAGACTCCTGAGTAGCTGAGATTACAGATGCATGCCACTATGCCTGGCTAATTTTTGGTATTTTTTGTAGAGACACAGTTTCACCATGTTGGCCAGGTTGGTCTCGAACTTCTGACCTCAAGCTGTCTGCTCATCTCAGCCTCCCAAAGTGTGGGATTACAGGGTGAGCCACTGTGCCCAGCCACCCCTGCTTTTTTTTGTTTTCCATTTGCTTGGTAGATTTTCTTCCTTCCCTTTATTTTGAACCTATGTATGTCATTGCATGTGAGATGGGTCTTTTGAAGACAGCATACTGATGGGTCTTGACTCCTTATCCAGCTTGCCACTCTGTGTCTTTTAATTGGGGCATTTAGCCCATTTACATTTAAGGTTAGTATTGATATGTGTGGATTTGATCCTGTCATCATGATGTTAGCTGGTTGTTTTGCAGACTTGTTTATGTGGTTGCTTTATAGTGTCACTGGTCTGTGTACTTCAGTTGGTGTTCCTGTAGTGGCTGGTAATGGTTTTTCCTTTTCATATTTAGTGCTTCCTTCAGGAGCTCTTGTAAGGCAGGTCTGGTGGTAATGAATTCCCTCAGGATTTGCTTGTCTGAAAAAGAACTTATTTCTCCTTTGTTTATGAAGCTTAGTTAGGCCAGATATGAAATTCTGGGTTGGAATTTCTTTTCTTTAAGAATGTTGAATACTGGACCCCAATCTCTTCTGGCTTATAATGTTTCTTCTGAGAGCTCTGCTGTTAGTCTGATGGGCTTCCCTTTGTAGGTGATCTGGCCTTTCTCTCTAGCTGGCCTTAACATTTTTTCTTTCACTTTGACCTTGGAGAATCGGATGATTATGTGTCTTGGGGATGATCTTCTCATGGAGTATCTTACTGGGGTTCTCTGCATTTCCTGAATTTGAATGTTAGCCTGTCTTGCTAGGTTAGGGAAATTCTCATGGATGATATCCTAAAATATGTTTTCCAAATTGGTTCCATTCTCTCATCTCTTTCAGGTACACCAATCAGTCATAGGTTTGGTCTCTATACATAATCCCATATTTTTTGGAGATTTTATTATTTCTTTTTCATTCTTTATTCTCTATTCTCATCTGCCTGTGTTATTTCAGAAAGACAGTCTTCAAACTCTGAGATCTTTTCTCCACTTGGTCTATTCTGTTACTAATACTTGTGATTGCATTATGAAATTCTTACAGTATGTTTTTCAGCTCTCTCAGGTTCATTATATTCTTCTCTATACTGGCTATTTTGTCTGTCAGCTCCTGCAATGTTTTGTCATGATTTTTAGCTCTCTTGCATTGGGTTACAACATGTTTCTTTCACTCAGTGAAGTTAGTTTTTATTCACATTTTGAATGCTACTCCTGTCATTTCAACCACCCCAGCCTCAGCCTAGTTCTGAACCCTTGCTAGAGAGGTGATATGGTCATTTGGAGGAAAGAAGACACTGTGGCTTTTTGAGTTTTCAGTGTTCTTACACTGATTGTTTCTCATTTTTGTGGGCTTATCTACTTTTAATCATTGAGGTTGCTGACTTTTGGATTTTTTTTTTAAACAGTTTGGCCACTCTTCTGTAGGGCTACTGCAGTTTGCCTGAGGTCCACTCAAGTCCCTAGTTGCCTCAGATTTTCCAGTTCTTAGAGGTATCATCAGTGAAGGCTGTGAAACAGCAATGATTGCAGCCTGCCCCCTCCTCTGGGAGCTCCATCCCAGAGAGCTACAGACCTGTTGCAGCCTGAATGTATCTGTAAGAGTTGGCTGGAAGCCCCAGTTGGGAGGTCCCACCCTGTGAGGAGGAATAGGATTGGGGACCCACTTAAAGAAGCAGTCTGGCCATGTTTTGGTAGAGCAGCTGTGCTGTGCTTGGGGATCCTTTCTGCCCCTGGTTGGTTTAGACTCTCCAAAGCCCATAGGCTGGAATGGCTGAGTTCCCCAAACTACAAAGATGGTGGCCCACCCCTCCCCTGAGTACTTCATCTCAAGGAGAATTCAAATTTCTTTTGACTAAAGAACACCAGCAGGGGTGGCTTGAGGCCCCAGTTCAGAGGTTGTACCCATTGAGGAGGAATGGTATTGGGAATTCACTTGAAGCAGTCTGGCCACACTTTCATAGAGCAGCTGTGGTGTGCTGGGGTATCACTTCTGCCCTGATTGGCTTGGGCTCTATTTTAAATTTTTAATTTTTTTATTTGAGACAGGGTCTTGCTGTTGTTTCCCAGGCTGGAGTGTAGTGGTGCAATCATGGCTCACTGTGGCCTCAACCTCCTGGGCTCAAGAGATCCTTCCACCTCAGCCACCTGAGTAGCTGGGTTTACTGGTGCATGCCACCATGGCTGACTAATTTTGTTGCATTTTTGGTAAAAATGGGGTTTTGCATGTCGTCCAGGCTGGTCTCAAACTCCTGGGCTCAAGTGATCCACCTGCAATTCCTTAAATTTGTATTTCTTCCTGGAGAGTTTGTATAGTGTCTTGTCCCACCAAAAGAATGTGTGAAACTGGGAATATTAATGTTTTAGAACTATGCAGATCAGCTTTTTTTTTGCATATCTGGCAAGCCCAAACTCCTTTGATTTTCCTAGTTTACTCTTTTCATGTTCAGATTTAACTTGTGAATGTACTAATGTACTTTCTTAAGTACCAACTCTTTGTCTCCTGACATTTAAGCCTTTAGCAATGTACCCATAACCTATATCTTCAAGCTCATTTCCCATCTTTTCAACTACATTGCACTTGTAACACTCAATCAAGCTCATCTACCTTTGTCTTTTTTTTTTAACCTATTTAATTCTCTATTGTTGGAATATCCTTACCTATACCTCTTTCAGCAATACTTTTCATTCTTGAAGGCTCATGACGTACTTTATCTATGAAATAATTTATAATTCTTTCATATAAAAGTAATCTTAAAATCATTTAAATCTCTATGAAAAGACAATAAATCTCAGGACCCCAAACTCACTATGCCAAAGGGAAAAGTCAAGCTGGGAACTGGGTCACACAAACCTGCCTCCCATTTGATTTCTAAATAAGAGAGCTTAAAGATAAAAAGCTATATACCTTTCCTCACAGTTTTCCCACAAAGAAATTTCTTATAGGTCTTATGATCTTTATGCTATAATAGTTCTGATGAATTTCACCCTGGCAGTATAAATTGAGAGCTTATCTTCACAGGTGCGGGACAAAGGACAGAACTCAAAGTCATCCTGTGCACCTGAGACAAATGCGTATCTGATTGCTTTGTCTGCCCTATTGTTTATGTTATCTCACATAAAAATGCAGATTCACTGAGCCAGATGAAGGCGTAAAGGGAAATGTCAAGGGGACATTTCTGTGTGACTATTTCTGTGACCACCTTTCTCACATGAAAATTGTGTATTCAGGGAAAGGTTGATCAAAGACTCAAAAGGATTCAACCATTTGTCTCTTATCTACCAATACATTTTAAAAAATATTTTTTCTTCTCCCAATGTTTGCCCTTTCCCCAATCAGTATTTTTTCTTCTTTCTTTCTTTCTTTCTTTCTTTTTTTTTAATGAGATGGACTCTTGCACTGTCTCCCAGGCTGGAGTGCAATGGTGCGATCTCGGCTCACTGTAACCTCCGTCTCCCAGGTTCAAGTGATTCTCCTGCCTCAGCCTCCAGAGTAGCTGGGATTACAGGTGACCACCACCACGCCTGGCTAATTTTTTGTATTTTTAGTAGAGATGGCGTTTCACTATGTTGGCCAGGCTGGTCTCGAACTCCTGACCTTGTTATCTGCCTGAATCGGCCTCCCAAAGTGCTGGGATTACAGGCATGAGCTACCGTCCCTGGCCAGTTTTTTTTTTTTTTTTCCTCTAATTTTACTTTAAGTTCTGGGATATATGTGCAGAACGTGCAGGTTTGTTACATAGGTATACATGTGCCATGGTGGTTTGCTGCACCTATCAACCCATAATCTAGGTTTTAAGCCCCGCATGCATTATGTATTTCTCCTAATGCTCTCCCTCCCCTTGCTCCCCACCCCCTGACATCCCCAGTGTGTGATGTTCCCCTCCCTGTGTCCATTTATTCTCATTGTTCGACTTATGAGTGAGAACATGTGGTGTTTGGTTTTGTGTTCCTGTGTTAATTTGCTGATAATGATGGTTTCTAGCTTCATCCATGTCCCCAAAAAGGAAATGAACTCATTCTTTTTTATGGCTGCATAGTATTCCATGGTGTATATGTGTCATATTTTCTTTATCCAGTCCATCATTGATAGGCATTTGGATTGGTTCCAAGTCTTTGCTATTGTAAATGGTATTGCAATAAACATACATATGCATGTGTCTTTTTAGTAGAATGATTTATAATCCTTTGGGTATACACCCAGTAATGGGATTGCTGGGTCAGATGGTATTTCTGGTTCTAGATCCTTGAAGAATAACCACACTGTCTTCCACAACAGTTGAAGTAATTTACACTCCAACTAGCAATGTAAAAGCATTCCTATTTCTCCACATCCTCACCAGCATCTGTTGTTACCTGACTTTTTAATGATCGCCATTCTAACTGGTATGAGATGGTATCTCATTGTGGCTTTGATGTGCATTTCTCTAATGACCAGTGATGAGCTTTTTTTCATATGTTTGTTGGCCACATAAATATCTTCTTTTGAGAAGTATCTGTTCATATTCTTTGCCTAGTTTTTATGGGGTTGTTTGTTTTTTTCTTGTAAATTTGTTTAAGTTCCTTGTAGATTCTGGATATTAACTCTTTGTCAGATGGATAGATTGCAAAAATTTTCTCCCATTCTGTGAGTTTGCTTCTTCACTCTAATGCTAGTTTCTTTTGCCATGCAGAAGCTTTTTAGTTTAGTTATATCCCATTTGTGATATTTGGCTTTTGTTGCAATTGCTTTTGGTGTCTAGTCATGAAGTCTTGCCCATGCCTATGTACTGAATGGTATTGCCTAAGTTTTCTTCTAAGGTTTTTATGGGTCTAGGTTTTACATTTAAGTCTTTAATCCATCTTGAGTTAATTTTTATATAAGGTGTAAGAAAGGGGTCCAATTTCTGTTTTCTGCATATGGCTAGCCAGTTTTTTCAGCAGCATTTGTTAAATAGGGAATACTTTCCCTGTTGCTTGTTTTTGTCAGGTTTGTCAAATATCAGATGGTTGTATATGTGTGATGTTATTTCTGAGGTCTCTGTTCTGTTCCATTGGTCTATATATCTGTTTTGGTAGCAGTACCATACCGTTTTGGTTACTGTAGCCTTGTAGTGTAGTTTGAAGTCAGGTAGTGTGATGCTTCCAGCTTTGTTCTTTTGGCTTAGGATTGTCTTAGCTATAGAAGATCTTTTTGGATACATATTAAATTTAAAGTAGTTATTTATAATTCTGCAAAGAATGTCAATGGTAGTTTGATGGGAATAGCATTGAATCTATAAATTACTTTGGGCAGTATGGCCATTTTCACGATCCTGATTCTTCCTATCCATGAGCATGGAATGTTTTTCCATTTGTTTGTGTCCTCTCTTATTTCCTTGAGCAGTGGTTTGTAGTTCTCCTTGAAGAGGTCCTTCATGTCCATTGTAAGTTGTGTTCCTAAGTATTTTATTCTCTGTATAGCAATAGTGAATGGGAGTTCACCCATGATTTGGCTTTCTGCTTGTCTATTAGTGTATAGGAATGCTTGTGATTTTTGCTCATTGATTTTGTATCCTGAGACTTTGCTGAAGTTGCTTATCAGCTTAAGGAGATTTTGGGCTGAGATGATGGGGCTTTCAAAATATACAATTATGTCATCTGCAAACAGAGAAAATTTTACTTCCTCTCTTCCTGTTTGAATACCCTTTATTTCTTTCCCTTGCCTGATTGCCCTGGTCAGAACTTCCAATACTATGTTAAATAGGAGTGTTGAGAGAGGGCATCCTTGTCTTGTGCCAGTTTTCAAAGGGAATGCTTCCAGCTTTTGCCCATTCAGTATGATATTGGCTATGGGTTTGTCATAAATAGCTCTTATTATTTTGAAGTATGTTCCATCAATACCTAGTTTATTGAGAGTTTTTAGCATGAAACAATGTTGAATTTTATTGAAGGCCTGTTTTGCATCTATTGAGATAATAGTGTGGTTTATTGTCATTGGTTCTGTTTATGTGATTGATTACGTTTATTGATTTGCGTATGTTGAACCAGCCTTTCATCTCAGGGATGAACCTGACTTGATCATGGTGGATAAGCTTTTTGATGTGCTGCTGGATTTGTTTTGCCAGTATTTTATTGAGGATTTTTGTATCAATGTTCATCAGGGATATTGGCCTGAAATTTTATTTTTTTATTATGTCTCTGGCAGGTTTTGGTATCAGGATGATCCTGGCCTCATAAAATGAGTTAGGGAGGCGTCCCTCTTTTTCTGTTGTTTGGAATAATTTCAGAAGGAATGGTACCAGCTCCTCCTTGTACCTCTGGTAGAATTCGGCTGTGAATCTGTCTGGTCCTGGGCTTTTTTTTTTGGTTGACAGGCTATTAATTACTGCCTCAATTTTAGAACTTGTATTGGTCTATTCAAGGATTCAACTTCTTCCTCCTTTAGTCTTGGGAGAGTGTATGTGTCCAGGAATTTTTCCATTTCTTGTAGATTTTCTAGTTAGTTGTGTAAAGGTTATAGTATTCTCTGATGGTAGTTTGTATATCTGTGGGATCAGTGGTGACATCCCCTTTATCATTTTTTATTGGGTCTATTTGATTCTTCTCTCTTTTCTTATTAGCCTAGCTAACAGTCTATGTATTTTGTTAATCTTTAAAAAAAAAAAAAAACAACCTCCTGGATTTTTTTGAGAGTTTTTTCATGTCTCTATCTTCTTCAGTTCTGCTGTGATCTTAGTTATTTCTTGTTTTCTGCTAGCTTTTGAATTTGTTTGCTCTTGCTTCTTTAGTTCTTTTAATTGTGATGTTCAGGTGTCAATTTCAGATTTTTCCAGCTGGTGTGGGCATTTAGTGCTATAAATTTCCCTCTAAAAACTGCTTTAGCTGTATCCCAGAGATTCTGCTATGTTGTCTCTGTTCTCATTGGTTTGAAAGAACTTGATTTCTGCCTTGATTTCATTATTTACCCAGTAGTCATTCAGGAGCAGGTTGTTCAGTTTCCATGTAATTGTGTGGTTTTGAGTGAGTTTCTTAATCCTGAGTTCTAATTTGATT
Organism: Homo sapiens; assembly: GCF_000001405.40. Classification (NCBI taxonomy): domain Eukaryota; kingdom Metazoa; phylum Chordata; class Mammalia; order Primates; family Hominidae; genus Homo; species Homo sapiens. Next base: position 107,159,097 of record NC_000003.12, on the reverse strand, counting down.
GCATTGTGATCTGAGAGACTGTTTGTTACTATTTCTGTTCTTTTGCATTTACTGAGGAGTGTTTTACTTCCAGTTATGTGGTCAATTTTAGAATAAGTGTGATGTGGTGCTGAGAAGAATGTATATTCTGTTGATTTGGGGTGGAGAGTTCTGTAGATGTCTATTAGGTCCACTTGGTACAGAGCTGCGTTCAATTCCTGAATATTCTTGTTAATTTTCTGTCTCATTGATCTGTCTAATATTGACAGTGGGGTATTAAAATCTCCCACTATTATTATGTGGGAGTCTAAATCTCTCTGTAGATCTCTAAGAACTTGTTTTATGAATCTGGGTGCTCCTGTATTGGGTGCAGATATATTTAGGATAGTTAGCTCTTCTTGTTACATTGATCCTTTACCATTATGTAATGCCCTTTGTCTTTTTTGATCTTTGTTGGCTTAAAGTCTGTTTTATCGGAGAGCAGGATTGCAAACCCTGCTTTCTTTTGCTTTCAATTTCCTTGGTAAATATTCCTCCATCCCTTTATTTTGAGCCTATGTGTGTCTTTGCACGTTAGATGGGTCTCCTGAACACAGCACACCGATGGGTCATGACTCTTTATCCAGTTTGCCAGTCTGTGTCTTTTAATTCGGGCATTTAGCCCATTTACCTTTAAGGTTAATATTGTTATGTGTGAATTTGATCCTGTTGTCATGATGCTAGCTGGTTATTTTGCATATTAGTTGATGCAGTTTATTCATAGTGTCATTGGTCTTATATTATGGTGTGTTTTTGCAGTGGCTGGTACTGGTTTTTTCTTTCCATATTTAGTGCTTCCTTCAGGAGCTCTTGTAAGGCAGGCCTGGTGGTGACAAAATCTCTCAGCATTTGCTTGTCTGTAAAGGATTTTATTTTTTCTTGACTTATGAAGCTTAGTTTGGCTGGATATGAAATTCTTGGTTGAAAATTTTTTTCTTTAAGAATGTTGAGTTCAGGCATGGTGGCTCACGCCTGTAATCCCAGCACTTTGGGAGGCCGAGGTGGGTGGATCACAAGGTCAAGAGATCGAGACCATCCTGGCCAACATGATGAAACTCCATCTCGTCTAAAAATACAAAAATTAGCTAGGCGTGGTGGCGTGCCCCTGTAGTCCCAGCTACTTGGGAGGCTGAGGCAGGAGAATCACTTTAACCTGGGAGGTCGAGGTTGCAGTGAGCGAAGATTGTGCCACTGTACTCCAGCTTTGTGACAGAGTGAGACTCCATCTAAAAAAAAAAGAATGTTGAACATTGGCCCTCACTCTCTTCTGGCTTGTAGGGTTTCTGCAGAGACATCTGCTGTTAGTCTAATGGGCTTCCCTTTTAGATAACTTGACCTTTCTCTCTGGCTGCCCTTAACATTTTTTTCTTTATTTCAACCTTGGAGAATCTGATGATTATGTGTTGCTCTTTTTGAGGAGTATCTTAGTGGTGTTCACTGTATATCCTGAATTTGAATGTTGGCTTGTCTTGCTAGGTTGTGGACATTCTCCTAAATAATATCCTGAAATGTGTTTTCCAACTTGGTTCCATTCTCCCAGTCACTTTCAGGTACACCAATCAATCATAGGTTTGGTGTTTCCACATAGTCCCATATTTCTTGGAGGCTTTGTTCATTTCTTTTCATTCTTTTTTCTCTAATCTTCCCTTTGCACCTTATTTCAGTAAGTTTATCTTCATTCTCTGATATCCTTTCTTCTGATTGATTGATTCTGCTATTGATACTGTGTATGCTTGACGAAGTTCTCCTGCTGTGTTTTTCAGCTCTATCAGGTCATTTATGTTCTTCTCTAAACTGCTTATTCTAGTTAGCAGTTCCTGTAACCTTTTATTAATGTTCTTTGCTTCCTTGCATTGGGTTAGAACATGCTCCTTTAGCTTGGAGGAGTTTGTTATTATCCACCTTCTGAAGCCTACTTCTGTCAGTTCATCAAACTCATTCCCCGTCCAGTTTTGTTCCTTTGCTGGAGAGGAGTTGTGATCCTTTGGAGGAGCAGAGGAATTCTGGTTTTTGGAATTTTCAGCATTTTTGTGCTGGCTTTTCCTCATCTTCATGGATTTATCTACCTTTGATTTTTGAGGCTGGTGACCCTTGGATGGGGTTTTTGTGTGGGGGTCCTTTTTGTTGATGTTGATATTGTTGCTTTCTGTTAGTTTTTTTTCTAACAATCAGGCCCCTCTTCTGCAGGTCCACTCCAGACCTTGTTCACCTGAGTATCAGTAGTGGAGGCTGCAGAACAGCAAAGATTGCTGCCTGCTCCTTTTTCTGGAAGCTTCGTCCCAGAGGGGCACTGGTCTGATGCCAGCCAGATATCTCCTGTAGGAGGTGTCTGTCAGCCCCTGTTGGGAGGTCTCTCCCAATCAGGAGGCACGAGGGTCAGGTACCCACTTGAGGAGGTAGTCTGTCCCTTAGCAGAGCTTGAGTGCTGTGCTGGGAGAATCCTCCTTGTCTAGATTAGCTGCTCTCTTCAGAGCCAGCAGACAGGAAAGTTTAAGTTGTCTGAAGCTGTGCACACAGCCACCCTTTTTCCCAGGTGCTCTGTCCCAGGGCGATGGGAGTTTATCTGTAAGCCCATGACTGGGCCTGTTACCTTTCCTTCAGAGATGCCCTGCCCAATGAGGAGGAATCTAGAGAAGTAGTCTGGCCACAGCTGCTTTGCCGCTCTGTGGTGAATTCCACCCATCCCAAACCTCCCAGCCTTTTTAGCACTGTCAGGGGAAAACCACCTATTAAAGCCTCAATAATGGTGGATGTCCCTCCCCGCACCAAGCTTGATCATCCCAGGTTGACTTCAGACTGCTGGGCTGGCAGTGAGAATTTCAAGCTAGTGGTTCTTAACTTGCTGGGCTCTGTGGGCATGGGACCTGCTGAGGAAGACCTCTTGGCTCCCTGACTTCAGCCCCCTTTCCAGGGGAGAGAACAGTCCTGTCTCAGTGGGATTCCAGGCGCCATTGTGATATGAAAAAACTCCTGCAGCTAGCTCAGTGTCTGTCGAAACAGCCGCCCAGTTTTGTGCTTCAAACCCAGGGCTCTGGTGGTGTAGGCACATGAGGGAATCTCCTGATCTGCGGATTGCAAAATTCATGGGAAAAGCATAGTATCTAGGCCTTGTAGCACAGTCTCCCATGGCTTCTGTTGGCTTGGGGAATGAGGACCCCGGCTTCTTGCATTTCCTGGTTGAGGCAATGCCTCACCCTGCTTCTGCTCACCCTCTGTGGGCTGCTCCCACTGCCCAGCCAGTCCCAGTGAGATGAACTGGGTACCTCAGTTGGAAATGCCGCAATCACTTGCCTTCTGTGTTGGTCTCTCTGGGAGCTGCAGACCGGAGCTGTTCCTATTCAGCCATCTTGCCCTCTTGCCCCCTTTCAGTATTGAAATCCTCAAAATCATCTTTGGAGAAAGTTGTAGACCTGCCTCCTGGACATTCATATTTATCTTTGGCAAATAAACCTAAAATGATTAAGACTCACCTCGGTTATTTTTATTGATTTACACTGCTATAACACTTTATGCTTCCCTAATTACAGTTTACCACTTATTAAATTTTTATATTGGTCTTATACTACTGCATAACAGATTTTAATTTATTTAAAATAAAGGGCAGCCTTTGCAATTTTTGTTTTCTCCAAAGCGGCATGTGTCTTGTATATCCTAGGCAATCAGATATTATTGAATTGAAACTGATTGTCCTACAACTCTATCCTTTCCTTTTCTGCTCCTCAGTAATTTGAGCTCTTAATATTTCCTGTCTGTCCTAATTTGATAACATCCTAACCGATTTGGCTGAGTTCATCTGTTTTCACTCTACATATTGTATGATAATAAGTTTATTACCCAAGGCAAATCATGCCTTTTTTTCTGCCTCAAACACAATATTGCCTTCTAAATAGGATCAGTCTACTCAGTATGACATCCAAGATCCTCTCATCTCTTTGCCTTATCTACTCAGTGTCTACTCTAAATTCTGTGCATTTGTCTTGGTACCTGAAATGAGGTCTGTGGTATCATAGTACGTATAGGAATGACATTAATAAGTTAACTGGGGTAACTGCACACAACTGCTTATGACAGGAATAATAGACATAGGAGGGTTTCTGGCTGCTTCATTCTTCACCTGGCTGCCCCAAAAGTTGAGGAGAAGTTATGTAATCACAGCTATAACCTATTTAAGACACAACTTGGAGGCAGCTTTGTACCATGCTTACACACCCTTTGGCTTTCATTTGTGTTGTCTCCTTTTTTAGGAAATATTGCCCTCCACCAATTCCACGGGCTCCCCCTGCCGCATTGCTTTCATTGTTAAAATGTATACCAATCTTTCAAGGCCTGACCCTGATGTTGCCTCAAAACTTTTATCTGACTTCTTTCTCTAAAATTGTGTTTGATTTCTGTTTTCTCCATAGCATTTTATTTATATATTTTTAATAAAACTACAAATAATCTCCCTGGTATTAGGCATATCCTTGTTGCCTTCCCTTCCTTTAACTCCATAAGGTTGCAAATCTTTGATTTGCATTCTATTCACTATTTAATCTATTCACTTTTTAATCTTCTTTAGCAGACAAACAGCAGCCTGCACATAGAAACATAGAATACACTTTTTTTGAGTCGACTTGCTGGGTATCTCATAAAAGTAATGTTTTATGCCATAAATGGAAGGGAACAGTTAGATTGATAGTGTTTCTTGTCATTTCTTTTAAAAAATAAATTATTAAAATCATTAGTTAAGTGTTTCTCAAACTTTAGTGAGAATAACCTAGACAGCTTATTGAAACACAGATTTCTAGGTTCCAATCCCAGAGGTTTTTTTTTTTTTTTTTTGAGACAGAGTCTTGCTGTCACCCAGGCTGGAGTGCAGTGGCACGATCTTGGCTCAGTGCAAGCTCCCAGAGTTTTTATTCAGTAGGTGTGGGATGGTTTCCAAAATTAGCACTTCTAACAAGTTTGCATGTGATGCTGATGGTGCTGGTCAAGGGATTACGTTTTGAAAATGCTGCATTGAGCTGCAGATATGCTTGTTTGGCTTTAGGAGGTCTTGTGAAAGTATCATTTTAGAAGGATATTTTTTGAATACGCGTGACAAGGTAGAATTGTTGGGTGATATAACAAAACCAGAGGTTACATTTTCTGACTTCAGCCATTCTTTGTTAGGCTTATGCATAGGAAATACAAATGTTCCTTTGGGATTTACTCTTTTGCATTTATACTGGTATTCTCAAACTACAAATGTACAATTCTGTGCCAGAGAAGGTACTCCCTGTGCAGCATGCATCTTGGAGCCTCTTTATTTTGCTTATTATCCACTAGAAGCCAGAAGTCACCAACTCTACATTAGATTAATGTCCAAGTTCTGGAGGACAGTGGAGAGAAGGGCCAGGTTGTCTTACTCTGCTTCCATCTTGAAAATGAGTGATTACAACAAATGTCTGGTAGAGGAGAGGACAACTAAGAGCAAGAGAGACACATGTTCCTGGGGCCAAATAATTTCCTTCTTATGCCCTGTAAAGGGCATTTACCCCATAAAGAACAGCCCATTCTTAAAGACAGTGTCATTTTAATTATGTTGCTAGTTTACCAGGGCCTTATGGATGACAGTTGTGAAGCTGGCCATCATTTATAACACTGCTTCTTGGGATAATGCATTCTGATTTCCAAGTAGCTAATTTGGAAATCAACTCAGGGAACACAACCTGTCTGCAAATTGGGTACTGCTTGTACTGCAGTTTCTAGAGCATATTTGTTCTACTCATTTCCTAAAATGGCTCATTTGTATACAGCAGGGTAATAATACAAGCAGGTGCTTAGTCTGTGCAAAGAAATTGACAATTTCCTGTGGATATTGTCTGTTCACATAGGGTGGAGGCAATGATGTAAAAACCTTGTGGCAGTTGCAGATTCTCATTCTGGATCAAAGGAAGGGTAAAGGCTATGTCTGTTAGCTAACACTACAGTGTTATGAGTACACTAACACTACAGTGTTACGAGTACACTAAAGGTACTGGGTAAGTAGTGGCCTCTCTGGGATGTGTTTGGCTGGCAGGCAGGTGGAGGAGGACCCTTAGGAAGTAAGGACCAGAATAAGAGGAGTACACTGTCTATGACACACAGTGATTGTCAAAAACAGTGACCAAGAGGGTTATGAATGTTCATTTAACCAAATTTTATGTGGATATCTGCACAGCATTAACAATAATCGCTAAGTAAGTGGTTTTGAATGTGGAATGTGGTGACCTATTTTCACCAAATAGGTTCCTGAGGAAGCTGACTCTGAGCCAGAGATCGACATGCAGGATATTTATGAGGGTGAGCTCTTAGGATCAAAATCTATATTACTCAGGGTTTTCTAGAGAAATAGAAATAATGTTTTACCTGTTATCTGGGCATCCCTTAGCCCAGTCAAGTTGACACATAAAATTAACCATCACAACAGCGACAGGAAGCAGGACTGGGCTAAGCCCCCAAAGCTTCCCTCAGCCAGGGCTGTGGGGGGCTCTGAGATTGGGATGACCTCTCAGCATTTCCCTGGTTTGGGCCAATGGGACTGGCCTGTATTCTTCTGTATCCATCAGTTTTTGGATACAGGCTGCCCCCTGGGAAAGGGGTTGTGACTTTGGCTGAGGAAATTCTCAGAGAGGGCTGAGAGTGTCTGCCAGTAGCCAGACATGTATCCTTCTGTTCTGAAGGGAGGTCTGAGTGTCAAGGCAGAGCATCCATGACACCTGTTCAGGAAGCAGGAGTGTCTATGAGCAGCTGGGAATACATAGAATAGGCTCTGTCTGTAGGGGAGGATCAGAGGTCCTTAGCAGAGGTCCATGGTTGCAGGTGAATAAGCAATTACAGGGCACTGGGCACCTTAAAAGGAACTAGAATCATATAACGTGGCCTGGATTTATTGAACTTCATCAGTACATTCATCAACTCATATATAGTATTGCTAACCCATACAGTAGCCTCAAAAGTAAGTACTGTTAACTTCACTTTACAGAAGAAGGCTTAAATAGAAAAGTGCTTGCTCATGGCCAGATAGGTGATAGATGCCTGCAGCAGACTCCAACACCAAGTCTCTTTCTGAAGCTCCTGCTCTTTTGACTCTGTTCCCTGAACAGACTCTGGAAATTTAGTCACACAAATTTTCAAAGCCAGGACAAATCCAGTAGTAGCTTCAGAATGGCTGAGCACAGGCTGCAGGAAACCATCCCAGGGTGCCAGGCTTGAGGTGATATGTGTTCCTAATGATGAGTGAGCCAAGGCCCCAAGAGGAGCTTAGCCCACAGATGGGCAGAGCTGGGGAGAAGCGATGGCAGACAGTGGAGGCAAAACCTTGGTGTTTCCAGCTCAGAATGAGGTAGCCGGATGACTGAAATATAATGATTTGTTATTGGAGAATCAGGGTTGCCAATTAAACTCATACTACATTGAGCTGTGCAAAGGGCTTGTAGCTCTATTTTCTACAGAAGATATTTTATCTCCTTTGAGAACCTCTTTCTGTCTAATTAGTGAGAGGGGAATAAAATATCTAAATTTAATCATTCTGATTCAATAATTTAAATGGTCTCTTAAGGTAAATCAGTTTCTTTTAGATCAAATCCTAATCTTTCAGATTGTTACTTCCTCACTCATATTTTCTTCCCATATGATGTTGGGATGTATGGAGGTATAAGTGATTTGGCATGATTGGGTTGGGGAATAATGATGGGGCCTCCAGGAGCCATGAGCAGGTCCTGGCACTGCCTCCTCTTCTTGTGGTAGCAGTTTCCCTCATTCTACTTGTCTGCTCAGGTCAAGTGGAGTTCTCTTTGCTCATGCCTCAGTTATATCCCAGAGGACCTCCCTGAAGATTCAGCCTCAGCTTACCTTTGATGGGCTTCTGGACCTCCCTGAAATCTGCTTGCAGCTGATCTGATTCCCAACTCTGGTCATTCCAGCACCTTCCAGTGTCTGTGCCATTTGATTTTTATAGCAGATACCTCCCTTGCCATCTAGCATTATCAGCTACCTTCTGCATTGCTCCACGATGCATGTGGAAACATGAAACTATTGTCCATGCTTCTTGAGAGCTGAAGCCACCTCCAGAAAGACTCTAGTAAGGCCAAGGCCTTCCATCTCTAACCAACAGTGATGCACCACCTCTCTCATTCTGCAATGGTCACTCCTGTGCTGAGGTGAGGACAGCTTCTAAATCATCACCTCACTATCTCAGACAGAAATGTGGTCAGAGGACACCAACTTTTGGCTTGATTCCCAATCTCTTTACCTTGTTGCCTGGATTAGTCGAGGGGAGGACAGCGAGATGTTTTATCTTTTTCTTCCTCCTGCTGTCTTCCCACTGCTGCAGTGCCAAGCTCCCATGCTCCTTCTCCCATCTCATGGGAACCTGCCGTTTCCTCATAGGCCTTTCCCCTTTTCTTCTTTTTCCAGATCAATGATGATGGAATTGCTACTAGGAGGCAGGGAGAAGACTGAAAACACATCAATTTAATATTCCCAAATATTCCTTTTGTATGAGCTATGGCACACATAATGAATCATCTTTCTTTGCACCCTTTCTCAGAATCCTGTTTTTGCCGTGCAATGCAAAAAATGTACTATTTGCCTTAATTTCCCCTGACTTATGATGCCTCTGAATTAAATACTTGCCAAAGTGGAGGAAAAAGCCTTTCTAAAACTTTGCAAATAGATGAATTGCTGACTCAATAATTGAAGGAATCTCTTGGTTGCTTCATTGTGTGGTCACAGTAATAAGAAAAAGAAGTTATAGTTAAATTTCTCAGAAATTGAAATATTCATACATTGAACTATTTCTGATATAATTGTAAAGAGTACTTTTTAAAAATTTTATTATTATTATACTTTAAGTTTTAGGGTACATGTGCACAATGTGCAGGTTTGTTACATATGTATACATGTGCCATGTTGGTGTCCTGCACCTATTAACTCGTCATTTAGCATTAGGCATATCTCCTAATGCTATCCCTCCCCCCTCCCCCCACCCCACAACAGTCCCTGGAGTGTGATGTTCCCCTTCCTGTGTCCATGTGTTCTTATTGTTCAATTCCCACCAATGAGTGAGAACATGCGGTGTTTGGTTTTTTGTCCTTGCGATAGTTTGCTGAGAATGATGGTTTCCAGTTTCATCCATGTCCCTACAAAGGACATGAACTCATCATGTTTTATGGCTGCATAGTATTCCATGGTGTATATGTGCCACATTTTCTTAATCCAGTCTATCGTTGTCGGACATTTGGGTTGGTTCCAAGTCTTTGCTATTGTGAATAGTGCCGCAATAAACATACATGTGCATGTGTCTTTATAGCAGCATGATTTATAATCCTTTGGGTATATACCCAGTAATGGGATGGCTGGGTCAAATGGTATTTCTAGTTCTAGATCCCTGAGGAATCGCCACACTGACTTCCACAATGGTTGAACTAGTTTACAGTCCCACCAACAGTGTAAAAGTGTTCCTATTTCTCCACATCCTCTCCAGCACCTGTTGTTTCCTGACTTTTTACTGATCGCCATTCCAACTGGTGTGAGATAGTATCTCAGTGTGGTTTTGATTTGCATTTCTCTGATGGCCAGTGATGATGAGCATTTTTTCATGTGTTTATTGGCTGCATAAATGTCTTCTTTTGAGAAGTGTCTGTTCATGTCCTTCGCCCACTTTATGTAGGGGTTGTTTGTTTTTTTCTTGTAAATGTGTTTGAGTTCATGGTAGATTCTGGATATTAGCCCTTTGTCAGATGAGTAGGTTGCGAAAATTTTCTCCTATTTTGTAGGTTGCCTGTTCACTCTGATGGTAGTTTCTTTTGCTGTGCAGAAGCTCTTTAGTTTAATTAGATCCCATTTGTCTATTTTGGCTTTTGTTGCCATTGCTTTTGGTGTTTTAGACATGAAGTCCTTGTCCATGCCTATGTCCTGAATGGTATTGCCTAGGTTTTCTTCTAGGGTTTTTATGGTTTTAAGTCTAACATGTAAGTCTTTAACCCATCTTGAATTAATTTTTGTATAAGGTGTAAGGAAGGGATCCAGTTTCAGCTTTCTACATATGGCTAGCCAGTTTTCCCAGCACCATTTATTAAATAGGGAATCCTTTCCCCATTGCTTGTTTTTCTCAGGTTTGTCAAAGATCAGATGGTTGTAGATATGCGGCATTATTTCTGAGGGCTCTGTTCTGTTCCATTGATCTATATCTCTGTTTTGGTACCAGTACCATGCTGTTTTGGTTACTGTAGCCTTGTAGTATAGTTTGAAGTCAGGTAGCGTGATGCCGCCAGCTTTGTTCTTTTGGCTTAGGATTGACTTGGCAATGCGGGCTCTTTTTTGGTTCCATATGAGCTTTAAAGTAGTTTTTTCCAATTGTGTGAAGAAAGTCATTGGTAGCTTGATGGGGATGGCATTGAATCTGTAAATTACCTTGGGCAGTATGACCATTTTCACGATATTGATTCTTCCTACCCATGAGCATGGAATGTTCTTCTGTTTGTTTGTATCCTCTTTTATTTCATTGAGCAGTGGTTTGTAGTTCTCCTTGAAGAGGTCCTTCACATCCCTTGTAAATTGGATTCCTAGGTATTTTATTCTCTTTGAAGCAATTGTGAATGGGAGTTCACTCATGATTTGGCTCTCTGTTTGTCTATTATTGGTGTATAAGAATGCTTGTGATTTTTGTACATTGATTTTGTATCCTGAGACTTTACTGAAGTTGCTTATCAGCTTAAGGAGATTTTGGGCTGAGACAATGGGGTTTTCTAGATATACAATCATGTCATCTGCAAACAGGGACAATTTGACTTCCTCTTTTCCTAATTGAATACCCTTTATTTCCTTCTCCTGCCTAATTGCCCTGGCCAGAACTTCCAACACTATGTTGAATAGGAGTGGTGAGAGAGGGCATCCCTGTCTTGTACCAGTTCTCAAAGGGAATGCTTCCAGTTTTTGCCGATTCAGTATGATATTGGCTGGGGGTTTGTCACAGACAGCTCTTATTATTTTGAGATACATTCCATCAATACCTAATTTATTGAGAGTTTTTAGCATGAAGCGTTGTTGAATTTTGTCAAAGGCCTTTTCTGCATCTATTGAGCTAATCATGTGGTTTTTGTCTTTGGTTCTGTTTATATGCTGGATTACATTTATTGATTTTCGTATATTGAACCAGTCTTGCATCCCAGGGATGAAGCCCACTTGATCATGGTGGATAAGCTTTTTGATGTGCTGCTGGATTCAGTTTGCCAGTATCTTATTGAGGATTTTTGCATCAATGTTCATCAAAGATATTGGCCTAAAATTCTCTTTTTTGGTTGTGTCTCTGCCCGGCTTTGGTATCAGGATGATGCTGGCTTCATAAAATGAGTTAGGGAGGATTCCCTCTTTTTCTATTGATTGGAATAGTTTCAGAAGGAACGGTACCAATTCCTCCTTGTACCTCTGATAGAATTTGGCTGTGAATCCATCTGGTCCTGGACTTTTTTTGGTTGGTAAGCTATTAATTATTGCCACAATTTCAGATCCTGTTATTGGTCTATTCAGAGATTCAACTTCTTCCTGGTTTACTCTTGGGAGGGTGTATGTGTCGAGGAATTTATCCATTTCTTCTAGATTTTCTAGTTTATTTGCGTAGAGGTGTTTGTAGTATTCTCTGATGGTAGTTTGTATTTCTGTGGGATCAGTGTTGATATCCCCGTTATCATTTTTTATTGTGTCTATTTGATTCTTCTCTCTTTTCTTCTTTATTAGTCTTTCTAGCAGTCTATCAATTTTGTTGATCTTTTCAAAAAACCAGCTCCTGGATTCATTAATTTTTTGAAGGGTTTTTTGTGTCTCTATTTCCTTCAGTTCTGCTCTGATTTTAGTTATTTCTTGCCTTCTGCTAGCTTTTGAATGTGTTTGGTCTTGCTTTTCTAGTTCTTTTAATTGTGATGTTAGGGTGTCAATTTTGGATCTTTCCTGCTTTCTCTTGTGGGCATTTAGTGCTATAAATTTCCCTCTACACACTGCTTTGAATGAGTCCCAGAGATTCTGGTATGTTGTGTCTTTGTTCTCATTGGTTTCAAAGAACATCTTTATTTCTGCCTTCATTTCGTTACGTACCCAGTAGTCACTCAGGAGCAGGTTGCTCAGTTTCCATGTAGTTGAGCGGTTTTGAGTGAGTTTCTTAATCCTGAGTTCTAGTTTGATTGCACTGTGGTCTGAGAGACAGTTTGTTATAATTTCTGTTCTTTTACATTTGCTGAGGAGAGCTTTACTTCCAACTATGTGGTCAATTTTGGAATAGGTGTGGTGTCGTGCTAAGAAAAGTGTATATTCTGTTGATCTGGGGTGGAGAGTTCTGTAGATGTCTATTAGGTCTGCTTGGTGCAGAGCTGAGTTCAATTCCTGGGTATTCTTGTTAACTTTCTGTCTCATTGATCTGTCTAATGTTGACAGTGGGGTGTTAAAGTCTCCCATTATTATTGTGTGGGAGTCTAAGTCTCTTTGTAGGTCACTCAGGACTTGCTTTATGAATCTGGGTGCTCCTGTATTGGGTGCATATATATTTAGGATAGTTAGCTCTTCTTGTTGAATTGATCCCTTTACCATTATGTAATGGCCTTCTTTGTCTCTTTTGATCTTTGTTGGTTTAAAGTCTGTTTTATCAGAGACTAGGATTGCAACCCCTGCCTTTTTTTGTTTTCCATTTGCTTGGTAGATCTTCCTCCATCCCTTTATTTTGAGCCTATATGTGTCTCTGCACATGAGATGGGTTTCCTGAATACAGCACACTGATGGGTCTTGACCATTTATCCACTTTGCCACTCTGTGTCTTTTAATTGGAGCATTTAGCCCATTTACATTTAAAGTTAATATTGTTATGTGTGAATTTGGTCCTGTCATTATGATGTTAGCTGGTTATTTTGCTCGTTAGTTGATGCAGTTTTCTTCCTAGCCTTGATGGTCTTTACATTTTGGCATGTTTTTGCAGTGGCTGCTACCAGTTGTTCCTTTCTATGTTTAGTGCTTCCTTCAGGAGGTCTTTTAGGGCAGGCCTGGTGGTGACAAAATCTCTCAGCATTTGCTTGTCTGTAAAGGATTTTATTTCTCCTTCACTTATGAAGCTTAGTTTGGCTGGATATGAAATTCTGGGTTGAAAATTCTTTTCTTTAAGAATGTTGAATATTGGCCCCCACTCTCTTCTGGCTTGTAGAGTTTCTGCCAAGAGATCCGCTGTTAGTCTGATGGGCTTCCCTTTGTGGGTAACCCGACCTTTCTCTCTGGCTGCCCTTATCATTTTTTCCTTCATTTCAACTTTGGTGAATCTGACAATTATGTTTCTTGGAGTTGCTCTTCTCGAGGCATATCTTTGTGGCGTTCTCTGTATTTCCTGAATCTGAATGTTGACCTGCCTTGCTAGATTGGGGAAGTTCTCCTGGATAATATCCTGCAGAGTGTTTTCCAACTTGGTTCCATTCTCCCCGTCACTTTCAGGTACACCAATCAGATGTAGATTTGGTCTTTTCACATAGTCCCATATTTCTTGGAGGCTTTGTTCGTTTCTTTTTATTCTTTTTTCTCTAATCTTGCCTTCTCGCTTCATTTCATTCATTTCATCTTCCATCACTGATACCCTTTCTTCCAGTTGATCGCATCGGCTCCTGAGGCTTCTGCATTCTTCACATAGTTCTCAAGCCTTGGCTTTCAGCTCCATCAGCTCCTTTAAGGACTTCTCTGCATTGGTTATTCTAGTTATCCATTCGTCTAATTTTTTTTCAAAGTTTTTAACTTCTTTGCCATTGGTTTGAATTTCCTCCTGTAGCTCAGAGTAGTTTGATTGTCTGAAGCCTTCTTCTCTCAACTAGTCAAAGTCATTCTCCGTCCAGCTTTGTTCCGTTGCTGGTGAGGAGCTGTGTTCCTTTGGAGGAGGAGAGGCACTCTGCTTTTTAGAGTTTCCAGTTTTTCTGCTCTGTTTTTTCCCTGTCTTTGTGGTTTTATCTACTTTTGGTCTTTGATGGTGGTGACGTACAGATGGGTTTTTGGTGTGGATGTCCTTTCTGTTTGTTAGTTTTCCTTCTAACAGACAGGGCCCTCAGCTGCAGGTCTGTTGGAGTTTGCTAGAGGTCCACTCCAGACCCTGTTTGCCTGGGTAACAGCAGCGGTGGCTGCACAACAGCGGGTTTTCATGAACCGCGAATGCTGCTGTCTGATCGTTCCTCTGGAAGTTTTGTTTCAGAGGAGTACCCGGCCGTGTGAGGTGTCAGTCTGCCCCTACTGGGGGGTGCCTCCCAGTTAGGCTGCTCGGGGGTCAGGGGTCAGGGACCCACTTGAGGAGGCAGTCTGCCCCTTCTCAGATATCTAGCTGCGTGCTGGGAGAACCACTGCTCTCTTCAAAGCTGTCAGACAGGGACATTTAAGTCTGCAGAGGTTACTGCTGTCTTTTTGTTTGTCTGTGCCCTGCCCCCAGAGGTGGAGCCTACAGAGGCAGGCAGGCCTCCTTGAGCTGTGGTGGGTTCCACCCAGTTCGAGCTTCCCGGCTGCTTTGTTTACCTAAGCAAGCCTGGGCAATGGCGGGCGCCCTTCCCCCAGCCTCATTGCTGCCTTGCAGTTTGATCTCAGACTGCTGTGCTAGCAATGAGCAAGACTCTGTGGGCGTAGGACCCTCTGAGCCACGTGTGGGATATAATCTCCTGGTGCGCCGTTTTTTAAGCCCGTCGGAAAAGCACAGTATTAGGGTGGGAGTGACCCGATTTTCCAGGTGCCGTCTGTCACCCCTTTCTTTGACTAGGAAAGGGAACTCCCTGACCCCTTGCGCTTCCCGAGTGAGGCAATGCCTCGCCCTGCTTCGGCTCGCACACAGTGCACTGCACCCACTGTCCTGCGCCGACTGTCTGGCACTCCCTAGTGAGATGAACCCGGTACCTCAGATGGAAATGCAGAAATCACCCGTCTTCTGCATTGCTCACGCTGGGAGCTGTAGACCGAAGCTGTTCCTATTCGGCCATCTTGGCTCCCTCAACCAATTGTAAAGAGTACTTTTAAGCCTGTGGTGTAAGATCAGAATCTAAGAGGTCAAATGAGCAATTTAAAATAATTAATATTAATGACTTTTTTAGTCATTCAATTTCCTTTAAGACCTCATCAGTAGGTAGTTTACTTTCATCCCCTACTAAGAGACCATTTCTAACATTTGACAGTGTAACTTTGTTTTTTTTACAAATTTAGTATTCTGAAGTGCTGTGTAGTTGACAGTCTTCTACTCAGTGTGTCCTCCCAAAACAGCAGACCTGGTGTTACCTAGAGCCTGTTAGAAATGCAGAATCTTTGGCTCACTCCAAACCTACTCAATCAGAAGCTGCATTTTAACAAGATCCCCAGGTGACTTGTATGCACATTAAAGTATGAGAAGCACTAGTCAGCGACGCTGGAGAAAACCCTGCAAAGAGGCATTATTAAATTCACTCAGTGTGTTTTTATAAACCATTTATAACAAATAATAAAATGAAGTGGAAGTAAATCATCCCTTTGCACTCTGGTTCTTATAATATTATTTTTCAAATCTGTGCTCACTTCCTTCCCCTAATTAAAAAAAGAGACAGCTGTTCACTCTGTGCACCTGTGTTAACCCGGGTCCAGGCTCAGTTAGGTTTCTGCAGCAGTCAAGCCAGCTAAGCACAGCTGTGGCATAGCTTCAAATCAGCAGTTCTTCAGGCCACCTGTTACAACAAACTACATTAAAACACTCCCAAGCAATCTTGTCTCCAATTCCTTCCTCCCCTAGCCCCCAGTAGTATGCCATAGTAATTGAAAGCAATATAAATTACTTGTCAAAAGTAAATCTCTATGAAGAAAAGCAGCTGTGTTATATTGAAAGGACCTAATTTCACTAAATAGTTCCCTTCCTCCACATCAGTTAAAACCACAGGAGAGAGGGGTGGGATGATGGGTTATAAAATACCCTGAAATCCCACCAGAAGAGGCCTCTACAGCCAAAGCAAAATGAGGATCTAAACAAGAATCTTGCTAATGTAGCCAAGCCCAGAACTGCCGGGATAATTGAGGATAAGAGTTGCTTTGTTCTCCCTTCCCACTCCCTGCTATTTTCTCCTTCTCAACCCCCCATTTAGCTTTACCCTCAGCGATTACTCTACCTTTTTAGCATTCCAAGAATACCTCTAAGCATCTACCTCTTTCTGTGTACACCCACCGTTTCCTGCTCAATAGTCTCTTTTGTTTCTTGGTTAACTCAGTAGCAAGGCTATTGAGTCCTGGCTTAAAGCTCACATCTTCAAAGACAGGGGACCAGAACCATAAATGGGCACACTGAATAGCATGCAGCAGAGGTTTAGGAAGAAAAAGGACAATGAGGTCACAGAATCCAGTGCACCTCATGATAAGTGGCAGCTTTTGGCTTTGATTAGGGAGGTCCAGCAATTATAAATAAAGATGATCACATTAGTTATATTGGAACGCCTACATCATGTTCATTTATTCATTACAGAGCTTTGAGGGAGGAATTATTATCATCACCATCATCACCGCTTTAGAAAACCAAAGCTCTAAGAGATTTTAGAAAATTTCCAGTTAGTAAACTGTTGTATTAGAATTAACACCTAAATCACTGCTCTTGTTACAACAGCCTGCTTCCCTTCTGGGTGTCTCAGCAGATGGGCACAGCATGAATACAGACATGTCTGGCAACAAGGTGATATGTGGATTTGCAGCCAGGTAGTCATATGGTGGGTATTAGGAAAGTCTGCCTGGAAGTAACAGAACATCTGCTGTGGGCCTAGGGTTCAGGGGCAGGACTTGAATGCTGAAAGTAAAACCAAAACTAAGTAGGGTCTACTCTTAGGAGAATTGGGGTTCCTGACAGTTGTCAATTGTGGACCCTCAATTCAAGTAGAAGTAGTCATCTGGAATACAATGTGGGGACTGAGTTCTAGCAGGCAGTGACTAAGAACTAGGGACAGCAATGGAGGAAAAGAAGGAAACAAGGAAGTAGGAAAAACATCCCATTTTCACTTGAGACACGGACCTGTTGAAACCTGCCCAGTTGTCCCATAGAACTGATGTTTATGGGTTTTTTTTTGAATAAACATAGAAATGGACTTTCCCAGTCTTAAAACTTGATAAAATTATCTTTGTCTTATCTGAGTTCCTTCTTGAGGAAACCAGCCCTCAGGCCTCCCAGATGGTATCAAGGAACTGAAACTCACCAGACCACCACATCCAGATAATGAGAAATCAGACCCTTTATCCCTCATGATATCCTTACCCCACCCTAATTTCTGTTAACCTGCATGTGATTGCCATTCTTCCCTGCTATATAAACCCCTAATTCTAGTTGGTTGAAGAAATGGATTTGAGACTGATCTCCCATCTCCTTGGCTGCAGTATCCAAATAAAGTCTTCTTCCTTGGCAATACTCATTTTGTCTCAGTGATTGGTTGTCTGTGTGGTGAGCAACAAGACCTAGATGGAACCCCTGGGTGTTTCAGTAACACTATGAATGGAGTGAATTGCGGAATTCCCTCTACTAAGCATAGATCTGGTCCTAGAGACTGGGTTGTAGTGGAGTGTGAAGGTGGAGATGAAAACAAAGATGGAAAAGACATTTTCTGGGGCTTTCTTTTGTGGTACTAGAGATTTAAGTGGAAATTACAAAGAGTCTGACTTAAGCTAATTGTAAAAGGAATCCTCTAAGAATCCGGACTCCAAGTTTAAGACCAGCCTGAGCAACATAGCAAGACCCTGTCTCTATAAAAAATAAAAACAAACAAACAAACAAAAAATCTGGACTCCAAGGTGGAATAGAATGCTGTATGAAGGCATTATGTTTCTGTCCCCAGAACTTACAAAAACATTTCTGTGCTTACTAGGCATTTAATGATTTCTGTCACACTTCTGATAACGATCTAAACTTTTACTGTGGCCCTGAAGCCCTATCTAATGTGTCTCCTGTCTAGCTCTCTGACCTCCTGTCTATCAATTTCTCTATACTCACTATTCTCTGTCAGGGCTGCTTGACGGAGGTGCTGGTATTTTGGTTGGGAAAATTCCTTCTGGAGCTTTTTCAAATACTGCTAGATATTTAGCATCCCTTGCCCCTGTTCACAAAATACCAGCAACACCCCCTTGCTATCACGTGCCCCCACACACTTCTAATGCTCCAGGGGAGACTTGATCTGTGGCTCCCTGGCATCCCTTCACTTTAATATGTGAAGCTCATTCCTGTCTCAGGGCTATCACACTGGCTTTGAATCTTGTTCCCATGATATTTCATATTCTCATTTTTCAGTCTACATACCATTTCCTCTAAGGGCATCTCCCAGCCCTCGTTCAGAGCATTTATCATGATCCAAAATGACTTTCTTTGACTTTTCCTCTTTGTCCTTTTTCTTCCCCTCACTAGAATGAAATCCTATGAGAAGGAAGTTGTGTACTTCACGTTCACCACTGTACATTGACACACAGAAGACTGCTTCATGTGTGATAGATCCTCAGATGTTTTTTGAATTTTATGAATTAAGGAAATGGAATTTTGAATACTACGAATAAAGGGATAGATGATCACTTTCCAAGATTGTATAGAGGAGGTTTCTGCATTAGGTAGAAAACTGTATTCCATATCAATGTAAGACTCAACTGTTCTTTTCTGTAGTTTCTAGAGCGTTTGAAGGAGAAAGAATTTTGCTCACTGAGCTTCTAATAAATTTTAGTGGAACACATACATTCAAACCATAGCATCTCTCAAGTTCATGTTGAAAAAATGATTTTAAAAGAAAAATCAGTTAGAAAAGCCAGGTACCTTTTCTAAAGGTCAGACGTATTTTCAAATTAAAGCAAAATGGCCAAGATTAACCCCTAACCCCAACCTTAAAAAGTTAACCAGGTTTGTTCTCCTCGTGAATGTATTCTCACGGGATGATGCTAATGACACTTAGCCTCTGGGGCCCCTCACTTACCCAAGGCCCAGAGAGAGTCCTTTATGGTATTCATAATATTTATTCTTTTTTTAAAAAAAGAGAAGCCCAAAACTGTATAAGCCTCAGGCTCCACAAAATCTGTATCTACCTCTATATATACTATTAAAGTAGACATAACTCCCTCTTGGTTATTGCAACCCAGGAAAAAAGAAATGGACAGTGGCAGTGGGGGTGGGGGGTGGTGGAGGTGCTTGTTTCTATTTTCAAAGACTGTTATTTAAAATGAACAAATGATGGAAATATCCATGCCTGAAAGTAAGGTGATCAAATGAACACACCTAAGTGCTAAAAGAATGGAATATTTTAAAGAACTAGCTGCTGTGGAAGCTGGTACAACATAAATTATATATACAGATAAACTGAACATATTTTATGGCTTTTAATGTGGATATGTGGCAAATTCCCTCTTCTTCATATTTTCCTCCTTTGAGGGTGACTTTAAGGATTGTAGAAGCTTTTTTTTTCTTTTTTCTTGGAAAGATGTAATAAGGACTTATGAACAGAAGACATGTCTGTGTGCCAGGCAGCTGTGAGACAAAATCGTGGATCTCCGCACTGTAAACCCCCAGACCCAGGACTTACATAACCTAGGGAAATGTTGTTTCAGAAGGGATGTGTAGGACAGTTGAAGTACAAGAACATCAAGGTCATTTCACCCAAGGGCAGAATTTATGGTAAGTACCTACTCTTACACAAGGAACAAGAGATAAACTGGAAATTTTAGAGGTCTTCCTGGAACTGGGGTTAATCAGAAGTCAATATGGTAGATTAGCATCCAAGATGGAGTGGCTTTGGCTTCCACACTCCATCCCCTAATTCAGCTCTTACAGTTTCATCTGCCTTCCTCTTCTGTGATGGTCCCTGAGCCTTTAGGGAAGATGCTTGATATGGTATAGGTTTAGCAGTAGTATGTTGGCAATGGAAAACAGAGCAGGCCAACTGAGATTCCAAATGAGGGAGATTCCCAGGCTTTGTTGAATCATCTCCAGTTTTTGAAATACTGTGACTTCAGTTTTCTCAGAAGAAGTAAAACAACGAGAGAGATATTAATAATTTGAGTAGTAGAATTATAATGCATACCAGGATTAAAATCAAAAGAGAATTTGAGGCCAGGTGTGGTGGCTCATGTCTGTAATTCCAGCACTTTGGGAGGCCGAGGTGTGCGGATCACTTAAGGCCAGGAGTTTGAGACCAGCTTGGCCAACATGGCGAGACCCCATCTCTAATAAAAATGCCAAAAATTAGCTGAGCATGGTGGTACACACATGTAATCCCAGCTCCTTGGTAAGTTGAGGCATGAGAATTTCTTCAACCCAGGAGGTGGAGGTTGCAGTGAGCTGAGATTGTGCCACTGCATTCCAGCCTGGGCAACAGAGTGAGACTCTGTCTCAAAAAAAAAAAAAAAAAAAAAAAAAAAAAAAAAAAGAATTAGAATGCCAGAAAAACAAAAACACAAAAGAACCTATTCCATTAAGAAGCCAACTAAAGGCATCGTGAAGAAAATTAAAATCCAGTTCTTCTTTAGAGATTTGTTGCAGTCAAAAAATAATTCAGGATTAGCTCAAATTTTAGGCAACTGATAACTCCAAAACAATGATTAGGGCTAGCATCTAAGTTTTTCTCTCTATAGTTTCCCCATTTCTACCAAGGATAAACCATATTAGGACAAATTTATTTTCACAATAAATTTTAGTTTTATTATACTTGGCCTGATTATTTGTGTAAAGTGTAGCAAGAATACTGATGGGCCACATAGGCTCTTTTTAAGTTGGCTTTGCTGGAACTCTTATAAGAAATTTCAGATTTGACTTTTTAAAAGCCTCAAGGCAAGAAGCCAAGCCAAGGATTTGCCATCAAACTGTGCTTGTAATGCCTCTCTTCTCAAGGTCCCAAAATATCTTGAGGTTCCTGAGCCTGTTAGAAAGTGACATTCTTTTTTTTCTTTGAGACAGAGTCTTGCTCTGTTGCCCAGGTTGGAGTGTAGTGGCGTGATCTTGGCTCACTGCACCCTCTGCCTCCCTGGTTCAAGTGGTTCTCCTGCCTCAGCCTCCTGAGTAGCTGGGATTACAGGCGCCTGCCCCTACACCTGGCTAATTTTTGTATTTTTAGTAGAGATGGGGTTTCACCATGCTGGCCAGGCTGGTCTTAAACTCCTGACCTCAAATGATCTGCCTGTCTTGGCCTCCCAAAGTGTTGGGATTACAGGCGTGAGCCACCACGCCCAGCCAGAAAGTGACATTCTTTACTTACCACAGATCAGGAACCTTGTAATGGAACAATTTAAACAAGATACCAGGCTAGTCTTTCCAAGGGGCTTTTTATTGGCTCTATAAAGTTGACTTCAATTCCTAAAAGCAATCTGATAATATCTGAAAATATGCTATTCCAGTCAAAGCCTTGGAAAAATAACCAGTGTCTCCAATTGTGTTCCATTATAAAAGAAAACACATTCTTACTGAATTTATGCAAATAACTAGATTGCCACAAAATAAGAATACTCCTGAATAGTTTCCAAATTTTGGAGAACTCAGGTAGAGAAAAAGGTAAATTTTGCTCTTTTTGAGTATTTGAAAAAATACTCAACTTCTTGGTACAATAAAAACTTCAGCTGAATTAAATTAGTGTTTAATTGAACAATGAAAGATTTGCGAATCAGGCAGCCCCCAGAATCACAGCAGTTTCAGAGAGACTCCAGGGATACCTCGTGGTCAGAACAAATTTATAGACAAAAAAAAAGGGAAGTGATGTACAGAAATCAGAAGTGAGGTACCAAAACAATTGGATTGGTTACAGCTCTGCAGTTGCCTTATTTGAACACAACTGGAACACTCAGCAGTGTGTGCGTGGTTGAATTACGGCTGCTGGGATTGGCCAAGACTCAGTGACTGTTACAGGTGCATACTCCTAAGTTAGGTTTTCAATCTTGTCTACCTATTAAGCTAGGTTGCAGTTCATCCATAAGGACTCAAATATAGAAGTATGGAGTGCTTCTCAGGCCATATCTAGTTTGCTTTAACATTCTCTAAGCTATAAATAGCTCAAAAGAAAGAAAGATTTCCTTGATTCTTCGTCATTTGGAGTAGCAGCCTTCCAAACAGAATGTTGTCCATTCACCTGGGAACTGCCATCCACAAATCAAGCAGCTCTTTGTCAGTCAAGTGAGACCTGTTTATCAGGCACTGTGGAATCCAGTGGCTCCTCACACAGTTCCACAGTTAGTCCTGTGGAAAAGGCTTTCTGCTTATGACTGTCACTTCCTTGCACTTCCCAGGTAGCAAGATCTTATAAACCACTTGCATTTTCTCATGGAACTCTTTTGGCCATTGCTATCCCCATTAGCACAGGAGTAGCTTCATTTAATGTCCCATAGCAAGGCAGTAAATGCCCCCCAAGTGGAAATTCTCTAGTCCAAAGTGCCAGTAGTCATTGTTGAGAGGGGCTCACAAACTTCTGCCATAAGCCCCAGTAAATGCTCCACAAACAGCTATTTGGTGGAGAATTCATTTTGACCAACACTCCAGCTTCTACTCTACACTCTGTAGGCTCAGGCAGTCTTAATTCCCATTTAGCATGTCCAATTAATATTGCTCAAAGGGAAGATTGACATGCCTTCTTTGTTTACAGTACTAGGTAGGGGAAGCGTTCCCTGGTTAGATACAGCATCTGTTTTCATAAAAGGTTTAGTTAAAGAATACCCAACTACTTTACATAAAGCCTGTTTAAACATTTCAACTTTTATCAACCCTAAATTTTTATCTTCTGTTTCCAGGAACTTCTCTTTTCCACTCCCATTTTACCCTCTGATGAAAAAGGATTTGGGTTCCCAGCAAGGGATTGAGCTAGGGAACTCAGGCCCTTTTGTCAATCTTTGTTTTGATTTACCTGCCTCAACACTGGCCCAGGTAGTTGTTGGTCAGCTTTCTTACTGTAACCTTTGCCTTCTGATTTTTTTTTTTTTAAATATTTCTCCAATCTGGGGTAAACATAGAAAATTGGTTTGAGGCTCTCTAATATTGGGGGCCCAGCAGGGGCTCTCTTTGGTCCACTCAACCTTTGATAGTGTGTTAAGGTCTTTGTTTTACCTCATAAATTTCCATTTATTTCATTCCATTTCTTAATAACCAACTAAAGATTCCCAACCTGCTGGGATGGGTCCCATGACCCTCCCCTTCTTTTTTCTCTTAGTTTTACCCCTATCAACTTTTTTTTTTTAAAAAAAACCTTACTTTTTAATAAGCAGTTAAAATGTTTCACCTTCCTAGGATGAGTCCTTGGATTATATATTTATATTTTGCTTTTCCCCATGCTGTTGTTAATTATCCTAATGTTTTTATTAGTGTCTGTAAAACAGATGAGGGGAAGTTAAACCAGCACATTTGATACAGCTTCCTTAACTGTCTTTCAGTTTGTAGCAGCAATGGTGTGCCCGTGCAGGAGGGGACCCCTTAACTACAGTACTTGACATGACCTGGGTAAAGGGCATATTCAGCAGGTGAATATCCTTGTCATCATAAAGCCAGTTCCACCTGGCTTGCATACAAAGCATATCAGTTGCTTCATCTAGGGTGCTCAATTGGGCATTTATAGGGAAAGTTGGGAAATCCCCCTTCTCAGGATACACAGACCTTACAAATGTCTTTTACCCAGTCCATCAGGCCAGCTATTGCCTCTGGAGTAGCCTCCTGTGTCTGGATTATTTATAGCCACCTGTGATTGTCCAATAGTGAACTGTGGGTCCTGCATCAACCCAAACAGGCTCTTCTACTCTGCAGCATTTAAAACCAAAGATACGGCCCCTAAATTATTACTCTCACAATCCATTTCAGTTCCTTAGGAAGCGGATAATACCGATCTTCAAAATAGACCAGTTCTTTCACATTATACCTTCTGGTTTCAGTCGTTACTTGGTTTTGCCCTTCCCTCACATGAAATATCAGATACTCACATACATACACATTATATACACATGACATGTTGTTTTCAACTGAGCTTTTTTTTCTTCTTTCTTTGTGTTTTTTGTTTTTGTTTTGTTTTTGTTTTTTTTTTCAGAGATGGGGTCTCGCTCTGTCACCCAGGCTACAGTGCAGTGGTGTAATCATGGTTCACTGTAGCCTTGAAGTCCTGAGTACTTTCATGGTAACCATAGGTCTCAGAGGTACTTTCTTTTGTCCCTGCCATAATTTTCCCCTTCATGGGTAGTTTTGAGGCTAGGAGCCAGAGCTCAGACAGACTCACATCTGAGCTTGGTTCAGCCTCAAGACCCAACCCAGTGCTCTCTTTTAATTTCATTTCAGCTATTAGAGATAACAATAACAGGAATTAAATATTTCACTTTCTGCTTCTTTGTGTGCCTTTCCTAATGCAGTCAGAGAACCAGCTTCCCAGAGTTTGATCCATCCCTGAATTCTTCTGCTAACTTTTACCTTTAGTAACTGAATGCCGCACAGCTGCTGCGCCATACCGGGGTGACCATGTGGCCAGCTAGGAATCAAAAGCTCCTCATTCTCCATATCATATCATTTCTCCTTCTTTTTGAAACAACCTTTAAATAAACTCTAAACTAGGCAAAATTATTTTTCCTTTAAGCCAAAACCATACATCTGTGTTCCTTTATAACCTTCTTTACCAAAGCACATCTTTCTTTATACATTCTGTATATAGAATTATATCTAGTAGTTTTAATTACATGGATTAACTACTATTTTAACTCTTAGTAACCCCAATTTCCAGTGAATAACCTATGACTATTTAATATAATATGACTTTAAGATTTTAAGTTACTGAAAAACATTTGGAAACTAGTTTCATTTACCAAAGATTACTAAAGTCACAGCAGCTAAAAGCCATTTCTATTTTTTTCTGAGTTCTTTCATATATTTTGGCAGTGAAATATCACATGCATATGACACATCTTATTTTCAGTTTAGTTTCTTTTTTCTTTTTTTGTTTTGTTTTGTTTTCTGAGATAAGGTCTTGCTCTGTCACCCACGCTGTAGTGCAGTGGTGTGATCATAGCTCACTATAGCCTTGAACTTAGTTAAGTGATCCTCCCACCCCAGCCTCCTGAATAGCTGGCACTACAGGCACGCACCACTAAGCCCAGTTAATTTTTACATTTTGTGTAGAGATGTGGTCTCATTTTGTTCCTCAGGGTGGTCTTGAATTCTTGACTTCTAGCAATCTTCCTGCCTTGGCCTCCCAAATTGCTGGGATTACAGGCGTGAGCCACTGCGTCTGGCCAGTTTGTTTCTTAATTCAATTACTGACTTTAGAGTGGAGCCCTTTAAGGAAAAGGGCTAAAAAAGTATGCAGTTTTTTAGGGCCTAATATTTATTGGAAGGCAGAACACTCACATCCCCGCAAAAGCCAAAGAAATCAGATAACACAATACAAAAGAGAGAAGAGTTTTAGACCTGGAAAGAATGTCTGCTATGCAACTCTTGGGGTTCCATTAAGAAAAACAGAGGCTCCTCGCAAAAAGGAGTCTGTGGTGCGTTTTCTGTTTTCTCCCAAGGGAGTCTAGGCTGTCAGAAATTCCTTTTTTTTTAGGTCTTTTATGTGGCATTGAGAGTGGCAAGAAAAAAGAGGGACAGGCAGAAGCAAATGGAGAAACAGAATTCAGTTGACAGAGTTTAACAGAGAAAAAACAGAGGCCTTATAACAACACGTGTATACCTATATACCCCAAATACTAGTTTTCACTAAGTTATACATATATACCCCAAATACCAGTTTTCACTAAGTTGACTTTTGACTATAGAGCTCTTAAAAAAAAATCTTTTTTTTTTTTTGAGCCGGAATCTCACTCTGTCGCCCAGGCTGGAATGCAATGGCGTGATCTCAGCTCACTGCAAGCTCCCCCTCCTGGGTTCACGCCATTCTCCTGCCTCAGCCTCCCGAGTAGCTGGGACTACTGGCGCCTGCCGCCACGCCCCGCTAATTTTTTGTATTTTTAGTAGAGACGGGGTTTCACCGTGTCAGCCAGGGTGATCTCGATCTCCTGACCTCGTGATCTGCCCGCCTCGGCCTCCCAAAGTGCTGGGATTACAGGCGTCAGCCACAGCGCCCGGCCAAAAAAAATTTTTTCCTAGTTGTAATTCCTACTCAAACCGTTTTACTTTTGCTTCTGATGCTAGCAGGGCTCTCATTGTCAAAAGAGCACCTCACAGAAGCAGCCATCCACTGCAGCAGCTGCCCTTCCTTAGTGCATGTGATGGACAGCTTTCCGCTGACAGTCGCTCTAAACGTGCCTATGTTTTTGACGTGTCCCGTACTCATGCGTAAGTGTCTGAAAGGTGAGTCACACCATTCCAGGAAGTGACAGCCACCTAGGACCTCCCCCATGGATGCTTCATTCCCTTTGCTCATTTCTTGGTCTTTCAGCTCCTGATCTGGCTCCCCACATGTTTCGTGGTAGCCAGGTCTATGCAAACCTACCCCCAAGTCCATGGCAGCTGACAGGCTAAAGAAAGAGGATGACAAATCCAGTTTCTTAGAAAGAAACATTTAATAGAGACTCACGAACGGAAGCCATGTCTGTGTCCTGGATGGTGGCTAGACAAGATGGCGGATCCCCACTGCAAAAGTTTCTCTAAGTTTCAAAAGGTCAAGGCCTAGATCAGCACTAGCAAAAGCAGCAGGAACAACTTTAGTGAAATCACTAAGACAGAATTCGCACAAGGAACTCAATGTCTGTACAAGTGAGTAACCTCTAAAATAGCAGTCCATAAGGGTAGGGTTGGGGGTGGTGGTCAGAGGTTCTCTTTGAGATTCTGAACGCTTTATGGATGCTTCATCCAGGAAAAGGCATAATCAAATTTTGCATATGACTTTGGGGCTTGTTAGACTCCTCTGGCAGTCCATCCATGGTATGAAACTTGGCTACCCTTTGATTTGTCACTCAGCCCTCCATTTACTCAGCTCCACTCACACTTAGATGATTATATATTATACATTATATTGTATTCCTTGATTTCAATAGAATATTATCTAGCAGACATACTAATATTTTGGTTATTTACTATATATGAAAGACACAACTTCTTTCTTTTCTTTTTTTTTTTTTTGAGGCGGAGTTTTGCTCTTGTTGCCCAGGCTGGAGTGCAGGGGCATGATCTCAGCTCACTACAACCTCTGCCTCCTGGGTTCAAGCGATTCTCCTGCCTCAGCCTCCCAAGTAGCTGGGATTGCAGGCTCCCACCACCATGCCTGGCTAATTTTAAAAATATTTTTAGTAGAGACGGGGTTTCACAATATTGGCCAGGCTAGTCTCGAACTCCTGACCTCTGGTGGTCCACCCACCTTGGCCTCCCAAAGTGCTGGGATTACAGGTGTGAGCCACTGCACCCAGCTGACACAACTTCTTTCTAAATAATCTTTATGCAACTTATAAGTTATAATCCTTATTATCCTGACTTACGAGTATGACCCAATCTTTGAATTTAGTTTCTTTGTTTACTCGTCAAATAATCTCTCATTTTTAATTGTAAGAAATTAGTTCTGTAACATAAGTGAGCCTGAAAGAAAGAGAACAGGCTCCGATAATGGAGTAGTTTTTATCAGACTTATCTTCCCAGTAGTCCCACACTGTCCCACTCACACACAGTCACACTCAGTGCCTTCCCAGGGGCAGCCCATAGCAGAATAGGATGCACACTACTCTGGGATGGAAGGAAAGGCAAGACTTCAAGGACTGGGCTGCCTAGCCAAACCTCTTTGGTGTGTTGCATGAAATTTTTGAAGTTTTTATGGATATTGGAGGCAAGAAGAGATACAATAAGAAGCTCAATTAACTAAATGACTTTTTTATCAAAACTTCATCTCACCCTAAATGGGCTTTCAGTCATCTCCCTAGTCTCACAAGTGAGCACTGAGGGATCCTTGCCCTGGAATTAGTCAGTTCTCTATGAATAGGCATTTAAGAACATTTCTCTCTGTAGCTAGAATGTCAGGTCAGCTACCTGGGCATTTACTTGGTTTCTGTCCTGATAGAGCCCAAGTGCTTATGTGATAACCTAATTCTCTCACCTTGTCCTCCTGTTCTTATGATATTTAAAAAGTCTTTTCCTTGACTTATTCTTCAATAATTGTGTCATTTTGGTTCCTGCCAGGTTAGCGGCTTCCTTGCTTTCGATTCTGACTTCATTGTGTCCCCTAATCCCTAAATGCCTTCTTGATTTCAGCCCACTTCCTTTCTGACCTCCAGTGGCACTGGCGTGTGTACAGACACACTGAGTTCCATTTACATGTGCCTAGGACTGTGCACTCACTTAGCCTCACACTCATCCACACTCACATCCCCACTTTCCCACAATCACTCACACTCAGTGTCCTCCATTTACTCAGCCCCACTCACTCTCGCCCAACCGTACACACTTGTTCCATTCACTCACACTCCTGGTCGTTCCCTTCACACTCACACTCCTTCACATTCATGACCAGCCACCCCACTGGCCTCCATTTAGTACTACTCGGTCTCACCCAGCCCTACCCATATGCACACCAGAGTCAGCTCACTCACAGTCGCACAGTCAGTCCCTCAAATGCAGTCACTCCCTCAGGAACTCCTTCCCTCTCACTCAGGTACAATGTCTCATTCATCCTCAGTGCCCTTCACACACTTCATATACACACTGGGCATGTGTCACACCCACTCACACAAACTTCAGGCACAGCCAGTCCTACCCACACTTATTCACGCTTATTTCACTCATGCCCAGCCCCACCCACTCACACCTAGTCACACTCACATGTGGTCCCAAACAGTTCCAGTATACCTAGACTCACACAGTCCTACTCATACCTAGTCACACTCAGTCACGCTCACACATGGTCCCGCACAGTTCCAATACACCTAGCCTCACACAGTCCTATGCATACCTAGTCACACTCAGTCACATGCATACATGGTCCCACCCACTCACACTCACACCTAGTCACACTCACATATGGTCCCACACCGTTCCAATACACCTGGTTTCACACAGTCCTTCTGACACCTAGTCACACTCAGTCACACTCACACATGGTCCCACACAATCACACTCACACTAGTCATACTCTATTCTACTACCTCTCAGAGAATTCCACTCTATTCTACTCTCTCGGTGTCATTTGTCCCCTCAGGAGGATGCAGCATTCAAGGTTCTATCTTGGAAGCAGAGACTGTGCCCTCACCAGATGCTGAACCTGCTGAGCACCCTGATCTTCCACTTCACCTTCATCAGAACTGTGAGAATTAACTTTCTATTATTTATAAATTACTCAGTCTAAGATATTTTGTTATAGCAGCAGGATCAGATTGAGACAAGGAATTTATACCAATTTAGACTATGCATGAATCCACAAGAATCCAAGTGGCACAAGAATCTAGCACCAAAATGGCAGCTCAGGGAAAGCTGATTCAGTTTAACGTTCAAAAGAAGAGGCAAAACTAATTCTAGAAACTTGTTCCCTTGAGATGCTCGGAGACGTGCCCTGGTTTAGAAAGAAAATACAGAATGGAAGCTTTGCTCTAAAAGACAGGTTCTTGCATTAGAAAAAGGGTTACTTCGGACTCACTGGCTCTAAATAAATTAGTCAGGAGAAAACTAATGAATGTTACCATGGAATTATCCATAGGACTTAACCTTCTCAAAATAGTTGTGAGTGGGATGAAAGAGCAACAATGAGTTAACCAGAGACACTGGAAGGTGTTAATTAGAAAAAAAATATATCGTATAGAAACAAATGTTGGTACAAGCATACAAGTAAAATTTTCAACTGTGTCATTAATACTTTCATTGTATAATTAATTTCTAGGGTGCTAAGAATTCTGAATTTATTGAGGAAATAAATGTCTGATTGCAACAAAAGAAAACTTGTCTGGCTTTGGGAAGGAAGAGGCTTAGGAAAAAAATTAAAGGCGTCTTTACTAGAAGTTCAAGGTGAAAACACTGCATTTTTTCTAGTACTTCACTACGTAATCTAAAGAAGTCTGGAAAGGAGCCAATGCATTAAAAATATAGCTAGAGGAAACCGTTCAGGGAGAAGACTTGTGGCAGTAGCAGTCTGTGCAAACATTCTCTTTCTCTTTCTGTCTTTCCAAGCAAAAATTAAACCTTGATTATCCCTTTATAAAAATAGGGTACTCATTTCCCAGTGAAATGTGGGAACTGCTTCTCTTTAGCAGCATAGTACCCAATTATTCTTACAGAAAATAATTTTATGTAATTTAAAAAATATACTGTCTTCTTGGTATGATTGTTCTTTTTGTGTGTACAGATAACCGCATTTAAAGAAATATTTAAAACTCTATCTTGGATTTCTTGAAGGTTTCTGGTTTGATTAGGCCATCTGAGTAGATAAATAACGAAATGATGCTAATGTGTTGACACAAGAAACAATGTTCAAAGGTAGACACCACCCAGGTGACATTTCTCATTGCTACACATATGTATATACGTGTGTATGTGTGTGCATATTTACATACCTTTGGGAAGATACAGGTGTAGCCAGAATGCTCTCACATGGTCGTCATTATCAAAATTCTCCCAATATATCCATCTCTTCACTTTTTGAGGTCATGGTCGGATTGAATTCCATGATTTCATGGTTCTATTGTATCTGTGTGGGAACCATGTGACTAGTTTTAAGAAAATATTATGAGCAAAGGTGACTTTGGTTACTCTCTGGTTAATTGCAAGTCTCTCTGGGGCACCCTTTAACTCTGTGATGTTTGAATGGTGACTGCTTTATGAGCCTGAGTCTCTGAATAAGTAAAAGGAGCAGAATCCCCTGTTAACCTGTTATGGACATGAGTAAGAAAGAAATCTTTCTTGTTTGAGTCATCAAAACTATGGGATTGTTTGTTATTGCAGCATACCGTAGCCCTATTCAGACTTCTATAATCTGATAGTAAGGGCAGATTTGGGGACAATTTACCAAAATCAGAATTATAATTCTGGTGACTCAGTTTGGGAAAAGAAATTCCATTTGACATCCAGAGATTCCATCTCCAGAAATCAAGAGCAATTGCTTCGATTTTTACAGATTCCTATTTGTTTTTGGACTAGACTCCAAAGAATTTGTTGTACTGTATAATTTTTAAGAAACTTAGGCTGAATAAATCACCTGAAAAATTCATTTTTGCCTGTAGAGCTGCTCATGGACTATGTTGAATAGTAGAAACCAGTTCTTACCACGTTGGTTATGCCACAGGCAATGCCAGTTTTTCTTAGCAAAGTTGAACTAACTATAACTTTGATTTATAATATATGTTAATATGATGCAAAAATGATAGTTCTTTTGTTTGGGTCTTTCACTGAACACATTTTATTGATTGCAGAGTTGTACAGCCAAAGATATTATAGAGAGGGTTGTGGGATGCCTAAAAATGCTGAGTTTGTTGGCAGAATCGAGATGACTCCTAATTTCTAACAGTGTCATTTTTCTGAGGCAGGAGCCAAATGTTATATTGTTTTAGCCAAGCTTCTTGAAATATTAGTCTATAATTTCTTTCCTTGCTTTCTGACACTCTTACTTACAGTCATCAAGTTTTAGTCACCATCTCGACACCAAACATGCACTGGAAAAGGTCTCTAATTTACTCCAGAGCAACAAGATCTTTGGGTACATTTCGGACTTCCTATTTTGATCTCCTGGAAGCTTTAGAAACTGACACATAATTGTTTATGTCAACTTTATTGGATCGCAGGGTCCCCATATATTTGGATAAACATTATTTCTTGTGTGAAACAACAGAGTGAGGTTGTTTCTGGATGAGATTAGTGTTTGAATTGGGAGACTGGGTGAAGCGCATTGCCCTTCCCAGTGTGGCTGTGCATCTTACCATCTGTGGAGGGCCTGGACAGAATGAAAGGGTGGAGAAAGGGAGAATTCGCTCTCTCTGCTTGAGCTGGGAAATTAATCTCATCCTGCTGAAAGCAGGGGTTTAACGTTTAGACATTAAACTGGGGTTTCCACCATCTGGACTCCTGGTTCTTGGGCCTTTAAACTTGGACTGGAATTATACACTGGGGTTTCCTAGGTTTCTAGCTTGCAGATGGAAGATTATGGGACTTCTCAGCCTCCATAATTATGTGAGCCAATTCCTGTAATAAATCTCTTTATACAGATAGATATAGATGTGTATCTGTATATATGTCTATCATCTATCTGTCTGATCATCTATCTCCTATTTGTTCTGTTTCTCTAGAGAACCCTGACTGATATACTAACCAATCATTGCCTTCTTGAAACTCTTTCCTACCATTGTTCCTTGACAGAAGTCTGGCTTGGAGGTTCTGTTTCTTCACTGGAATCTTCTACTCCATATCCTTAGGCTCCTTTTCCTCTCCTTACCATTTAAATATTGGTTAGTATTATTTTCTTTTCATTCCACTACCTGAATACTGATGATTTACAAATCTTTTTCTCCATCATAAAGCTTAGTCATGGGTACAAGAAGTACATTAAAGATATGCACCTCCTGCTACTTTGATTAGGATGTTCTATGGGGCTTCTATATTCAACCCATCCAACAGAATTCATGATCTTCCCCTCCCTGAACATCTCCACTCAAAGTCTGTTCTTTCTTTTATATTTCCATTCTTGAGGAATGAAACCTCCATCTGCTGAGCTATTAAGCCAGAAACATGAGAGTAATTATAGAACCTTCATATATAAGTGTTTAAATACTATTGTTTCAACTGCCTAAATATCTCTTGAATTTATCTCTCCCCCAATATCCTCATTAAAGCTTCCATATTTCTCTGTCTTTTTCCCCATGAATTAGTAGAGATGCTCCCTGACCAGTTCACTTTCCTCCTGTCTTAGCTTCCCAATTTACCTTCCACAGGGCAGTCAGAATGATCTTTCCAAAGACAAATCAGAATATTTCCCTTCCTTGAGGAAAAACCTGTCAATGTTTCTGCATTGATTTAGGATTATACTCCAAACTCCTTTATGTGGTGCACAATGCTCCTGAGGGCCTAGAACTTTACTGGTTTTAGCCCTGAAATTCTCACCATCACAGACAAAGCCTCATTCCCTGGGCAAACTGCAGTGGTTTATCGTCCCAGCTCAAAATATCTTTTTCGTTCTGGTCTTCTTGACTTGTCTTCAAGGTTCTGCTTAAGTTGATTTTTTCTAAAATCATATCCCAACCAATTTTTTCTCTAGCCTGAAATGTGTATACAGTGCTTGTATGTCCTCTAAGAAAAGGGATTATCATATTCTACTTTAATCTGGTCTTGCTATACTTTGTGCTTTTTAAAGAGAGATGCTCTATTGTTTTCATCTCTACATCTCAAACACATCTAGCACAGTGATTAGCACATAGCCATTGATAAATATTTGTTGTATGATATTAGAAAAACTCAGGGCATCCATCTTCATGCTGTATTCAATAAGTAACATAACTCTTTGCTGATTAACTTAGTATTTTCACATTTTTATTGTTTTCACTTTGAAATACAATCTTTTATTTTTCCTCTTCTGTTTTACTACCATTATTTAACTCAAAAATAGTGGTTATTTTTCTTGTTCTCTTAGTAGATCCCCCGTAATATGTTTAAACTTATTTGAACATTTCCTGCTTCTTCCATCCTAAAAGATGTAGACATGTTTAGAATAATTAAGAATATTTGCAAAAAGGATTTCTTACAACACTTAGTGAGGACCAAAAATGTACCAGGTTCTGTGAAACCTAAGTGTAAACTGAGGAATTTTGACTCCTGCCCTACAAAAATTTACAATCCAGGCAGTAAAGCTGAACAGTCTAGCCTGAAAATCTATTTTAAAACTGTTTTCCCCCAGTCCGAAGATATAACCTTGAAGCTTACTGCAAACCCCCCTTTTTTTTCTTCTCCTTAGTCTTAAAATATGGCCTTGGAGTGTACTTTCTTTGAAACACCATGTCCCTCCCTTTCCTGCCATACACTCCCTCACCTCGTGCACATTTATCTAACTGTATGCTTGTATCTAATTATGTGCTTACTTAGAAGTTCCAAGGGGCTAATCTTAAAACAGACAAAGCATAGAGACCCAGCTGCCAAATTCCAGAGATTACCTCAAGGCAGTTAGTCATCAACCTGGCCAGTGCTGAGATGACACCAGCCTGTGCTCCAGATGGCCCAAGGCTTGAGATAGCACAAAACATTCAGACCTTGGACTCAGCATCCCTCCCTCATGCCTCCCATTCCAAGTTCCCTTTTGTAAGCCCCTCTTTCCAGCCTAAAGTTTGAAGTGGTTCCTAGAGGCAAAAGCCAGCTGCGTCCCCACTGTTAGCTTTGGAAAATAAAGTCACTTTCCTTTTCACTGCACTTCATTCTTGTTACTGCTTTTGCAAGTGGTGAGTAGCTGAGCATGAGCTTGGTTACAAGGCAAGCATATGCTCTTAAGAATTTCATTTTAAAAAGCCCAAAATTATGAATATATAATCTAATGACCTGGGAATCTCTTCCTGTAATATACAAAATGTCTTTTAGGGATAAATAGAGGTGGGATATTTAGTTTTTTCTTAGGTGCCAAACACAACCAAAAAAGGCATATTTGAAACAAAACTGAATATTTCCCTTTTCCTTTCATTGATTTGTTTTAAATTTTAGCTGTCCTGTTTTGAATTTTCAAGGGCTTCTTGTCTCTCATTATTCCTTTTAAATAGTATTCTGTTCTTTGTTACTGACATAAACTCATTTCTCAGAGAATAGTAATGGCCAATTAAAAAAAATTCTTTCTTATACCCTGCATTGCCTCTTTTTCCTTTGTATTCCTATTTTTTCTTTTTTCCCCTATTTCTAAATTTTTTTCTGCTGGAAATTTCTCTAAAACACTTGTGGCAGTCATGTTTGAAGATTGAAGCAATAGAAAGTTGATTGGAAGCTGCAGGCCAGGGGAACTTATTTGCTGATAATTTACAGGGTAGTCCAGGGGAACTCAGCTCTTTCATTAGAAGCCTTCAAATTTGGAGTGTCTTTTCTTTGGGACTATTTGATTTATTCTAGGGAGGCATCCTCTCATATACTATCTTGGGATGGGGCTTTAAGCCCAGCTCTAGCATTCTATAAGCAGGGAGGAGGAAGGAGGCTGAGGCTGGATCTACTATTCACTGTGAAACTGCTTATTCAGTCCTATTGTCAGCTCCATGTTCCCACCTTCCTACCTTCTACTTAGGCCTGGTGCCCTAAATCTGAAGCCTTCAGATCCTGTCCTTTAAGGAAGCAGTAATGGTGGGGGTGAGATGTGAGAGGGATAACCACCAAGCTGCCAAGGATGCAAGGATGGTTGAGAGTGGCCTATAGATTTTTTTTTTTTTTTTGACAGTCTTGCTCTGTCCCCCAGGCTGGAATGCAGTAGCATGATCTTGGCTCACTGCAACCTCTGCCTCCCAGGCTCAAGCAATTCTCATGCCTCAGCTTCCCAAGTAGCTGGGAGTACAGGTGCACCCCACTACCTTTGACTAATTTTTGTATTTTTTGTAGAGACGGGATTTTGCCATGTTGGCCAGTCTTGTCTCAAACTCCTGGCTTCAAGTGATCCACCAGCCTTAGCCTCCCAAAGTGCTGGCATCAGGTGTGGGCCATGGTGCCCAGCCTGATCTAATATTTTCACATAAAGAATTTTAATTAATGCCTCTGGTTATAATCATATACATCTTACTCCTATTTGAACTATTTTGATAGGAGTAACTATTTTGATAGTTCAAATCCAGAGTCTTTCAAGGAGTCCTCTTTGTAGAACACTCTGTTCATACTTCTTTCATATATTAAGTCTGTTACTAATCCTATATCTGTTTTCTATCTTTTAAAAAATTATTGAAGTCTTTCAATTTCAGTAGTCTTATATTATTTTCTTCTCCTTGGAACTTGTACCTTTTATATTTTATTTCTCATATTGTTATTTGGGGAAAATTTCAGGACAGAGAAGAAATAGATGTACATATTCAATCTACTATTGTTCCAAATAAATTTATTATGCTTTTGTTTGCTAATTTTCCTTTGCCACATTCACTGGTTATGTGAAGAACATACTCTACTACTTATTCCTTCTAAAGCAATGACACTTTAAATTTGTCCTTTCCAGTCACTGTTTAAGTGCAATGAGTGTGTTGTTGGCAACATAAGGCAACACCTTTATAGAACACGGCCTATAGATGAATGAGAAACTAACCTTCTTTAGAAATTCTAGAAAAAATCAACTTGCAAATATATCTAATCACTAAAAGCATATTCTGTGCAGATAGTCTTTATTTACTAGTTATCAAAGGGTTATTTTCATGCAAAATAAAAATATACCAATAAAAGCCTTAAAACTTTGGAGAGCTGATTTTCTACTTCATGTTTTTTTTTTGAAATGTCAGACATGACTAAGGAGTGAGGTCTTTTTCTTTTCTTTCTGTATAGATATAAAACCCCCTTTCAATCTCCAGGTTTTGTTGATTTTGTTCCCTATTTTTTTTTTTTACTTTCTATTGCCTGCACTCTGGTAAAATCACCCTCACCACTCACTGGCTGTAATGAAAATGGCAAATACATTCCGTGCAGCCTGTCTTCCCCTAGCCCAGCCTGTTCTTCACACTGCCATCATAATGATGTTTTAAAGACAATTATAATCATAATCCTAGAGCAGAGATTGTTAACCTGAAATCATCCATGGTTGATCAACTTTGTAAGTCTGTGAATCCCTTACATTATAGAAAAAAAGTAGTGTTTATGATTATTTTATTTAGGGGAGAAGCCTAGGTATTTCATCATATCCTTGAAAGAGTCTGTGACACCTCCAACTGTTAAAAATCACTCCACAGAGAATCAAGTTGATGAATAATGATGAGAATAGCCGATGATCTTAACACACATGACTACCAAAATCTCTATTATTTTTCTGGAAACATGATTACTAGAAATCTAAATGGCATCTGTGATTGATTGGTATTCTCTTCCCCCCACATAAGAGTGGCAGAAGAATGACTGTTAGCCAAGTGTCTGTCAAAATGAACTACAAACATATTCATTAGGAAACAGGTTGTTAAAATGGATCAGGTATAAATATGTTTTGCATATCACAAAAGACACCTAAATTAAGGAAAGCTGTGAAAGAGCAGATAGCCATTTTTCAATTATATATGACCAATGTGGCATTTTTTGATATCTTAGTCAGTAATTTGAAGGTCTAGAAATGCCATACGTGCCTATGTAATTTGGGGTCACTGCTTTTGATACAGGCAGTGAGTCTAGAAATTTCTACCTCACTCAGAACAATCATGCTATGACTTTTTCCTACTTGTGCAATTACCA
This sequence comes from Homo sapiens, assembly GCF_000001405.40. NCBI lineage: Eukaryota > Metazoa > Chordata > Mammalia > Primates > Hominidae > Homo > Homo sapiens. The sequence goes on along the minus strand of NC_000003.12, from coordinate 107,121,845 downwards.
AGATTTCACACCATTTAACACTTTTATGTTTATGCACATGAATATTTACAGGGAAATAGACTTGGGCATTAAAAAAAAAAGTCATTCAGCTTCCTTGACTTCATCAGGTTGTTTGTGGAGGGGCTATTTCACAAACACACAAGCTACAAATCAAAGGTATATGACACCTTTTTATATTATCAGGCAACATGGTGATAAAAAAATGAAATGGAGTTTGTGAATTTTATTACTCCGGGTGACAATTTAATATGTGGGTGATGGTGTGCAGCTCCCAAATGAGATTTGTTGCATCCTCAGAACTGCATAAAATGTCTAAAGAGAGGGGCAAGCTTCCATGCCATATATAGACAGACTCATTGGATCTCCCGAGGAAGTCAGATTGGAAACTTGTAAGTCCATAGTCATTCACAGATGATAAAGTGTGTGAAGTGGGGAGCAGGGAGAGGCCGTGCTTGCATGAAGAATTTTAATGACTTAACGTTTCTTCTCTTCTTATTAATTTTAGCGTAGGGAGGGCAGTGGGATAAGGAAGTCATCAGTCTTGCATATGTCTTTTTCTGCTACAGATGGTACAATGGTTGATTTGGTACAAGGATCATACCAAATATGTATGCAGGAAGCCAAAAAATAGAATCAAATCAAACATGATTTTATAGTTGTTATTATTCCTAAAAATATCTGTGCTCCTGTAGGCATATGTCTTAGATAGGAGAATGCTGTTGGAATTTCTGGTCTCTGCATTGAGGGGCTGTTGGTCTTTTGGAAAGATGTGCTTATTGAATGGGACAAGCTTGCCCCAAGAGGCATTGCTAGGGCTGCTCCCAGACCTACTTGTGATTCAAGGCTGTGCTTCTCCTCTGCACGTGAGACAGGTGAGTTATGTTACTTGCTAGGTAAGAAGGAGGGGAGGAGATAAGTTACCTGAAATCATCTGATGCATTATTATCCCCTTCAGTATGGACATAACGTCAGAAGAGGATCACTGAATCAGATAGGGTAAAGCATTCTTTCGACCTCCCTGCTGGGGGCTTGTCTGTCCTGTTGTGCTGTACTTCTGTGCAGGTGGAAACAAGATGAACTCAAACCACTTGTCTGATTAAATGGGCCAACTGTTTCAGTCATTGCCCAAATAAACGGTGTTTCTGTGCCAACTTTCATGTGTATACTTTGGAGGAAATTGTTACTTCATATTCTAATCTCATCTTTTTCATGGGAGTCTTAGAAGTATTGGAAAGCTGTTTTGAAATCCTTTTTAAAACCTAAGATTGAGCCTCACAATTTTTTTCCTTTATATAGGTATTCTCAGTTTAAATTGCTTTACATTTTTACTTTTTCATTTCACAAATAGAAGGTAATTTATTTTGTTCCTCTTTGAGGGTGCTAAAATGGGATCACTGATTAGAAACTGATAACCACCCACTTGAGCCAGAATTCCTATCTTCTTATGAAACAGCGCTAAAACATTTGATGTAAAATTCCTCAGTATTTTTCAGATCAGACCCTCATTCATTTAAAAAATTTACCTACCTGTGAAAGATCAGAACCTGTACTTTCAGGCTACTGTTCCCTTATTAAATCAGTGAGCAAATGCCCTTAAAAGGGACATTCAATTGAAATTTAAAAAAAAAACATTATTTGAGTGCCTGTTGTATGTCAAGCCCCTTGTAAAGCACTGGGGAGAAAAAAGCAAATATTATAGCGTATAGGAAAGTAAGTAAAGATATTTAACAAACAACCCTAACGCAATGTGATAAGTGCTGTGATAGGGAATTTGGCTCTGTGATTTCAGTGTCAGTGGATTTCTTATTCAGTTAATCTCATCTGCCAAAGAAAATATTTTTGTAATGAGGAAATGTCACCTCTGTTCACCATTGGAAATTACTATTTATCAAGTTGTCATTTACTTGGATAATGTTATCAGGTATTGTCTAGCAGATAATATAGAGGGAAAATAGAACTATCTTCAATAGAGCCCCCTTTGACTTGTAAACTATGATACTCATAATGTTTAGTGCATGGTGTATATTTAGCTTCCTGCCCATCTGGTCTTTTGTTGAGGGACTGAACAATTGGTTTCCATAAGATCCAGTATTAATGAGAGCCCTCATTGTGGTTATTTTTATTACTCTCTTTCTTGAGCAGTTTTTTTTTTCCAAATGAGAATATTTACTGGGTACAAATGTAATTGCTTCAGAGATTTCCAGAAAAGGTGCTAAATTCGTCCTTATCCCAAAGCTGAATTTTAGTTGATCTTTTTTCCTCACCGACTTTTTCAGTTTTGTTTTTCACCACTTTCAAATAAGAATCAGTTGCATGTTCCAATCCTGGAGGTCTCTGAGTTTCCAAACTCTGAAGAAAGGGGCAAGAAAGGAAGAGTTAGGGATGTTAGAAGAGTTAGAAGAGTTACGAATGTTCCTATGTGCCTTCCGTCTGTCTTATACCTGCTGCGTGAGGAGCTGACGCCAACACCCAAAGCCCTGGACAAAGACTTCCTCCACAGTCACTTTCCTCTGACCCACAGGAACCTCCTTGGCTCCTCTCCCTCTTGCCTTCACAGCTTGACTTCCCCTTGTCATCTTGCCCTGTTAGGATCTAGCACCCTCAGAGCTGCTCTGGAAACCCCATAGGGCCTATCTCTGCCACTTGTACTACTCCACTCGCTCTCAGTAATGTGGGTGTGAGGTGCCTCGTCCCCTTGCCTAGCCCTTTCATAACATGGCTGGAAAGTCTTGTATGTGCTGTCCCCAAAACAGATCAGACAATGTTGACCCAACAGAAGGAGCATGGTCACCTCAGTCCCGGTGGGGGTTGGGGGTAGGGGGTCGGGGGAGCCAGTGAGGGGGAAGCGCACAGTGAAGGAGGCCTTGGATTTGGAGACAAAATTCATTTTGGGAGCCTGGAAGCTCTCTGGAACTGGACACAAACTCTTGTCTCTGTAGTTTGCTTACCCAGGGAACTTGGGTAAGAGCTAGTGAATAACTCGTATATGTATTATATGACCTTAATAAGTAATATTGTTTAGCCTGAGTTTTTGATACAGTTTTCAACTGCATGATGTTCTAACTCTGTCTGAGTTTCACAGAATTATTTCTCCAGAGTAAATTGACTTATTCTTCTGAGCAGAGCCCAGGTAGCCTAGTTATCTTAACTGTGAGGAACTGATAGAGCTCTCTATCTCCTTGGGGGATGTTTAAAAATACATAAAGCAAAATTATATCACCTTAAGAACGTTATGGTGATATAACATTCTTATCACCATGCTTTTAACATGCAGTCAGCCCTGCCAAATTTTCCTCTGCCATTGAGAATTGGAGTAATTATTATAAGTGCAGACAAAACTAGGTTTCTCTTGCAGGCAGATTTTTGTGATTGCACCCTGGACTTTCGTTCAGAATTCTTTTCAGTTTCTTAGGAAAGCTAAATGAAATTGCTGCAGTAAGGCCAGAGGGGGGCACCAAATAATCGTGATTGATAGAGTGGTTTGGCTGAGCATTTGCGGGAGGCTCAGGCATCAGGCCTGTGAGCCTCTGTGTCTGTTTTGAGCATTTTGGGCATAAAACATATTGAAGTCTCTTTGTTTACGGAATCGTCGTCAAGCCAGGAGCTGACACCCGAGCTTCAGTGGCCCAAAACATACTCAGCTAATGGGGAAGCAGCAGTTGGCAGGTTCTGTGGTTGTAAACATTTTAGAAAAATTTCTTCACGCTTTTTAGCTCCTTCCTTATTTCACTTATCAGAGTTGAATTGTGGGAAGAACTGAGAAACAAACTCTGCCATGCTCTTGGAAGGCGAGAATGCAGATGGGTCGTTCTTTCTGAGACAGAGGAATTATTGGCAATTTTCTAGGATTAATTGTTCTTGATAAATTGCTGAAATATCTATTTGGTCCTCAGGAAACTGGGGAGCATTCAATACCATTTAAAGTGTTTCTGCATTATTGGCTATTTCAGAAAAGTTGGCTTCCTCTGCTGTACTTCCTAAAGCCAGATTTCTAAATTCAATACAACTTTCAAAGCTATTCTACCACAATTGTTGCAATTTATCTAGTATGGAAAAGTAGTGTTTCATGTTTGTTGGTAGTTACTACTCCTTGTGATCTGTAGTTTGCTTAGATGTCCTTATTTATAGTGAATTAATTTAGGGCAGTGGGCAGGGGCCAGGGCAAAGGAGTTGGAATGTCCTCTATTCAATTGAGGAGGGTCTAGGTACGCTTACTTCATTCTTTGTCAGTACATGATGGATTCTAAGTCTTCTTGCAAAATACGTGTGAACACAAAAGTGATTAATTATGATCATGTCAAATTTGAAACTGATTTAAGTCCTGAACTATAATCTGTCACCTCAGTTTTCCTTTTAGACTTTTTGTATGGTTTAGGAATATTTCAAAAGTGTCCTTTGACCATCTCTTTTCATAAAGTAAAATCTGTGATCATGGGGTTACACGACAAGTCAGTTGATGCACACAGAACAATGCTGACTCAGGGAGACAGAGGCTGTGAGGGTTCTTATAAATGCTGACCCCTTCATATGCCGACATGTTCACTTAGTGTTTACGAACTTGAGCTCCGGAGCCAGACTACTTGGGTACTTGGGTAGGAATGTAGGCCCTACCACTTATTATCTATATGACTTTGGCAAGTTAGTGAGCTTCTGTGTGCCTCAGTTTCCTCATCCATAAAGTGGAGTAATGCTAGTATCATAGAGTTAGCCTGAGAATTAGATGAGTTATTATATGTAAAGCAGTTAGAATAGAACCTGGTGTATACTACTTCATAAGTACATGCTAAATAAATATTTTAGGTCAGGCAGGGTGGCTCATGCCTGGAATTCTAGCACTTTGGGAGGCCGAGGTGGGTGGATTGTCTGAGCTCAGGAGTTCAAGACCAGCCTGGGCAAAATGGTGAAACCCAGTCTCTACTAAAATACAAAAAATTAGCCGGGCGCGGTTGTGTGCGTCTGTAATCCCAGCTACTTGGGAGGCTGAGGCACCAGAACTGCTTGAACCCAGGAGGTGGAGGTTGCAGTGAGCCAAGATCATACTACTGCATTCCAGCCTGGGTGAGATTACTAGACTCTGTCTCAAAAAAAATAAAAAAAATTTTAAAAGTGATATAAAAACTATTATGTCAGTCCTATAGAATTTTTCCAGAGAAATTTACCATCAGGTGATTTTTATATGGGCATATATTGACTTAGTTGTTTCCTGTGCCTGGCTTCCTGGCTGGTATCTTAGGACCCTGCTGTTCTTTTATGCCTATAGAAACCTTTGGCAGGGCGCGGTGGCTCGCGCCTGTAATCCGAGCACTTTGGGGGGCCAAGGCGGGCGGATCACGAGGTCAGGAGAGCAAGACCATGCTGGCTAACACAGGGATACCCCATCTCTACTAAACACACACACACACACACACACACGCAAATTAACCGGGCGTGGTGGCGGGCGCCTGTGGTACCAGCTACTCAGGAGGCCGAGGCAGGAGAATTGAGTGAACCTGGGAGGCGGAGCTTGCAGTGAGCTGAGATTGTGCCACTGCACTCCAACCTGGGCAACAGAACGAGACTTCGTCTCCAAAAAAAAAAAAAAAAAAAAAAGAAAGAAACTTTTAAGAGACAAGAAATAGAACAATCAAAATCTTGTACAAAGATCATATTACAACCGACTCTTCAACATAATTTATTTAACAAACATTCATATAGCACTTACTATGTGCCACACACTGTTTTAAACACTGTACAAATATTAACTCATTGAATCCTCATTATAACAGAATACTTGTTGAATTTCAATTAAGTGATGTGGGAAAATCCTCTAGCCTGGTGTCTGACATGATAATCCTTTAATAAATATTTGTTGAAGGAATGAATACCTGTGAGTGACTCAATCAATCAGTCTATCTTGTTTGGCTAATAAAAAAAGCAAATAATATACCAGGATGTTATATTAAGTGGCCTAATGTGTTCTCAGAAACTGGAAACAATTGAGACTCTTTATCCACAGCTGTATTCAGTTTGTACTGAAGGGACTAAAGTGGCCTAAATGTGCCTGTTCCTTTCTGAATATTAAGTCACTTGCTATTTTGATATTAAGCTTAGATGTTTAGATGTCGTAGAATTGGTGAAGTCTTGGTGACTTGTAGGCTGTTACATTCAACTTATATTGAATATCTTAGTGTACCATTCTAAATTTCCATTTTTATCTTTATTTTGGATTTTGAGCAGACAGTATTATGATTCTGTTTAAGACATGAAGACATGCCAATTTTCCTACACTCTTTCAATTGCATTCTTTTGTTTTAATCTTGGAAAACATATTTGCATCATATTTCTTAATTTGTCACAGCCTGAGAAGTGACATTATTGAATGACAGTAGGAGCTTGAATATTGTGCTTTGAAATGCCATTGAGGATACCATTATTCATGTGACAGCCCTGAGAAGATTAGCAAATAACTACTTAACATTTTATAATGCTTTATCATCATAAAAATCCACATATTAAACTTGAGGAATAAATTACTTAAAAATATATCATTTCTATTCAAACACCATTTGGAAAAACTTGAGAGATAAATGCCAGTTTTTAATGAAGCTACAATAAATGTTTTTATTCACCATGTTATTGCTCCAGTCAATTGTAGATTATTTTTATAATCACTAAATTAGCTGCATTTAGCCTTAAACCTACTTGTTGAAACACAGTTAACATGGTAGAAGAGAACCAATGTAATAATAGTCTAAGACTTCAATAGTCTCTGTGCCTGTCTCTCTTTTCTCTTCCTTTCTAGGTACTAGTTGAAATGATCTCTTCCTAATCTATGACAAGTATCTGGGAATGTGGAATTTAATTTAATTATTATTATTATTTTTTGAGATGGAGTCTCGCACTGTCACCCAGGCTGGAGTGCAGTGGCGCGGTCTTGGCCCACTGCAACCTCTGCCTCCTGGGTTCAAGCGATTCTCCTGCGCCCACCACCACGCCCAGCTAATTTTTTTTTATTTTTCATAGAGATGGAGTTCCACCGTGTTAGCCAGGATGGTCTTGATCTCCTGACCTCGTGATCCGCCTGCCTCGGCCTCCCAAAGTGCTGGGATTACAGGTGTGAGTCACCGCACCCGGTGGAATTTAGTTTTTAAAAATGAAAGTGTTGAGATGTGGTACTGAAGGGCACGTGGAAAAGAGTGGGTAACTTTCCACGAGGAGCTCAGGTCCCTTTGGTGGCTATGAAGAAGTGGAGAGGAAAAATCAAAACTGTAAACTCTTATCTCTGAAATTAAATATTGTTGATACTGCCAGAGTAGACATGGGATTGTGGGCAATTCCTGGTTTCAGGGAAGTCAACAAATCTTCTGAAGTTACAATGTAGTTAAAAATAACAGTTGAGGAGTGGGATTGCCCTGTGCCTCATCCAGTGGTCAGAGGTGTAGAGTGGGTTGAAGTTTATAAACTGACAGTCAATAAAATCTGCCCCAACCCAGGCAAGTAACTGGCAGGCTTGAAGCCTGAGAAGAAGCTATTTAAGTAAACCCTAAAAATTCTAGTGCAATTTGACACCCTTGTTTCAGTATAGCTCTGGGATAGAGGCAGAGGGGTGGTCTCCTGACTGCATGGTGGAGGTTTTTGATGGGATGAGGGGCAGAGTGATGAAAAGATGACATTATTGGTAAGTCCAGATTTCAGTTGTGAACTGATACTTCAAGTTTTGGTAGTACTGACAGTGGACAGCCCCTCAATAGGATGAACAGGTTTCTGATAGGGACTGTGACACCTTCTAGCTTTAAATAAGACATCTGAATTCTGTCTCCAGAGATAAGAGGCACAGACTGTTGGTCTTAGATGCTAGGATTCTGGGATATTACAGAATGGTAGTATGGGGCGGGCTGTCTGGAAGGAAGATACTGGACTTGTTTAGTTTGGTTATAAGCTTGTCCATGTCAGTATTTAATAAACATTCAGGTGGCTCAACAAATTTTGTGGAAAAAATATTGCATGACAGTAGGAGCTTGAATATTGTGCTTTGAAATACCATTGAGGATATCATTATTCATGTGACAGTCTGTGGAGTAGGAGCCTTAAGTTCAGATTACCCATCCGTATATCCACTCCCACACATATATATTCAAACATGCCGTAAATTCTCATTTACTCCCTTCTGCCTCTTTTCCTTCCAGAATGAAGGAATCTCTTGACAAATGTGCCCCCTCCTCGCCCTCACCCCTCACACCCATATTAAGTCAGATTGGTCCCCTCAGCATCCCTGAACTTGCCTTGTTCATCATCATCCTAAAATACTTCTCATGCTATTTCTCTTACCTGGTTGTTCTCAGCTTTCTCTTTTTGCCTCTGCGAATATTATCCATTCTTTAAAGTTGAATGACCCTTCTTTGGCTACTTTTCCAAGCTTGTGCCCTTTCTACAACTTCATCTGTCTTAATAGATTGAAAACTTCTTCAGAGTAAGGGCCACATCTTTGTTTTCTTCTTTGCTATATTCTGTGTACTGTACCACACTCTGGTGATGTGTGACTATAAGCCAGGTAATGAAAAATCCTGATTTTTGCAAAAAGGAAAATTTTGCTTAATCTGCTTTGTAGTCTCTAAATAAACTTAGCCACTGCCTTCACAAATTACAAATTGCTTCTGATAAGTTCATTTTTAAAAATGGTATCAAAAGTCCCCTTTTGTTTTGTTTTACATTTATCCCCTTGAAATTCTCCTTGACCATAATCATGGTCAAAGACTTGAAATAGTTGGAAGTTTCCTCAGGTGGACAAAGGTGCTGAGATTAGATGTTCTAAAACATAACTTCAGTAGTCATTAAGGCCATAATCTGAATTAAGTTTCCTAGTAAATTACTGAAGAATGCTTATTTAAGTCTTCTGATCACTGTACCTTGTATGTATCAAGATATCGTTTTGTATCCCATGAATATGTACAATTATTATTTGTCAATTAAATAAAAAATTTTAAAACACACATAAAAATAAAGTTATCTGAAAGCTATTCATCTAAAACTGATCCAATTAGACAGATGTATCACTGCAAGCTACAGTGCTCAAATTTATGATATTCATAGTGAAATAATTTACTGTTACAATATATTTAAGCTCCCTGGAACCTTAATGTCAACCATATTGTTAGGCACACATAGTAGGTTCTCAATAAATATTTGGTGGAAAATTGATGTATTTTAATGTATGTATATTTGAGTGAGCTATTTCTGTTTTTGGTGTCCTGTCCTGATTTATAGTGAAATCTCTCAGTCTAGATTATTTTGGCACATTGCCAAACATAATGTAATGAAATAGAAAATTCTGTTCATACTAATTTATGACCAAATCTAAAACCTCTTTGAAATTAGTAGAGGTGCCTTTGTCTTCACAGAGCTTGGAAGACAATGAACTATTTTTCACAGAGATTATATTTAGTTATTTTCTTTTTGTAATTGTATTTTAGCACAAACTGACAAACAACTACATCAGCATTATCGTCTTTATCCTGTATTCACGAACATTTAAATTAAATTAGTATTCTTTAGGTTACATATGACATAACTTAAAATTTTTTCTGGATAAATGGTTATTTTTATAGTTGCATTATGGACTTTGGCATTATTCAAAGAATACATAATTTAAATTCTGACAAGCTTTTAAAACATTTTCTTCTAAGCAATGCCTGCAAATTAGTCTTTTCTTTCCCTTTTTAGACTGGGGCTGTGGCTGAGATGTCACATGGCAGATAGGATCACAAATTTCTGTTGTATCTGGATGGAGATCAGCAGGAGGATCTATGGGTGAGAAGAAGCACAGTTACAGATGGATTCTAGAGCCTGCTTGCTGACACAGGCTTGCAACTGCGGACTTTATAAGCTTAGTTTTTAATCTGCTATCAGCTAGCATAATACCATAAATGCATAAGAAACTAAGTATTCAGTCTTACGAGAAATGCTATCTTGACCTGACCCTTTCTCCAAATAAATTGACAAAATATCTCATCGTCTAGGATGCCAGACAGAAATACCAGTTGCAATGTTTTGTTGCATAAAGTTTATCCTAATTTAAATTAGTGGCATATAAAGTCATCATCTTGCTTGAACAAACATCTTATTAAATTGAGCATGTCTTTTATCCCATGAAATGAAATTAATTTTGAGATAGTTATTTTTCAGTTGGAAATTTATTGAGTTGATAGAAAACAAGTTATATAGTCTTCCAAAGAATATGTTACATCCATTTGCATTTTGTTTTTCTTCAGCAATGTTTGGTTTTTAGAAAATCTTACAAGTTAAATATACTAATGTAGAAATTGAAAGAAAATAATCAGAGATAGAGCAATAAATTTGCAAATAAAGATTATTCTTAAAACAAATGTTTACTGTAGTTTTATTTATATAAAAAATCCCAAACTACCCAAGTCTTCAAATAATAAAGACACTATTAAAAAACTGTTACCTTTCCATTTATGGATTATTAGGTAGACTTTAAAAATATTTTAAAAGACTTTTTAAAGGGCTATGCCATTTTCCCTAATGTAAAAACAAAGTAAAACACCATGACGAACCCCCAGAAAACCGACCTGTATATTCAATGTACCAACCAATTGCATATACACTAGAATTTTTGTTTGTAAATAGATGAGTGTGCATAAGACAATATGTTAAAGTACAGACACTTCCTACCTAATACAGATTGAGTTCTTACTATGTATTCAGTTCCCACTATACTCTAGGCTCTTGGCTAAGCACTTTAAGGGCCTTATCACATTTAATACTCACAGGAGCACAATGAGATTGTTCTGGGCAAGCCAGAAAATCACACTGTCAGAAACTGATTTGCTGGGTGAATACTTTCAGATCATTTTGAAGTTGAAAATCACAGGCAAACACTTTGAAGCCATGTCAGTTGTGTATTGGAAGGAATTAAACATGCAAATGTAATGAGTGCAATAGATTTTAAGAGTCTGTTTTTTCGGAGGTGATGCAGTAATTGCTGTGGTTGGGACTGTCTCTTGAAGTGGAAACTAGACAAGTGGGTTTAGACATTAAAATTCCTAACAGTGGTTTGCTCCCTCTGTAGCCTTGGATAGAGCACCTGTCCCTTAACACATTAGAGCTCCCATAAAATAAACTGCTTTACCCCAGCTAAAAGGAACAGTCTCTTTGATGGAACTTGAGCTACAGTCATGGTGATTTTCCACTAGGTACTTCAAAGAGGACATCCTCTCCTGAAGAACAGAAGAACCTGAAATGTTTGGAGCCTAAGGTTTCTAGGATCTTCTTTTGCCAGTCTTCCCCATTTATTGCTCTCCTCCCATCAACCACACTGACAGTTGAAGGGTTAAAGAGTGGTGTTGCATGAGGGTTTGCACTAGGGAGTCCATTTTCTCCTAAGAATTATTATATTACATTATGTTGCCAAGACATACAAATGAAGAATAACTGGTTTTAATACATAGAAGAATCAGGCTTGTTTTGCTTCTTTAATAATAATACATAAAAATTGGTGGCAATTTATTTTTGCATGTGAGGAAAATAAAACGCAGAGAAGACTGTAATTTCCCTAAAGTCACACATCTACTGCATGAGAGACAGAGTCAGAATTTCAACGCAGGTCTGTCTGGCTTCAAAGACCTTCGTTATTTCAGTAGTGGGACCATGGATCATATTTCTTCCTTTAAAAAATATTTCCTCAGTATTTTTCTAAACCTTAGATGATGATATTGCTTTTATAATTAAGCAATACATGTTATGAAAATAGAAATAAAATATTTTTATGTAAGCTGAAGAAATGAGAAAAGAGATTTTTCCTGTTAAGGAAAAACAAGTTCCTGTTCTTCTTTTCTATTGTAGACTGCTGTGATTGCACCTGCCATCTTATGCAGAAATGACCTGAAGACAGACTGAAACAACGTGTTCTACAGCCTGAAAATATCTACCTTGACTTACAGTTTTATTAATGCTGGTGTGATCAGACTGGACAAAAATTAGCATATGTTATTAACTGATCTAATTCAAGTGCCAATTCTTAATAGAAACACAAAACAATAAAAGCAATTCAGAAAATATTTACTATTTGATTTCTTCAAGCTCCAAACAGGCTTGTGCTTAGCTGTAGAAACTTGAATATATACAAATCTACATGGATAGAATTCTTAGTCTTCTTTGGGCCAGGTGTGTTAGCCCCTTGGGAAAGGATAAAGTTTTGGAATATATTTTTATTCATGAACCTGCTCTCTTTAAGACTTCTGAGGAAAAGAGCTGCTGGGCAGATGAGTAGAATATGTTACTACTGTTCCGACATGTCTACCCATCAAAACTAGCTGATACAGTACACTTTAATGACCCTTCTATAGTCAAAACTGACATTGACATTGACATTAACAGAAAAGATTTGGGACAAAGAACTGTGTTCATGCAGCAAATCAGCCTCAAACTTCACCACAAGCTGCACATTTTATGCTACTGTATTCTGCTTAAGCACTTATTTGTATTTATGTAAACTGAATGATCCTTTAATACTTAAGGACTTTATTCTGGGTGAGTTAGAATCACACTGTTTTGGCAGGAAAACTCTTTGATAGGAAAAACTGTATGGCTTGATAATTTAAGAGCTAAAAGTAGCCAAATCAGGAACTACTGAAATTCTTCAGTATCTGTTAGAATATCTCCTGTTTGAGCCATGTTTGTAAATGATGTTCAAAGGCATTTCAAAAGCATGTAAATTAAAAAAACAATTCATTTGATTCTGCTATGGTTTAAATATATATATCCCTCCAAAATTCATATGTTGGAACTTAAACCCCAAGGTGATGGTGTTAAGAGGTGAGGGCTTTGGGAGTTATTATAATTAGGCCAGGAGGGCTCTGTCCTCATGAATGGCATTAATGCCATTATAAAGGAGACTTCAGAAAGCTGCCTGGCCTTTTTCTGTCTCTTCTGCCCTGTAAGTACACAGCATTCATCCCTTTTGCCCTCCCACCTTTTGCCATGTGAAGATGCAGTAACATGAAGGCACCATCTTGGAGGCAAGAGCACAGCTCTCACCAGACACTGAATCTACCTGCACCTTGATCTTGGACTTCCCAACATCCAACTATGAGAAATAAATTTTTATTATTTATAAATTACCCAATCTTAGTGTTTTGTTATAGCAGTACAAACAAACAGAGACAGATTTTGACAGTCATATAAAACCTCAAGTACTTTGTAAAAAGAAAATATAAATGTTGAATGATTGAAGAACGTGAAAGACTGGACAGTGAGAAAACATGGGGGTAGGGGTTGTAGAAATGGAGTGGTATTCAGAGACATAACTAATTTAAGCTATCTCTAGGACAAGGTTAAATAACAGAAAAATCAAATGGGCCTCTGACTGGTAGCGTGTTTTGTTTGGGTACTAAGGGGTAGAGTTGTATTAGTCCATTTTCATGCAGCTAATAAAGACATACCCGAGATTGAGTAATTAATTAAGAAAAAAGAGGTTTAACGGACTCACAGTTCCACATGGCTGGGGAGGCTTCACAATCACGGTGGAAGGTGAAAAGCATGTCTTACATGGTGGCAGGCAAGAGGGAATGAGAGCCAAGTGAAAGCAGAAACCCCTTATAAAACCATCAGATCCTGTGAGGCTTATTCACTACCACAAGAACAGTATGGAGGAACCACCTCCATGATTTAATTATCTCCCACCAGGTCCCTCCCACAACACGTGGGAATTATGGGAGCTACAGTTCAAGATGAGATTTGGGTGGGGACACAGCCAAACCATATCAAGAGTGTTCAGCTTTAAAGAGTGCCTGAGAGTATGGGTCCAGGAGTTTGGACATCCACAGCTATTGTGACTCTTGGCATAAATTGATAACTTTCAAAATTAAAAGAATTCATCTTAAACTATTAGTTCCTCTGAAATTCCAGCAAAATACTCAGGTTTGAGAATTTCTGACCACTGCCTATTAGCTTTAGGTCAATAACTAGAAGATAATTAGGCTAAGAGCTCTATCAGTTATTTTATATTTGGGGTGATAGATGTCAATATTTACATGTATGATTTAGGTGCTTTTGTGTGGATCTTTGCATTGTGGCAAATTGAGGAAACCTAGATATTTGGTATGATTGATTTGGACTGCTAGAAGGAGCCTTCCCTGTTTTTCACCACAAAAATATTGGTTATTTCCATGGCCTCAGTATCCCAGGAAAAAGTGAATGAAATAGCTAAAGGGAAAACTCCTAGGTAATTACTTCTGTTGATTATTTAATCTTAGTAAATATAATATTTGATAGAGATTTTAACTGATCAAGGAGAGAAAATATTTTTTGTTCTGTATGAATGCAACCTGATAATTCTACCAAAGCAAGAGTGGAATAAAAATCTTTCCACTGACACAGATTGTGGTGGATATGGGATGTAGTACAACAGAAAAGAAAAACACAGCCTCACAATATAGATAATGCATAGCTGAGAGAAACTTTCCTAGGTAATAAGCATTTGCAGCTAAGATTTCCTAGGGTGTTTTGGAAGAAAACAACTGCCACAGAAATGCAGTTGGGAAAGACTATGTTGAAATTTTGAATTTTGCCATTTGTAAAAAGGGAACAAATATTATTTGTGAATTGTACTGAAAACATGGATATAAAGAAGTGATCATTGGGGGGTGGAGGAGGAGCTAGCCGGGCCGGGGGGCAGCTGCACAGTCTCCAGGATCCCCAGGCCTGGAGTGGGGTCCGTGCATGGCCAGCTGGCTCTGCCCCACGGCCAGTCCTGAGCAGGCCTCCCTTGGGCCAGCCCGATGTGACTGAGCCCAGCAGACCCTGAGCAAGAAGCAGGTCCATCGCGGAGCCAGAGGGCAGGAGGAACATGACATCATGGAAATGGTTTCACCCAAATATCACTGGTGTGGAGGCAGAAAACCTACTGTTGACAAGAGGAGTTGATGGCAGTTTTTCGGCAAGGCCTAGTAAAAGTAACCCTGGAGACGTCACACTTTCTGTTAGAAGAAATGGAGCTGTCACCCACACCAAGATTCAGAACACTGGTGATTGCTATGACCTGTATGGAGGGGAGAAGTTTGCCACTTTGGCTGAGTTGGTCCAGTATTACATGGAACATCATGGGCAATTAAAAGAGAAGAATGGAGATGTTATTGAGCTTAAAAATCCTCTGAACTGTGCAGATCCTACTTCTCAAAGGTGGTTTCATGGACACCTCTCTGGAAAAGAAGCAGAGAAATTGTTAACTGAAAAAGGAAAGCATAGTAGCTTTCTTGTACGAGAGAGCCAGAGCCACCCTGGAGATTTTGTTCTCTCCGTGTGCACCGGTGATGACAAAGGAGAGAGCAATGACGGCAAGTCTAAAGTGACTCATGTCATGATTCACTGTCAGGAACTGAAATACGATGTTGGTGGAGGAGAACGGTTTGATGCTTTGACAGATCTTTGGAACATTAGAAGAAGAATCCTATGGTGGAAACACTGGGTACAGTACTACAACTCAAGCAGCCCCTTAACACGACTTGTACAAATGCTGCTGAAATAGAAAGCAGAGTTCGAGAACTAAGCAAATTAGCTGAGACCACAGATAAAGTCAGACAAGGCTTTTGGGAAGAATTTGAGACACTGCAACAACAGGAGTGCAAACTTCTCTACAGCCAAAAAGAGGGTCGAAGGCAAGAAAACAAAACCAAAAATAGATATAAAGGCCGGGCGCGGTAGCTCACGCCTTGTAATCCCAGCACTTTGGGAGGCCAAGGCGGGCAGATCACAAGGTCAGGAGATCGAGACCACCCTGGCCAACACGGTGAAACCCCCTCTCTACTAAAAATACAAAAATTAGCCGGGCGTGGTGGCACACCCCTGTAATCCCAGCTACTAGGGAGGCTGAGGCAGGAGAATGGCGTGAACCCGAGAGTCAGAGGTTGCAGTGAGCCAAGATCACCACTGCACTCCAGGCTGGGCGACTGAGCGAGACTCCGTCTCAAAAAAAAAAAAAAAAAAAAGATATAAAAACAAAACATCCTGCCCTTTGATCATAGGGTTGTCCTACACAATGGTGATCCCAGTGAGGCTGTTTCAGATTACATCAACGCAGATATCATCATGCCTGAATTTGAAACCAAGTGCAACAATTTGTAGCCCAAAAAGAGTTACATTGCCCCACAAGGCTGCCTGCAAAACACTGTGAATGACTTTTGGCGGATAGTGTTCCAAGAAAACTCCCAGGTGATTGTCATGACAACGAAAGAAGTGGAGAGAGGAAAGAGTAAATGTGTCAAATACTGGCCCGATGAGTATGCTCTAAAAGAATATGGCATCGTGCATGTTAGGAACGTCAAAGAAAGCACCACTCATGACTATAAGCTAAGAAAACTTAAACTTTCAAAGATTGGACAAGGGAATATGGAGAGAATGGTCTGGCAATACCACTTGTGGACCTGGCTGTACCACGGAGTGCCCTGCGACCCCAAAGGCATGCTGCACTTCCTGGACGAAGTGCACCATAAGCAGGAGAGCATCATGGATGCAGGGCTGGTCGTGGTGCCCTGCAGTGCTGGCATTGGCCAGACAGGGACGTTCATTGTGATTGATATTCTTATTGACATCATCAGAGAGAAAGGTGTTGACTGCGAAATTGACGTTCCCAAAACCATCCAGATGGTGCGGTCTCAGAGGTCAGAGATGGTCCAGACAGAAGCACAGTACCGATTTATCTATACGGTGGTCCAGCATCATATTGAAACACTACAGCGCAGGATTGAGGAAGAGCAGAAAAGCAAGAGGAAAGGGCACGAATATACAAATATTAAGTATTCTCTAGTGGACCAGACGAGTGGGGATCAGAGCCCCCTCCTGCCTTATACTCCAATGCCACCCTGTGCAGAAATGAGAGAAGAGAGTGCCAGAGTCTATGAAAACGTGGGCCTGATGCAACAGCAGAAACATTTAAGATGAGAAAACCTGCCAAAACTTCAGCACAGAAATAGATGTGGACTTTCACCCTCTCCCTAAAAAGATCAAGAGCAGACGCAATAAAGTTTATGTGAAGACAGAATTTGGATTTGGAAGGCTTGTGTTGTGGTTGACTACCTTTTGATAAGCAAAATTTGAAATCATTTAAAAACCACTGTATTTTAACTCAACAATACCTGCTTCCCAATTACTCATTTCCTCAGATAAGAAGAAATCATCTCTACAATGTAGACAACGTTGTATTTTATAGAATTTTGTTTTAAATTGAGGAAGCAGTTAAATTGTGTGCTATATTTTGCAGATTATGAGGATTCAAATTCTAGTTATAGGTTTTTGTTGTTTTTTTTTTTTCTTTTTATAACCTTAACCAGTTTAATTTTTTTTTCATTGTGGGGCAAGGTAAGAAGAAATGATTTGGGAAAATTAAGTAACAACATCCTAGAAAAGTGAGAACAATCTCATCTACCATCATGTATCCAGTAGTGGATAATTCATTTTGATGGCTTCTACTTTTGGCTAAATGAGAATTAAGCCAGTGCCTGAGACTGCCAGAAGCTTACTGGTCTACCTTTGCATTAGCATTAAGGAGTCATAGAAAAAGAATCATGGATATTTATGAATTAAGATAAGAGGTGTGGCTTTTTTTTTTTTTTTCAGCCGATGACCAATTACAGTTCAGCTGTTGACTGAGAAGGTTGTGGTGGGAAAACATTTACCATATTTTCTTTGCATTTGAGTAATTGTCTTGTACTTAGAAAAAAGGCACCTATGAATGACCAGTGTTTTTGGTTGTCAAATGTTGCTCACAAACTTACCCCAAAAGTTTAGTGGCTTAAAACAATCCCACCCCCAACTGTTCTTCAATCTGAGCAGGGCTCAGCTGGGCCGTTCTTCTGCCAGCCTGCAGGTGGCCACTCAATGTGGTCAGCAGGTTGACGGAGAGACTGTGTTGGCTGGGGTTCTCTCTTGGCCTGCAGTCCTGAGTCTCTCCTTCTCTGTGTAGTCTCTTTCAGTGGCCTGACTGGCAGGGTAACTAGACCTCTCACATGCAGTTCAGAGCTCTCAAGAGCTCAAAAGCAGAAGGGGCCAGGCCTTCTGAAGACTTAAGTCCAGAATTGTTGCAGCATCCCTTCTACTGCCCTCTATTGATGATGACGATGATGATGATTTTTTCTAAACAGAAGAGAGCTGGAGTATGCCTCTACTTATTAAACAAGTCACGAGCCCAGCCCAGATTCAAGAAAAGGGTGTGAAGTGGAGGTGCAGTTAATTGGGGGGCCACTAGTCTAACAGATGGTCACAACCAGTGCCATGGAAAACCAAGGATATTAGCAAAAGTAGAAGTTGCTAGTGACCTTGGGAAGCCAAAGCCGCTTACAGTAGCTGGGACAAGCTGAAAGTCAGACTAAGAAATAAGGAGAGGTCCTTCAAGAAGCTTCCTGAATGATTTCTGCTAGCCCTGAGCCTATTTCTGGAACCAGCACTTGGGGAAACTGATCCTGTGAGAATGGATGTGTTTAGGGACACAGGGCTTTTGAAAGCAGCACCACCCCACTGGGCCACCTCTAGACTTGGGAATGTGATGTTTTCTTAATGCCACTGGTTTTCAGTCAGGCCACAGTGAGAAGGAACAGCCCTAACAGGCCTCCAGCCAGGTTGAAAGAGCTCATTTTTGTTTTAGCCAACCGGTAAGATTTTCTAATGTTCTACCTTAAGTGCCTTCTCCAAAGACATCCCTCTTTTGCTCATATGTTGAATCATCATTCAGTATATTTCAGTTAAAATATCATTGGTTGACTTTTGTAACGGTAATAAAATGCTGTGGCATCTTGGCCGTGAAAAAAAAAAAAGAAGTGATCATTACAATAGATATTTGTGGACAATATCATTGGTGTCAAATGCAGACAAGGTTTGCAGATGAAAAAAAATTAGATGACAAACCAAACCTGAGGCCAAACAGAGTAGTGCTAGGTCATTTCCTTGGCTTCCCTAATTCCCCAGGAGGGAAGAGCTGGGTGCTAATCAACTAATACCAATAAACTGCTCTTCCTTTGCCCCTAATTTTTGATTGTTCTATAGGTGAGCAGAAGAGGGTGAGTGTGTTTGAGGGTGAGTGAAGGTCAAGTTTCCGTATCTGCAACAAAGCGTCTGTTGTTCAAAATCTCCCCTTGCATTCTAAGAAGGGTGGACCCTGAAGGCGCACTTTTATTTGCTGAGGTGGATGGTGAGTGAGGATACAAACTGGGGAAGTTAAGTATCTACTACATTGCTTAATTTAATGAAAGTGGATTGAGAGGTTGGGGAAGGTAGTTCCGGTAGCAGTGAGTTGGCTACAGATGTGGAGAAGAGTTTTAAGCAACTGAAGTGGGAGAGGAAATTAGGGGCAAAGGAAGAGCAGTTTAAAGCAGAGCATTTCTGATGTCTTCCTAGGTAGTTAAAACTCGCTTTTTCATTTCCACATAGACACTTCAACCAAAGTGACTTCTATTTTTGGAGTGGTGTGTGTGTGTGTGTATGTGTTTAGATAGGACATATTGAAACTGCATCCTTGTCTGGGGTAAATACCTGAAGTTCGTTGTCTCCTGGCAGGGAAATCGAGGATGTGGACACACAGGAAGTGAGTTTAAGAGTGGAGGTTTGGCCGGGCTCGGTGGCTCACACCTGTAATCCCAGCACTTTGGGAGGCTGAGGCAGGCAGAATACCTGAGGTCAGGAGTTTGAGACCAGCCTGGCCAACATGGTGAAACCCCGTCTGTACTAAAAATACAAAAATTAGCCGGGGGTGATGGCAGGCGCCTGTAATCCCAGCTACTCGGGAGGCTGAGGCAGGAGAATCGCTTGAACCCAAGAGGTGAAGGTTGCAGTGAGCCAAGATTGTGCCATTGCACTCCAGCCTGGGGCACAAGAGCAAGATTTCGACTCAAAAAAAAAAAAAAAAAAAAAAGGTGGAGGTTTAATAGGTGAAAAAAAGAAAAGAGAATAACTCTCTCTCCTGCAGAGAGAGAGAGGGGTTCCAAAGTGGGTCTTCTGGCTTTATGGTCAAATGCATGAGGTTTTATAGATGAGCTTGAGGAGGTGGTGTCTGATTTACATAGGGCCCAAAGATTGGTTGGACCAGGTGTGGCATTTACATAGTGTGCGAAGAAGCGAAGAAGCTGGTCACCCCACCCTAATCTTTTATTATGCAGATGGGTTTTCTACCTGGCCAGCGCCATGTTATCTGTTCCTTACTGTACATGTGGTTGACAAAAGGGAAGATGGAGCTGCTATGCTGAACATGCCTAGCCCCCAGGTAGCCTTTTCCTATTGGTACAGCTGCCAGCATTTACCTATGGAAGATTTTCACTTGCTTATCTGTGCTTGCAGCTTGATTTTTCAGGCTGCTTTTTGTTAGAAAAGAAATGATTTTGGGGCTGCTTTTTATTAGAAGGAAACCTTACCAAGGATTCTCTTACCCTCACTAACTAACTTCCTAAATAATTTCTTTCTAGCTCCTATATCAATATCAGGTCTGACTTCAAGGCACATTTGGGAGGAGACGAGGGAAGCCCAGTGAGGCCAGTCTCATTTGAATTACAAGTGAATAAATTGAATTTTAAGCTGTATGCAATTATTATTCTATAATCTATCATGTATATTTAATCATATGATAGATTATAGAATCATTATTTATCTTCGTTTATCTTTATAGAATACGTATTTAATCCCCACCCCTCTCAGAGGTTATTATACAAAAGTAACTAAGTTGGAATATGTGCTGACAATTGCAGTCAAGATTCTGTGGCTAGAGAGTAGAGGGAGTAATAGAGGTTTTTATAGAATGATTCCAGACAAACTTTCATTTCTGTTGACATGAGCTTGACATAATATATGCCTACAAGTTATCATTATTTGTAGATTAATAGGACAGTTTATAAGCTTCTTATCAATTTTAGTCAAGATATAATTCTTTATCCAACTAATGAGGGATTGTTAGCACATAAATAACATTCCAAGAGTGTGTTTTGTCCATTTCAGTAAGTCAAATACTTATTCAATTGGTGACAAAGGCAAGATCTAAATTCACGAGCACTTTATGTCCTTCCTCAGTGGAAGGTATAACAGGAAGTAAATTAAGGTTCTATATAATTTATTGGATTTTTAAAAGCTTTGTGCACTTTTCCTAAAAATGCCTTGAGGCATTAACAATAAAATTAACTTAAGCATCTGCATCTACTTATAGCCATAATGATATATTCAAATGGAAATCAAGAGCATGCAAATCAAGCAGTATGCTGTTACCCTTAGAATATTGAAGGGTGCATTAAAGATATATAGTTATTTTAATAAGCAAGGATGAAAACCTTTCATGTGTCCTCTTTTTATACATTCTGTACTTCTCTTGATCGAGCAGCAAAACAAACAAACAAACAAACAAAACCACCAAAAAACCAAAACCCCTCAAAACTAATAGAAGCTAGGGTTCAGGGGCTCTACTTGAATGTGAATATCCAAGTCTTTTCTTCTGTGTCTGTGCCCTGCCATAGCCCCTCCTCCCTCACACTGTGCTGGGGATGGCTCTGCTTCTTGCACACACCAGCCATCCTCCATCATAGAGCTATGCTGGTCACACACACCTTACCTGAGTGCTTGCTGCCAGAGAGCAGCATGCATCATTGTTCTAGAAAGTGGTCTTTCTAGTAGATTGCTAGAGGGCCCTTTACCTTTATGATTTATTTATAAGACAAAATTCTAAAATGTAAGAAGGAGTAGAAATATACAGCATAACTCATGTGGGGAATAAAAGAAGCTTTGAAATTTTTTTCTAACTGATTTTATCTTGCATTGTGATCTCTTTTGTGCTAATGAGGTAAAAACTTAAACTTGACAATTAAAGATAGTCAAGTCTCTACTGGTGAAAACAGCCCCTTTAGATAAATATTCAAGCTGTTCAAAGTTCAAACTCCCTCTCAGAGCTATTTCTTTTCATACAAGTGATAGCCCTGCCCTCCCTCTCTTCCTTCCCTGGGTGGCAGGTGGGTGCAGGAGGAGACTTAAGTGTTGTCACAGTGGTGGGTGGGAACTAGAAGCCTGGACGCTGGAATGGGCACGAGTCCACTGAGTCCTCATCACCAATGTGTCCTGTCCTGCTTGTTTGTGGGGAGAGACCTTGGTCTCACTGCCTTTATCGCTGACATATCTGGTGCCCGGCATGAATAATGCAGTGGGCTCTAAATTGCTGGACTCTTCCTGATGATGTCTTCCCTCTCCACCTCTGCTTTCACTGATGCTCTGGATCCCTGAGGTTTGGCTGTGACTCTCATTTAGCCCCAGCTTGACAGTCGGCCATTCTGCTCACATTCTCAGCATCACTTCTCTATCTGTGCTTATCTGCCAGGCCAACTCACTATCCTGCAACCTCAGCTATTCCCTCTGGGATAGAGGACACTGAGGGGTTACTTGCATGTCACACTGAGGACCTGCAGAACTCAAGGTACCGTCTCAGGCCTTCTCTCTGTCTAAGCCTGTCATGAGCTATTTCATTTCAACATAGTCACTCCAGGTTGGCAAGGGTGATTTGAGCGGTTGCCTCTCAGAGTTCCAGTGGCATTTGGCTTTCCCTTTAAACTTGAGTATATCTATTACTCTTCTTGACCCTGATCTACAGGTCTTTGTAGTCTCTCCTCTCCACTGCTGTTTTCCTCTTATTTTTCCCTGTGAAGAAGGAGCCATTTATCTATGGGAAATACAAAGGGAAAAAAAGAAAAAGGTGATCAATTCCCTGTAATCTTTAGTCAAACACACATCTCAGTCCCAGCTCTCCAGGGTTTGTTGTGTGCTGTGACATCAGCTCCTTTGATGACTACAAGTGCAGATGCACAGCCAGTGGCTGTGTTAGCAGGTAATTGGTAGAGAGAAGAGAAGCCACAGAGAGCATGCTAGGAGGATCTGTCACAAAAATTGTAGTCCATAACTTCAGAGTGTCAGCAACAGGAATGCAAGACAGTTGCCACCTAGAAGTATGGATTTGTTTTCACTAACTCTATTCATCTCCTCAGTTGAGAAATGAACTAGCTCAGTGACTTTTTTGCTTCTTGTGTTTAACCCCTCAGGGAAAAAGTAGAATAGGCACCAATGATTTTATTTTTACTGTATTCTTACATAGCAAGTATGTTAGTTTGCTAGGGCTGCCATACCAAACCCCACAGACTGGATGGCCAGAACAACAGACATTTATTTTCTCAGAGCTCTGGAGGCTGGAAGTCCAAGATCAAGGTGGGGGTAGGTTTGGTTTCTTCCGAGGCTTCTATTCCTGGCTTGCAGAGGAACCCCTTGTTACTGTGTGCATGGCCTTCTGTGGGCACTCATCCCTGGTGTCTGACTTCTTAGGAAGATACAAGTCATATTGGATTAGGGCCCCACCCTAACAGCCTCGTTTAAACTTAATCACCTCTTTAGAAACCTCATCTCCAAATATGGTTACCTTCTGAGGTACTGGGAGTTGAGATTGCAACATATGAACTTACAGCGGGAAAACAATTTGGCCCATAATAGCAATGGCATTCTAAGGAATTTCGGTACTTTTAAATTATAACCATTACTGAAACAAATGTTAATACCATCCCTGCTTTTCAGATCATGAGACACAAGAATAGGGAATGGTTACGTCAGAGGTTTCAAAGCTCAGGGGAGAAAGTGAGAACTTAATTCAGTTCTCCTAGAATGAATGGGATATAGGCTCCTGCATTTTAAATTTTCTTCTTTTAATTACACAAAAGTACTTTAATATGTGATTGGTGGGGAGATTTCAAACTATCCAGAAAAATATAGCATCATGGTCTTTCTGACTTTATATTCAGTCACTCTTTCTTTGTCCCAGAGATTAATATTTTAGTATCTATTCTTTCTGATAAAAAATAATATTCATACATAAATATAATGTGCAGGTTTGAAAATTTTAATTTTGTTTTTCGGGTACGGGGTAGTGCTATATGTACTGTTGTTTGGCTGGCTTTGTTCCACTTAACCTGATGATTGAGAGTTCTTTCTATGTTAGTATAAGGCAAAGTTTCTCAGCCTTGGCACGACTGACATTTGGGGCCAATTTTTTGTTGGGAGGGTGCTGTCCTGTGCATTGTAAGGTGTTTAGCAGCATGCCTGGCCTCCATTCACTAGATGCCAGTAGCACTCATCCCTCTGCCAGTCATGCCAACCAAAAATGTCTCCAGATACTCATTGCCAAATGTCCACTGGTGGGCAAAACTGCTCCCAGTTGAAAACTACTGGTATAAAGAGATTTCTCTAATTTTTAAAAATTGCTGCATATCCAGTGCATGGATCACACCATAGTTTACTTTACAATCTTCCTATTAATGGAAATTTGAGATATTTCCATTTTGTTACCATTAGGAGCAATCCTGCATTAACCATCCTTACATATGACTCTTTGTTATATGTACTAACCACCTTAGATTAAAGTAGATTGCCAGAAATTCAGTTGCTGGGTCAAGGAAAAGGCATATTTTATATTTTAATAGATGCTATGAAATTATCCTTCAAAAGCTTCATACAATTTGGATTTCCTGAAATGAGTGCCCATTTCTTCACAACCTTGCCAACGTTGAATGATATCAAATCTTCTAATTTTGTTAGTGTGACTGAAAATGTGTATCTTGTTATATTTCTCTAATTACTAGAACTTAAGCATCTGTGTACTTGTATTTCTGTTTTTGTGCCTTGTTTGTCTTTCTTGCCCCAACCATTTTTATGAGTGGTTTGATTTGTAGGAATTCTTCATATGTATTCTGGCTCCAAATCTTCCTGTTACTGCATGCATTGCAAATGTTTTTCTCCCAATCTGTTGCTTATTTTCTAACTTTGTTAACACAGCCTTTTATGATCAGGAATTTAAATGTTTACAGTTAAGCATTTGAAACTTATTTAAGACAGCCTTCCAAACTTCTCTTATATAATGCTTTATAGTTTTATTCCTCTTGATGGATTTTTAGCATGCTTCACTTTTTATCATTTAGTTCTTTCACCCATCTATAATCTATTTTTTAGACTTTTTTTAAACAGGAGTTTTAGGTTCACAGCGAAGTTTTCCATTTATCCCCTATCCCGACATATGCATAGCCTCCCTTTTTATCAACATTCCCCACCGAGGTGGTACATTTGTTGTCATTGATAAACCTACACTGGCACAGGATCACCCTGAGTCCATAGTTTACATTAGGGTTCACTCTTGATGTTGTACATTCTGTGGGTTTGGATAAGTGTATAATGTCATGTACCCATCACTGTAGTATCACACAGGGCATTTTCACTGCCCCCAAATCCTCTGTGCTCCACCTATTCATCCCTCTCCCCATCCCCAATCCCTGGCAATCACTGATCTTTTCACTGTCTTCATAGTTTTGCCTTTTCCAGATGTGATATAGTTGAAATCACACAGTGTGCAGCCTTTTCAGATTGCTTTCTTTCATCTAATAATATGCATTTAGCTTTCCTCCCTGTATTTTCATGACTTGATAGTTCATTTCTTTTTATCACTGAGTAATATTCCACTGTCTGCATGTACTACATTTTATTTATCCATTCACTGGCAGCAGGACATCTTGGTTACTCTACTAATCACCTTAGATTAAAATAGATTGCCAGAAATTCAGTTGCTGGGTCAAGGAAAATGCATATTTTATATTTTAATAGCTGCTTATGAAATTATCCTTCAAAAGCTTCGTACAATTTGGATTTCCTGAAATGAGTGCTCATTTCTTCACAACCTTGCCAATGCTGAAAGTTTTGAAAATTATATATTGTTACTACAATCATCCAGGTGTAGATTTTTGTGTCGACGTGTTTTCAACTCCTTTGAGTAACTATGAAGGTACATGACTGATTGCTGAATCTTATGGTAAGAGTATGTTTGGTTTTATAAGAAACTGCCAAATTCTTTTCCAAAGTGGTTGTACCATTTCACACTTCCACCAACAATGAATGAGAGTTCCTGTTGTTCCACATCCTTGCCAGCATTTGGTGGTGTTAATATTCTAGATTTTGGTCATTTTAATAGATTTGTAGTTGTATCTCATTGTTTTAATTTGCATTCCTCTGATGACATATGATGTGGAACATATTTTTCATATGCTTATTTGCCATCTGTATATGCTTTTTGGTGAGGTGAATGCCAATGCCTTTGGCCTATTTTTTAATTGGGGTGTTTATTTTCTTATTGTTGAGTATTAAGTGTTCTTTGGATTTTTTGGACAACAGCACTTTATTAGATGTATCTTTTGCAAATATTTTCTACCACACTGTGGCTTTTCTTCTAAGTCTTTTGATATTATATTTTGCAGAGCAGAAATTTTTAATTTTAATGAAGTACAGCTATCAGTTATTTCTTTCATTAATGATGACTTTGGTATTCGACATAGTTAAAAAGTCATTGCCCTACCTAAGGTCATCTAGATTTTCTTTTATGTTATCCTCTAGAAGTTTTTAGTTTTGCACTTTACCTAGTACCATGATCCATTTTAAGTTAATTTTCATGAAGGGTGTAAGATCTGCATCTAGATTTATTATTTTTTTACAAGGGATGTCCAATTTTTCCTGTACCACTTGTTGAAAAGACTGTCTTTGCTCCATTGCATTGCCTTTGCTCCTCTGTCAAAGATCAGTTGACTATATTTATGTGGGTCTATTTCTGGGTTCTCTATTCCCTTTAATTGGTCTATTTGTCTATTCTTTTACTAATACCACACTGTTTTGATTACTGTAGCTTGATAGTAAGTCTTGAAGTCAGGTAGTGTCAGTTCTCCAACTTCGTTCTTTTCCTTCGATATTGTGTTGGCTCTTCCAGGTCTTTTACCTCTCCATATAAATCCTAGAATCAGTTTGTTGTTATCTACAAAATAACTTGGTGGGATTTTGTTTGGGATTGTGTTGAATCTATAGATCAAGTTGGGAAAAACACGTTAGTGGGTGCAGCGCACCAGCATGGCACATGTATACATATGTAACTAACCTGCACAATGTGCACATGTACCCTAAAACTTAGAGTATAATAAAAAAAAAAAAAAACAAAACAAAAAAAAAAACAAAAAAAACAACAACAAAAAAAAGAAAAAAAAAAAACTGATATAATGACAATATTGAGTCTTTCTAGCCACGAATATGGACTATCTCTTCATTTATTTAGTTCTTCTTTATTTTGTTCATCAGAGTTTTGTAGTTTTTCTTATGTAGCTCTGGTTCTCTTAGATTTTCTTAGATTTAGAACTAAGTATTTTACTTATTTGGGTGGTAATGTAAATAATATTGTGATTTTAATTTCAACTCCAATTGTTTATGTCTGGTATATATGAAAGTGATTGACTTTTGTATCTTAACCTTGTATCTGCAATCTTGCTATAATCACTTATTAGTTCCAAAGTTTTTGTGGATTATTTTGGATTTTCTACATAAAGAATCATATTATCTGATAACAAAGATGGTTTTATTTCTTCCATCTCCATATGTATACCTTTTGTTTCCTTTTCATGACTTATTGTATTAACTAGAACTTCTAGTACAATGTTGAAAAGGAATGATGAGAAGGGACATCCTTGTCTTGGTCCTGATCTTAGTGGGAAAGCTTCGAGTTTTTCACCATTAAGTATGATGTCATGCGTAGGTTGCTTGTAGATTTTTTAAATCAAGTAGTGGAAGTTCCCCTTCGTTCTTAGTTTACTGGCATGTTTTAGTTATGAATGGATGTTGGATTTTGTCAAATGCTTTTTCTGTATCTCTTGATAAAATCATGTGATTTTTGTTTTTTAGGCTACTGATGTGATAGATTACATTAATTGATTTTCGAGTTTTGAATCTGCCTTGCATACCTTTTATATTCACTGCAGATTAATTAAACTTTGTACTCAGGAAGGAGAACAATGAAAAAGGTAGAAAGGGTCTGAAAGAATATAGCCTTGCATACCTGATATAAATCCCTATAATTTATTTTTTATAAATGGTTTCATATAGGAATTTTTTTCCACTTCTAACTCAAGCATTTGTATAAACACATTTGAAGCTGTTTGACCAATCTTCATATAGGTTGCTGTGTCTAACACAAATATGATGATAAAAAACAAATACAATTTGCATTTCTATTCATATTAAGATTATTTATAGATCTCCTATCTCTCCTTTACATAGAGAATTTGTGGCACTTAGGACAGGTGATTTTCTAACTGCTGCCTTCATTATTCCTACTGGCTGCCTGGCTAAAAGTGGATGGAATAGAGCTCTACCTGAGTAAGGAAGAGAAGAGCAGAATTCTGATTATTTGTAGCTAGTGGTTGTTTTGCAGAAAGCAGGATCATCATCCGCATGAGGTCTTTGAATTTCTTTTTCATTTTGCTGTTGCCAATCCTCTTTATTTATACCATCCAAGACCTAAATTTTCTTTTTCAATCCCGTTGTTGGTTAGTCTGGCTGGGTCCAAACAAGATCACCACATATTGAAGGACCTGTTGTTCTTGGATTGCAAAACCATGAGGATGACCAGGTCAGGAGGGTGTGGTGCAGGAGGGTCTAGGAGGCAAAGATCTGAAAGGGGCTGCTGTAAAGGTAGCAGCCCAGAGCCTGAAGCTTTAGCAGAGATGGAACAAATCTGTGCATTCCCTACACTTCATCACCAATTCCACCCCCACACTGGATGAGTTCAAACCCTTTTATATTCACTGCAGATTAATTAAACTTTGTACTCAGGAAAGAGAACAATGAAAGAAGTAGAAAGGGTCTGAAAGAATATAGCACAAGTGATATTGTATATGATTTAGAACAAAATAAAAATGTAAGTGGGAGATGATGTCTGTTTCCTCCTCTCCGACCTCATCTCCTACCAGCCTGTCCTTCCACTCTCACCAAACTCTGGCCATGCCTCCCCCTTGCTGCTCCATGAACACACCAAGAGGCTGCTGTTGTGGATCTTGCCACTTTGATCAGAGCACTCTTTCCCCAATCTCCCCAGCGCATTAGCTCCCTTTCTTCAGTCTAGGCACACAGGAAACCTGTTAATGAGACCTTCTCTGGGCACTGCCTGTACAATAACATGCCTCTTCAGTCACTTGGCCCACGTTTATCTTTCTCTGTAGCACTTAATACCTTCTGCTGTGCTATATATTTCACGTATGCACATTGATTACTGTCTGCTTCTCTTACTGAAATGCAAATTCCAAGAGGGAGTTTCTTGTTTCTTTGGTTGATACCATGTCTCCAGTGCCTACAACAGTACCTGGTACTCAATACATATTTGTGCTGAATGAATAAATATATTCAGATTATTCAGCTAAGACATGGGGAAGACGAGGTGTGAAGTGCTATCATCTGATTCCTGTTTTTTTTCCTTAGGGACCCCATTTAAAACAAATATAATATTCCAGGATGAGGGAAATATACTTCTAATGTAGTTTTTGTTTGTATCATTTACCGTACATCTAAGTTGTGGTAACTTAAAGGGCATATTAAATGTGCTGAAATAAATGCTGTTGTCAGTAACTTTGGAGATTTGTGAGATAAGGAAGCAGAAACTAAGGGAAGCAGTGTTACTAAGATAGATTTCCCTTCTGCCTGTGGCTAGCTTGCACCTCTCTATGAGGTCATCCATGCAGATCTTTCTATTTCGAGCTTGTTTCAGTAATGTGCACTTTTAGGTAGAGAGTTCTTCCTTTTCGGATAATAGGATCAATAAAAGATTAGTGGGATGTTCCTTGAAAACTAACAAGTCAGCCAACAGAGGACACACATATGTTTGGGTACAGATAATACTTTTTCTTCCATAGTACCCATTTCCCAGTAATTGTGAACATTTTCTCTTTACCTTATGATATTATTATATAGAAAATAGAATCAACTGTATGTAGTTTTAATAAGAGCACTGTAATCTGCAGAGGGTCAGATAAAACCTGTGAATCCCACTTTCCTGTCTTGTATATTTTCATAGAATGTTTGAATCTTTTTGCAATGCAAAATTTAAAAAATGAAATGCCTGGAGAGTATTGCCCTAAAATTATATCCATTTTCAGATCCTATCTCAAATTATATGTTCTCCATAAGATCATCCTGAGCTCTTCAACCTCTTTGGAGCTTCCTATTTTAGGACAAAGAACTACTTTGGACTTTCCTGAAAATACTTGCTGGCTTTGTATTCTAATAAACTATATGTACATGTCCCATTTGCTCCATGAGATTGTACTTTAAAAATTTATAGATGAACTTGGGATAGGCCTTTTAAAATTGAAAAACAAAGTTGCAAATGTCAGCTTCATAATAAGATAAAATGGAATTTTAACTTTGATTATATTTAAGGCACCCCAAAAACTTATTTGGAATAAAAATATATTTTAATATTTATCAAACTATATTATTAAATGCTCAGAAGTGAGAGAATGCCCTCTAACATCAAAGGGTTCTGGTGAAAATACATTAAAATAAATAACCGGAATACTTGGGGAATTAACAAAAAGAGAAATAATGAGCAAAATAAAATTCTTGATTCCAATACTTAAGCCTTGTGTTGTTTCTAAGAGTTTCTCCTGTAGAATTATGGCACAGAAGGAAGGCAAACATATACAGAGAGACAATAGAAATTTTCCTTTGAGTGAACAATGCAATTACTAAAATTGCTAAGCTGAATATTTATGCTGTATAAAAAGCCAATGTTTATTGCTTTTGTATACACTATCAACATGACTACCAAGACTGTCCCATGCCACAGTACCTTGTCTTATTAAATGATATGAAGGTTGAAGAAAGGATTTACTTGTATTATTTAACAAATACTCTCTGATATTGAGTAGTTGACAATTTTTTCTTGAAATTGTTTGCCTATTTTTGAATACTTCAGTGTTTGCCAAAATATTGGTTATAAAAGAGTCACCTGCTCTAAGCCTTCTTTTGCAGGGATAGCACTCAGGAATAGGTTAACTGATGCTTTTTTGAAAATGTTATTCTAAGTGGGATTTGTAATATGTGGTTGGCTCTTCAGTCTAAGCTAAATCTTGTTTAATGGCTTCATTGGCCTAATGAGATACTACTACTAGAGACTTATTGAGAGCCCACCAATTCAGTAAGAATCTTTAGAGATAATAGCATTGCTGCACAGTGGATCCAAAAGACACCACTCATTTGTCAATGACCATGAAATGAAGTGGAAATGGCTTCCAGTGAATGTCAGATGTAAGCCAGGGCTGGAGATGATATTTTCAGTCAACAGTGCCTATAAAACTGTCAGAAAAATAAAAGTTCCTTTGGTTAAAAATAAAGAAAAACCTTTTGAAAATATTTCTAGGCAAGCCAAACATATCTGACTTATGTGGTCGGCATTTTCAAGGCCATTTTGTTGTTGTTGCTTTTTCCCTTTCTCTATAAGCAGAAACTAGTTATCTGAACAGGCAGTAGAGCACAAGTATTTGTTTCCGAAAAAGTTACCTGAAAGAATAGCTTAGGAACTGACGTGAGTTCTCTCTTTCTCTTTCCTATCTGAATATTTATACAGTTGCTTTTTCCTCTGCCAGGCACACGGTGTTGGAAATCAGCCTACGACCAAGGGTAATATCAGGATTGTATGCTTCTTTCTGCATGTCGTGCTTTTATAGACCATTGGTTCTGGAAGTAATCACTGACAATTACTACTGTTAGCTACATGGTATGACAGAGACCCTTAGACTATATCCTTCCATGGCATTTTCATTACAAATCCTACTAAAATGTGATTCATTGTCTCAAGTATTCCATACATTACCCAGAATCACTGTTTAAGGCTGGTATTACAAACCACTCCATACTATTACTTTTTGATCTATCAAAAAAAAACAAGGTTCTATTGTCCAAAAGCTGTGTATATGTAATAGCAAAATAATATCTATTGAGTCTTTATAAGAAACTAAACTTTTTTAATGTAAGACTACATTGAATGGAGGCTCCATCTCCATGCTATTCATTTATTTTATTATTGTTGACATTAACCAGCAGAGCTACGTCCTCTAAAGGCTTTTCCCTAACCCTTATAGACATTCTAAGCATGTCTGTAGAATGTAAGTTGTTTCAGAATAAGAACTACATCTTTTGAAGGTGTGCATGAGTTTGTAATATTTAATATCCATGGATATTGTATTAGTGATACAATACATTTAATACAAAACATTAAGTGATAAATAGAATGAAGATGACCCTAGGCTTTGTTTAATTCTCATTTATTGTTGAGAATCATAACAATACTAGTGTTTTCCGTGTTGAATTTCCCACTACCTCATAGATAATTTCATAAGCTGTCTCAGAATTGATCACTTTGTCCTAGCCTAGGTAAGTTCCTGCATATGTACAATGGGCCACCAGGCTCAGTTTCTTTAGACAAGACAGAAATCAGGAGGGACCTACCTAGAACTTTCCAAAGTGCTGAATTTCTTCCAGATGCTCTTTGGGAGACCAAAGCTCTCAGGCTGTAAAAATGAGTGGACCTGTGGTGTCTTCCGGTTTCCACTCATGTTAGTTCCTTCTTTGGTAGGTGATGAGGAGTCTGGCTGTTGACCAAAAACCTATGTGTGATTTTTTTTTCAAAGTTGACCCTAGGAAATTACAAAGGCTTCACCTAGCAGGCCTCACTGGAAAAGCTGCCCTCTTCACTCCAGACTTGGGGCACAGCCAGTGCATTGCATTCTCTGAAGGAAGTTGCAGTCAAGGTCTCATCCCCTCTGGCAGGCTATGCTCTTAGTCTTAGCTGCATTGGTAGCCTAGGTGCCTCTATTTGGAGACCTCCTTACTGAGAAAGTTTGGCAGAAACTTTCCTCAGGTGCCTCTGCTGAGACGGCCTTATCTATGGGACGGGGAAACCTTGAAGACACTTTTTATAGTGTCTTCACTAGAAGAAAAGTAGTCAGTACTTTTCCATTCCTGACCCTTCCCTTTCTCCCTCCTCCAGACCTTTGGTTCCATAAAACAGCAAGAGTCTTTTGTTTGAGACTCCCTTGGCAGTGATGATTCCTCACATCTGTGTCCCATGCTGCTCCATCTGACCATTCCCCACTGCTGATCCATGGCAAAAAAAACGAACGGCAATGGAGCTGGCACTTTCTCCTATTTGGCCTCTTTCTTATATTATGGCAGTAACTGATGGAAGGTTTGACTGCTACTTTCATTTTGTATTATTGTCTTAATTGACAGCTACATCACCTGGCAACTCAGTTCAACTCAGCTCAGCTCTTGACAGAAGATATTGCTTTCATGTAGAGTAATCTCACCTCATTCTAATTTTACATTCAAATTCAAACAAGAAATCTAATCATTGAACCACAACTTAGAGTAGTATACAGAGAGGGGGAAATTCACTGTTTTGGTTTTTTTGTTTGTTTGTTTTTCAGCCAAAGTCTCACTCTGCTCCCCAGGCTGGAGTGCAGTGGCATGA
Source organism: Homo sapiens (assembly GCF_000001405.40). Taxonomy (NCBI): domain Eukaryota; kingdom Metazoa; phylum Chordata; class Mammalia; order Primates; family Hominidae; genus Homo; species Homo sapiens. The sequence goes on along the minus strand of NC_000003.12, from coordinate 107,088,472 downwards.
TCATAGCTCACTGCAGCCTTGAACTCCTAGGCTCAAGCAATTCTCCTGCCTCTGTCTCCTGAGTAGCTGGGACTACAAGTGTGCTACCACCTGTATTTTTAAAAAATTTTTTGTGTAGGGGTCTTACTATGTTGTTCAGGCTGGGAATCAACTGTTGACCATTACATGGACAACTCATTTTATAGATGGAGGCAATACTAATTATGGCCGGTAAAACTCACACCTGAGCTGTCTTCCTTCCTCTGTCTACCATGCCCTGCTTTAAACTTCCATGTGGATAGAAATTTTAACCAATAATATATCCAATTAAACAATAATCAACATTTATTGAATGAATACTTTGTGTCACATACTGTATTGGGGGATATAGTGATAAAATACCTCACAAGTTCTGTATAAAATATTGGAGCAAAATATAAATGGGTAGTGCTAAAAGCAATGTGTTATATTTTCAGTTCTTTACAATAGCAGGGTGCTTACTGGTGGTTGGGTGATATGGAGACAAGTAGGGGGAAGACTCTTGGTGGCTGGCAAAATTTAAGTAGCATCAGGATTCTGGCCAAGTAGGATGGAGCTCAGGGAATGGTACAAATACCACTATGTCATTGAAATGTTGGATAGGTAACAGATTAGTAATGTGAATGGAAACACATTAGGTAGGTGTCAGAGAAGACAGGGAAGGTTATTGTGATGCAGAGAACTATGGGTATATTAATAAATGGTTAGCCAGGCTAATCCCATAAACAGACTCTAAACATTAAAGCTTCCACTTCCAACCTCATATATATATATATAATCAAATGTTGATAGGCAGTGGGATTGGTGACTTATCTACTTGCCCTGGAGAGGACTGGTTTATGAACTGGACCAGGATGTCCTTGTTGTACAAACTAGTAAGTAGGAAAGAAGTTTGAGCAGAAACTGAGAGATCATTTATGACTGGCTAATCTGTTGAAAGGGTATAGACCTTGTATATCTTTAAATACAAGGATTTCTGCTTTCTGTTTTGTGGTAGAAAGTTGCAAAAGACTCCAACTATATAAATGACAGCAACTCAGTACACTTTAACAGCAAAGAGCTAAAGAAACACAGTGAATTAAATTCTAGAAAGGGATAGGCCCTTCCTAGCAGAGAAGGACTTATGGCTGCTCTCATCCCAGGGGAAAAGGTCAGTAGAGAAGGCAACTATTTACCTCAAACTGGGTAAGAATAGACCAGATGAACTTTTAATAAACATTTAATCATGTCTGTGGGTTGGTTTGTTGTGTTATACCCCAAGAAGCCTCAGTCAGAGATCAAGGCCACACCTGCCCTCCAATTTTTGCTCACTGGGACTATAGAAGCATCATTGTTAGGGCTGGGGGCAGGTCCGGAATGTGGAGAGAAACCCCACTGGCATACAGCGGGTTTACTGACTGCAAGGCAGTGGGCTGCTGATGGCTAGGGGAAGGACAGTAGGGTGGAGAGAGGTCTTCATGCTACCTAAATCCTGATGCTACCTAAATTTTGCCAGCCACCAATGCTTCCCCCTACTTGTCTCCATATCACCCAACCACTAGTCAGAAGAGCAAAGGGAACTCCACAGACATCTTAAAAACTAGCGGATAGGCGATAAAGCATGGAGTGACCTCTGGAGCATTGCTGGTGTTCAAATAACAATTTCTGATTGCACCATGGAAATATTTGAAGGCATTGGTGACTAGAATTTAAGTAAAGCCACAACAAATCCAGACCCAGCTCAAGTACACATTAGACCTACTCAGCCTGGAACTGGCACAGCATCATTTCTGTTGCATTCTGTTGGTCAAGCCAATTAACAAGGTAAGCGCCAAGTCAAGAGTAAGAGAAATAATCTTCATCTCCTGATGTGAGGAGTGAGTAGCATTTGCACACGGAGAGGGGAGGCATTGTTGGGACCTCTATTTGTAGATGAGTTATGATATTAAGCAGTACATTTAAAAATAACCCATTGTTCTAGGAATAAACCACAGTTTTAAGAATAGGCCAAAAGAAGTTAGAAAATATTTTAAACTAAATGAATATGCAACCTATCAAAATTTGTGGAATGCAGCCAACACAGTTCTTAGAGGAAAATTTGTAATGTTAAATGCTTATATTAGAAAAGACAAAAGGTTTAAAAACAGTATTCTAAGTGTCCAATTTATGAAGGTAGAAAAACAAGTTAAATCCAAAGTAAGAACAAAAAAGTAATTAATAAAGAGTAGAAATCAATGAATTACAAAATGGACAATCAATAAAGTCAACAAAGCAACAAAGCCAAAAGCTAGTTCTTTGAAAAGATTAAAAAATTGATAAAACCCTAGCAAGACAGCTCAAAGACAAAAGAGGGGAAAACATCCCACAAATGAATAATACCAGAAATAAAAAATGAGATATCACAAAAAAGATAATAACTTTATGCTGGTAAATTTGGCCATTTAGATAAAATGAATAAATTATTTGATAGACACATATTACCATAGCTGATACAAGAAGAAGGAGAATATTTGAATAAACACAAATCAATGAAAGAAACTGAATTTGTCATCAATCACAAGAAAACTTCAGGAGCATTTATTTTTACAATTTTTTTCTCTAAAAGAAAGGATGAGAGAACACTCTAACTTGTATTTTGAGCATGTCTCTGATACCAAACCTGAAAAGGACATTTCAGGGTGAGAAAAATAGAGAAATATTTCTCATGAACATAGACACAGAAAACTTTGGTAAAATATTAACAAATACATTCCAACAGTATATAAGAAAGTGAGAAATAAAAATGTTACCAAGCCCCCACCGACTGAACAGACTGCTTCTTGACCAAGGGGACCCCAGAGAAACCTTAAAAACTGGGTTTCCAGCCATGACAGGATGGGAGGTCAGATATGCCTTCCTTATTAACCTTCAACCAGGATTCTTTCCTAAAGAGTAAGCAGAGACCAGCTTTAGAAAACAAGACATGGATGCCTCATTCCTTTATGGCCTTTAGCCAGTCATCTGAGGGCATGACCAGACTTCCTCGCAATGCATTCCTTCCTAAAAACTGACCACCATCTCCAGGCCGGTTTTGGCTGACTTGTGCAGAGGATGTGCGGTAAGCATGTACATGTTCTCTGCTTCACCTTTTGACAGCAGAGGGCTGACAACTCCACCCTCAGATCATGCTAACACTGCCATTTTTTTTGAACATGTGACCTATGAAGAGGCATGTGCATGGTTTCTTCTTTCGTAAATATTTATGACTCCTCTTGTAGCTTATTAAATATGTATATTTGGCCACCCTGCTCAGCGTGAATTCCTATTTCCTTTGCCCCTTCCCTGAAGTGCTTGTTCTTGGCTTTTACTGGAGACTATGCTTCCCAGCCAGCAGGATGGGCAGCCTGCAGATTATGGGTCTTTATGAGAAATAAAGCTCTCCTTTCCAAATTTATGAACCTTGTGATTCTTCAATTGGCAAAAGTATAATAAATATATTACATTAAAACATGCCATGGGCACTCATTAAACCAAGGTGAATATTATTGTGTTAATGTAAACTAGTCATTTTTTAAAAGAATTTGAGGCAGGGTCTCACTTTGTCACCTAGGCTGGAGTGCAGTGGTATGATCATGGCTCATTGCAGCCTCAACCTTCCCAGGTTCAGGTGATCCTCCCACCTTAGCCTCCTGAGTAGCTGGGACTACAGGCATGGGCCACCACACCAGACTAATTTTTTGTACCTTTTGTAGAGACAGGGTTTTGCCATGTTGTCCAGGCTGGTCTCGATCTCCTGGGCTCAAGTAATCCACCTGCCTTGGCCTCCCAAAGTGCTAGGATTACAGGCATGAGCCACCACACCCAGCTTAATGTAAACTAATCTCAAAATGATTATATAGTTAAAAAATTGATGATGGAGGATAACAGATATGCTTTTCAGTTATCACAGTTACAGGATAGGTTGTTAGGTGTGACTTTAACATACTCGAATCATTAATTCTGTTAGGCATGTTTATTAAGTTTGGCTGTTGCCTTCAGGCTGTTGAATGTTTAATAATTCGAAGTACAGTTACTGATAGAATTTCTATCTATATCTGTGTATCGATCTATGTACGTATGCATCTATCTACCTATCTAATCTGTCTATATGGTCAGCATTAATTCATTTTCTTTAGTCATATTCTTGTTATTTATCTTTCTACACTAGTGCTTCCTAACATGTGTTGATCACAAATTCTACAGGCTGTTAATAGTTTAAGTGAAACCAAACAGGCGTCTTTAAAGCCAGAAATTGCAAAGCGTTAATGGCCCTGATGCATGTAATAATCCCAGAGGTGGCCTACTTGGGAGCCTGCCTGTGACTGTCAATGCATTCCCCAAACTCACCACTGTGATTTCAGACACCTTAAAGAATAATGTGGATCTTAATCATTGGTATTCTTGAAGAGATAAACATAGTTTATGTAGTAAATTACAAGCCAGAACATTTCTGTATCCATCATTGAAGCAGCTACTCAAAAAATACCTTCTCTTTGCCCCATAATCTTCCTTTTTCCTTCCTCCTTTTCCCACTTATCTGTCAGTCTATCCATCATTCTGTGTTCATCTATCTCTCCACCCATTAATTAATCCATTCGTTCTCATTCTTTTTCTACTCCTTTGTGTTTTTACTCCACACAGTTCTTTTTTTCTTCTTTTTCTTTATTTGCTTTATATGTATATATATTCTTTATTTGCTTTATATATATATTCTTTATTTTATATATATATATATGTATATATTCTGTTCTCAATATCTTTGACAGCAGCCTTGGAATTTTAACACAGTCTATGCTGTGTTTTCTTTTTGCCCTTCCTTTTCCCTTTCTTTTCTCTGCCTCTCCTTGCCTCTCTTCTCTCTTTTTGCCTCTTCTTTCTGTAGAAATAAGAAGCACTTTGAAGTCCTGGTGAGAAAAAATTTCCATCTAATTATATTTCAGTTTTCTAAGAGAGGTGTATATATGTTATTTAATGTGTACTGTTTCCTAAGCTTATTTAACCACATAATTTTTTGAGGGGCATTTTTGAAACTAATTTTATATTGAAAAATTAGTTTAATAATTTGAAGTACAGTTACTGATAGAATTTCTAACTATATCTGTGTATCGATCTATGTACGTATGCATCTATCTACCTACCTAATCTGTCTATATGGTCAGCATTAATCCATTTTCTTTAATCATATTCTTGTTATTTATCTTTCTACACTAGTGCTTCCTAACATGTGTTGATCACAAATTCTACAGGCTGTTAATAGTTTAAGTGAAACCAAACAGGCTTCTTTAAAGCCAGAAATTGCAAAGCGTTAATGGCCCTGATGGCTTTAACCCAATGGATACCCTGCTGTATTTTAATAAATTATATCTTTCTTTTTTTGCTTTTAAAATAATAAAAGGAAAATAAATACTTACTGTAAATGAAAAATATACAGAAGTGTGTAAAGTAAAAAAGTTAAAATTCTCTGTACATTTCAACTAATGGTATGCTCCATGGAGGGAGGGGCCAGGCTCTGTCAGGTTCACCACTGTGTCATCGTGCCCAGCACAGTGCCAGATACTGAGGAAACCCTAAATAAATACATGTTGAATCTTCCAAACTGACACAGACATATATGATGCATTGGTTATTTATCAGGAGCTAAAATGTATTTCAACTATTTTGCATTTATATGTCATATAGTTCTTAGTGACTCACAATGAACTCATAGTTAATCCAGTTACTCTATATAATGTGAAAGTCCTTGTCGAATAGAGCAAATGCAATCCAGGCTTTAGAGTGAATCGTTCAACAATTTAGGAATGCATTCTCAGAAGTAATGAGCTACAGGGAATCTCCCTACCCAACCTTCATTTAGAAACCCAGGGTTGTATTATATGCAGCAGTCTCTAGGGTCACCTGCTATCTACTGAATGCCAGTCACATTTTCTCTGCATCACCACTGGCAATGGTAGCTATACTCTCATTCAGGAACAATATTAGAAACCTCCAAATCACAGTCTCAAGTAACTGCTCTTTTGTCTATAAGGGAAATCAGTGTTGGCAGATGTCTTATAATTTACAACCATGTTACCCCACATATTATCTATGCAAATCATAATTTAAACTTATTTTGATAACCAGTTCTTTAAACTTGGAAACAGATTCATGCCAGTTGTAAAATGGTTAAACAGCATGGAAGATAATACAGTATACATAAGTCTAGTGACCTCGACCCACCTAGCCTGCCCTTTCCAGAGATAAATGCTCTGATAATTTCCTGTGTTTCCTTCCAGACATTTTTTTAATCACCAATTTTATCTTCCAAGATTGTTTTTTGGGAGAAAGTTAAAGGCATATAGAGAAAACACATAAGAAGAGATCATTAAGAAGAAAAGAAGGAAGAAAAAAGGAAAGAAAAATAAAAAGAGCTTATTAGATTCTATATACTAAAACAGGAGATAGAGATTAAAAGAAACACACATGCACACCCACCTTTTGTACCTCAAACCTCTTGCTTTCCATGTCCTTCATGGGGTGCTGAGAGTCCTAGAAAATTTTTTTTGTGAATAAAAACTCATGCAATGGAAGGTGTCTTGGCTGTTGTCCTAGAGGTTTTGCATTTGATCACTCCTCCTAAGAAGGAGTCATTTTAAGAAAACTTCCTTTCTCTATTCATAACTACTTGTGTCATATTATAATCAATCAAAGATGTTCTCAATGTGACAATGACAGGTGCGGTGATACAGGTTTGGAACTGGGCAAGTTTATATGAGCTGTCTTTAAACCAGCAATTTTGTCTTCCCAGGGAACATTAAGGAGCAATTTTGTCTTCCCAGGAAACATTAGGCAAAGTCTGTAAACATTTTGGATTGCCATGGCTGGGGGTAGTTGAGCATTGCTGGCATCTAGTGGATGGAGGCCAAGGATGCTGCTAAACATCCTTCAAAGCACAGGACAGCCCCCTACAAGAAAGAATTATTTGATTCAAAATGCAACAGTGCTAAAGTTAAGGAACTCTACTTTATCTTATTTTATTTTTTTGAGACAGAGCCTCGCTTTGTTGCCCAGGCTGGAGCGCAGGGGCATGATATTGGCTCACTGAAGCCTCTGACTCCTGGGTTCAAGCAATTCTTCTGCCTCAGCCTCCCAAGTAGCTGGGATTACAGGTGTGCATCACCATGCCTGGCTACGTTTTGTATTTTTAGTAGAGATTGGGTTTCACCATGATGGCCAGGCTGGTCTTGAACTCTTGACCTCAGGTGATCTGCCTGTATTGGCCTCCCAAAGTGCTGAGGTTACAGGCATGAGCCCCCACACCCGGCCAGGAACTCTACTTTAAATGAACTCTTTTGCAACTTTTTTCTTTTAGGGACAGTGATTTTCATTAGAGAAACAACTCAAAATAAGCATCAATATCAACAGCAATAAAATCTTAGACAGTTTTCCACTGGGTTTAAAGTTTGGGATCTTGAACCTCAGAACATAATGGATGAGTTTGGTGTCCTACTGAATCATCCAGAAAAATAATTTTTCACAGCATTATCAATCCTTGGCCTTTTCCCTTTTTAACCTTTCTGATTATATTGCCTATGGAAAAAGCCAATCTGTTTCAGTCAGGTGAAACTTGAACAACAGGGAATAATAGCAAATAACTATATATTTGTTTGGAAAATAGTAAAAAATAGACAATAAGTCCCATGTTCATTGTCTTTTGCCAAGTTTTGTTACCAGCTCCTTTAGAATCTTTTTTTTTTTTAATTAAAAGTGGTTACATAAATCCTTATTAGGGTGAAGCCTGATAACTGTGTTCTGGTGGGATAATTGTATTTAATCTGCTCATTTCTGAATGCCAGAACAGATTAAAGCATATGAAAAATTAAATAATGTGAGATTGTAATGACTCTGGGTTAGAAAGATTCTTGAACCGTAGTAAATCCTATCATTGCTTCATTTCAGTGGAGTTTATGGCCTAGAGAAATATGTTGAATATTGAACGTTAAAGTTGTCTTAGTGAAGAAGGGAATTAGACCATTGGAACTGCAATAAAATGGTTTAGAGGGTATGGAACTCACTCCTTTAAGTTGTTGACAAGAAAGTAAAGGCTCTAAGCTGGTAAGTGGCTGGCCCTGGGTCAAGGTTAGTGGCACTCCTGGGGCTAGAGTTCAGGGCCCCTCATCTGAGTCCAGTGTTCTTCTGGCACTGTTTCTATGCTGCAGCTCATAATTATCTCTATGTGGCCAGGGCTACCCAGAGTAAAATTTACCAAAGACAGACCATAATGCCTTACATGTATTCATCACTTCAGAATATTCCAACTGCTTTCACACATATTCTCTCATATAAAAATCAACCTTATTACCTAAATAGGACAAGAATCTTGTCTCAATTGATCAGAGAAAATGGAAATGCAGACATATGTAGTCATTCATTTTAGTTAAATAACTATTAATAATAGACACAGATGTTTCAGCCCAGGACTCTCCTCATCATTTAATTGCAGGTTTATTACAGGCACAAACTGGTATACAATTAGCCTCTCTTTATAGGTGGCTTACCATGTGCCTGGTACCGTGCTAAGGGCATGAATTAGCCCATTTATTCCTTACAATGACTCTAATAGGTTGATATGATTTTTATCTCACTTGCTTGATAAAGAAAGTGAGGTGTAGTGAGGTTCAGTATCATTGATTTAGCTTAAGTCTGTATTAATGATAGCTTTAGACCAAGATCTGTTTCATGCCAATATCCATATTTTAATCATTATACTATACTACCAGCATTATTCAATATGGTGTTTCTATGGCTATTTTGGTAACTAATACAATGATTGAAATAGCCACTGCACATCCAATTTTATGTATTGATGTTCTGATTTTCACAAAAATCTTTTACCCTTTTTAGCCCTTATTTATAGCCGATGCTGGGGAGAATGGAGGCCACAGGTTAACATAATTTTCTTTTTCTTCCTTCTACATTTATCCAGTAATTTCTATCTGATTTCCCTCCCTCAGTATTCCTACACTTACCCATTCACTCTAACCTACCCAATGCAGCAGGGGTAGGCTTTTTAGGAAAGGTATCTGATTGTGTCATTACTTAGAAGCCTTTAATGGATCACTCATAACTTCAGACACAAGGTACTGCATGATCCACTCCCTGCTTTATTGCAATTTTATGTCTTGCTAGTTCACTTCAGACTCTGTTCCAGCCACCGTGGCAGTTTAGTATCTCCTCAAGCTCGGTGTGTGTGCATTTTCATATTCTTTGAATTACCTCTCCACACTGCCCCCTGCCTCCTTCCTCTGCCCCAGTGTAGCCCTAATTCTTTTGTTCTTTAAAGCTCCGTTTAAGAATGTTCATGTCCTTTGTAGAGACATGGATGAAGATGGAAACCATCATTCTCAGCAAACTATCGCAAGGAGAAAAAACCAAACACCGCATGTTCTCACTCATAGGTGGGAATTGAACAATGAGAACACCTGGACACAGGAAGGGGAACATCACACACCGGGGCCTGTTGTGGGGTGTGGGGAGTGGGGAGGGGTAGCATTAGGAGATATACCTAATGTAAATGACGAGGTAATGGGTGCAGCACTCCAACATGGCACATGTATACATATGTAACAAACCTGCACGTTGTGCACATGTACCCTAGAACTTAAAGTATATAAAAAAAAAGAATATTGCTTCTGAGCTCCCCAAACACCCAGAATATAGTTTGATCATGGCTCCATCATGTAGATGATAATTGACTTTCCTTTCCAACTACACTATGAGCTTTCAATAGAAGGGACCATTTCTAGGCCTGGCATGGTAGCTGACACCTGTAGACCCAGACTGAGGCTGAGGCAGGAGGATTGCTTAAGACCAGGAGTTTGAGACCAGCCTGGGCAACATAGCAAGACTCTGTAGAAAAATAAAACACTGGCCAGATGTGGTGGTGGTGGTGCGCTGTTAGTCCTGGCTACTTGGAAGGCCAAGGTAGGAGGATCACTTGAGCTGAGTTTGATGTTGCAGCGAGCTATGATTGAACCACTGCACTCTAGCCTGGGTGACAGAGTAAGGCCCTGTCTCTAAAAAAATAAAATAAAATAAGAAGGGACCATTTCTTAGTGTCTTTATTTCTCCAATGCTTAGCTCAGTTCCTGGCCTGTAATACTAAGCTAATAAAGTTGAATGAGCATGGTAGTGTGAAAAGAAGTTGAGGATTGAATAGATATGGAAAGCATAGGAAAGAGAAGCATGAAAGATAGTTTCATGAAAGAAAGAAAGACGTCTCCTTTGGGTAGCTGGAAAGATTTTTATGTTATTAATTGAAACAGGATATTTAAGATAATGATACGAATCTGCTGGGGAAAAGGGAAGTTGGTCAATTTGGTCTGCTCATGTAATATGTACAATATAATAAGGTGACCATAGAATAGTAATCTCCAACCTGCTTTAAACATTATGTGTCTAGTAGAATAGTTAGAAATTTAGGTTTCATGGACCAAAACAATTTAAAGAGGCTCTGTTAGCCTTTGTAATTGTAAAATAAATAGATCCTAAGTTCCTCTTCAATGCATGTATTTATGAAAATGAAAGGAAAGAATGAGGCTGACTTCCTCACTCAGACTCCAGGTTTCCCTCCATTACTTTTTGACATTGCTCAGGGAGAAGCAGAAATTGACCCTAAACTTTACAAGCAGCTGATCTGCAGCAAGCGAGTGAACTTTATAAGCTTAGCTGAAATGGGATGCTATGTACAAATGGAATGGTTTTTTTGGTAGCTAAGTGGCTCTTCATAACATTGTATAAATATCATTCACTGAATTAGCAGAGTAGGAGTAGTTGGCCTTAAGATATTTATGTCTTTGGTTGAATATGCAATCATATTACTTAAGCAGAAATTTGTTTATGTATGTAGACCTTTGTTCTTGGACTCTGGGCTGTGGGGACCCAGTCTCGGTTGGAAACAAAGAACAGAGAACAGTCCTGTGAAGAATAAGCTGGCTTTGTGAGAATTATACAGAAAAAACAGAAGTGTAGCTAGTACATGGCTAACTTGGTCTTTCTAGAATGGACCCATCTGGTTTCTTCACTAGTATTTTATCTCCTACATACTTTGCAATCTTTTTGCAAAATTTAGCCACAATAATTTCTAATTCTACAAGATTTTGAATGTATAGAGAGCCTCTCTGATTCTCTGGCAGAGGGGCTAGTGAGTAAAGCTTAGAATTGTCTTAACAGAGAACTTACTGTGAATGCAGTTTCAATATTTAAAAGGTGAGCTCACCGGTGGGCGGTAGGACTATGTCATGGCAAGTGCTGGATAGCATCACAATTTTTGCCTTCCCAGGCCTTTCTCAGGGCATGTCAGTGAACAACTGAATATGAGCATCCTGAAACAAGGAATGCATCTGCTATATGCTGAATTGTAATGCTTCCCGAACACTCAAATTTACATTTTGAAGTTCTAACCCTCAAATTTGACCATATTTGGAGATAGGTCTTCACAGGGTTAATGAGGCCATTAGGGAGGGCCCTAATCCAATATGGACTGGTGTCCTTGTAAGAAAAGGAAATTTGATGCAGACACACATAGAGGGAAGATATGGAAAGACATAAGAAGAAGATAGCCATCTAGAAGCTGAGGAGGGAGGCCTCCGTCAGATCCTTTCCCCATGACCCTCCTTCCTCAGAAGGAACCACCCCTGCTGGCACCTTCCGCTTGGACTTCCAGCCTCTAGAAATGTGAGGAAATAAATTTTTGTTGTTTAAGCCATCCAGTCTGTGGCACTTTGTTATGGGAGCATTAGCAAACTAACATGGCACCTTCTTGCCTTTGTAACATCAGGCCTTATTTCAGGCACAGCCTGGGATATAGAAAGTTTTTAATAACCGTTTTTGAACCAAAGGAATAGAAAAGAGTTAGCACAACTTGTGGGACTATGCATAATCCACAAACTATTATCCATTAAAAAAATTCACCAATCAGCCAAGAGTTGCCACAGATTTATGTGAGAGCTTGTAGTGGGTGCTGTGTATCCACTGTACTCACAGATGTAGGTGTCAGCCCTGGCCTTAAAGAGGCTTCACCTGGGTTTGCTCCTCCTAGAAAAGTACAGACTTAAGGAGTGGTCCCACAGTAGCCCTGTCCACACAGGTGGTCCTCCTGCCTTGTGCCTCATCTTGTCTGTACTGATAGTGGTGCTTTTTTTTTTTTTTTTTTTTTTGAGGCAGAGGAGGAAGGGCGTCAATAGTTTAAAGAGCCTCCTAAACACATACATTCAAGTGTTCCTGCCAGTAGGTGGGGGAGTAGGCTGGCATAATCAGAGGTTGTTTTTTGCCCTGGGCTCCAGGCTAATGATCAGATGATCATTAGGGTCCACTGGAATTTAGGCATTCTCCATTTCTCAGTATAATTTTAGTGTTCTTTACTTAGCTTTGTAGCAGAAGAGGATATTTACCCTGTAGGTAGACTATTAACTGAACTTACTGTGGAGTTGAATGAAACATAAAATACACAAGGCTGAGTGTAAGTTAGACCAAAAATCTTTTCTCGTATTAAGAGCTGGCAGATATTCTCTAGCCATCCAAGGATTCTTCAACATTTCCGTCTTGCTTTCTAGGAATGAGAATTATCCTTCACAACATTCTCTATTTAGCATACATGTTGTCTCTTTGTAGGTGCCATTTCATTTTGTTCTTACAACAACTCTAGGCAGTGAATACAATTGTCATAGCCATTTTACAGACGAGGAGATTGAGGAACACAGAAGTTAAGATCATTTGAAGAAGAAAGCTAAGGTTCAGGGAGTTTGGCCTTTTTCTGGAGCCTGTGGCCCTTGTTGTGCCTCATTATGTCCCTGTTTCCATTGATGTTCTTTTGATCCCTGTCTCCTAGTCTTTTCTTTTGGATGGAGTTTGTGCAATGGGTAGAGGTTGGGAGGACTTGCAACTTCCCGATGGCAATTTCCTAACTTTCCTGCTTCTTTTCTTATGTTATTCTTTGTGACTCTGTGATTCCTCTCCTAAGCATCTTCACTGAAGGAAGCTGTCTGCTCCATGTCTTGCTACTGTATGTCTTAATACTACTGCTTCTCCCTCCTCTCCATTCTAGCCCTTCATTTTTAGATTTTAGCCTTGTCTGCTTCATCACCATCCACTTTTTTTCTTGTATCCTTTGTGTTTTCTTTCTTTGCATTGCCTGATACTACACTCTGTTTATCTCTGGACTTGTCTGCCCTCTAACCTATTATTTGGCTCACCTAAGAGGCCTGGACATTGGATAATTGGTTTCGTGTAGTCTTGTGGTCCCATTTAGTTCATTTGTTACTTTATAGGTGAAATGGAAGCATGTCTTTTGTGCAGGAAGCTTCCCTCTTTAAATGGAAAAAGACCTACCTGAGAGATGACCTGCCATGAAAATGATATTCTCCACACACAAAACAAACTTTTTATGATGTTCTCACATTTTCTTATTTTCAAGAGACCCTATGACTGATTGATATCAAATCACACAGAAGCTTAATTCCATATGCTTCTAGACTTGAATTTTCCAGTATGTGTTCCAAGGAGCCTTAGTTCTGTAAGAATCTCCTTTACTATTAACATCATGGTAACATCTTCCTTTTGCCAGACACAGGATATTGGAGGTGGAAGGAGCCACCTGTGTACTCCTTGTTGCGTCATCTGTGCCCCTCACTCCTGATCACTTTCCCCATCTCTCCACCACAAAGTGCCCAAGAGACCCACTGAAGGAGGCTACAATAGCACTCAATCATCACTTTCTCCAGGATGTCATTGAGCCCTGCATCCTCACTTTCCTCAGTTACTGCAAAAAAAATCCAAGCCTCCCACTCATGCCCCATCCCTAAGACCCTTATTCTCACTTTCTTAATATAGCTGTGCACAATTTCTGATGAGTTCCAGTCTCCCTCCCTTCCCAGCAATTCTACTGTATATTCTGGAATTCACAGTGTGTGTACAAATGAGAAGAAGCTAGATTTTACTATAGTAGCAAATCAAGCACACACACACATACACACAGCACCCTAAAACACTACTGGTTCCTTATAAAACAAAGGTTTATTTTTCACTTTATATTCCACATTGGTTGGCAGGGAGTCGGTACTCCAGAATCACCCAGAGATAAAGCTGACAAGGGCTTCACAATCTTCTGTCAAAAACATCTGGAAATGAAGCCTTCTTGGTGGCCTCAACAGGGTAAGAGTGAAATGGGAGACTTGCTCATGGGTTTGTCACTGTCTCAGCCTAGAAGTGACACATGTCATTTCTTACATTTCTGTGCCAGAAATATTCAGATGACCTTGCCTAAGAACAAGGGGGCTGAGAAATCCTCTCTTCCCCATGGCTAAAAGAGTAGGGGAATGATATTAGTAGTATCTGTCTTTGAGATTGAAAAATTCCCCATCTTCAATCTCTGCTCATAAATTTCACTTCGACTTCTTGTTCTAAGTAAAATTGGCTTTTCCTAAGGTCACTGCTTCCCCTGTAGCTCTCAAATGATGGCTCTGTTTCCCCCTGCATCCCAGGTGCTTCTGGGCTCTTGAAGGTATGATAGTACATCCTTTGTTTCTCACTTCTCCCAGAATAAGGTTTTCTCTGGCTTTCTTCACTTTTCCCCAACATCTCCTCATTTCCCTTAAAGCTCATACCATCTGACTGCACCATTGGATCCCCTTCCTGTCACAGACATCTGTCATCCTTCCTTCCCTCTGCAGCCACGTGTTAATGGAACATTTTAGCACTCAGTATATTTTGATTTACTGCATTTTTCTCCTTCATGTCTCTGTCATTTGTCTTGGTGATTTCAATAGCCATGAGTACAATTCTTCTCATACCTTGTTCTTGACCTCTTCCCTTCAAAATGTTTTGCCTTTTACTTACCTCTGACACCTATTCTCTTGATCATCCTCTAGACCTTTACCTCTGAAACCTCAATTAATAGCATCTCACTTACTAGCCATCACTTTTTGTTTTTCCCTCTTAACCCCATTGTTATGGGCTGAATTGTGTCTTTCCCAAATTTATATGGTTAAGTCCTAAGCCCCGGTACTTCAGAATGTGACCATATTTGGAAATAGGGTTTTTAAAAAGGTACTTAAGCTGAAATGAGGGCATTAGAGTGAGCCCTAATCCAAGTGACTGTTGTTCTTATAAGAAGAAGAAATTAAGGCACAGAGGGGAGATCATGTGAAGATACTGGAAGAAGATGGCAGATATGATTTGGCTGTGTCCCCAGCCAAATCTCATCTTGAATTGTAGCTCCCATAATTCCCACCTGTTGTTGGAGGGACCTGGTGGGAGATAATTGAATCATGGGGACAGTTTCCCCCATACTGTTCTTGTGGTAGTGAATAAGTCTCACAAGATTTGGTGGTTTTCTAAGGGGTTTCACCTTTTGTTTGGTTCTCATTCTCTTTCTTGCCTGCCACCATTTAAGGCATGCCCTTCACCTTCTGCCATGATTGTGAGGCCTCCCCATCCATGTGGAACTGTGAGTCCATTATACCTCTTTTTCTTTATAAATTACCCAGTCTTGGGTATGTCTTTATCAGCAGTGTGACAACAGACTGACACAATAGCTATTTACAAGCCAAGGAGAATGACTTAGGACCAACCCTGCTGGCACCTTGATCTTGGGCTTCTAGACTTCAGAATAAATTTCTGTTGTCTAAGCCACCCAATCTCTGATCCTTTGTTATAGCAGCCCTAGCAAACTAGTACAGTACACTCCTCTAATATCCTTGTGTTCTTACCTCCCCTTCTCAGCTCACATTTCGTGGTCAAAAGAATAATAGTGGTTTTCTACACTTCTTCTTTTTTTTTTTTTTCTGGTCCCTTATCTCTGTGCTATATGTTATAACTCTTGTCTGGCAAAACTTCCACCATAAGTATATCTAACTCTCCTCTTAGATAAAGCCTATAGCCGAGCAGCTAAGCATGGCTAAAAGAAAACAACCCCCATGCAGTCCATGCCGGGCCATCTCATTTTCAACATTTCTCTAATCCTTCCCTCTCCTGTTCCCTGAGAAGGCTGGTTTAGACCATCTTCTTGGTCCTCTGACTTCCAATCCCCTCTAAATTCTTAGCTGATGATTTGCTTCTTTTTCTAGGCCAAAATAGAAGGAATCAAAAAAGAGTGCATGATTCTGCCTCCACCAAATCTACTAACTTCCCGCCTTCTGAACTCTCATACTCTGACATCTTGTCTGTAAAGTGAATGAATCATTCACATGTCCAGCTAAGGCAAGCTGTTTGCTTGTGCTCTGGATTGCCTACTGAAGGAAACTGCTCCTGCAATTGTGTCCCCGACCTCCTGCATCAATGCCCTCCTGCTTTCTGGAGAATCATTTCTATCAGCATACTCGTATGCCTCAATACTTCATAAGAATAGGCTTTTTCGGTGGTGGTTGTTTGAAGCTATAATACCAGCTCCCAATCTTAATGTATACAGTAATGATTTATTTCTTGCTCATACAATATCAAATGTGTGCCAGATGAGTCTCCAGGGCCACTCTCCTTCGTGAGAGTGATGTGGGGATTCTGGTTCCTGCAATGTGTGAGGCCACTGCCTCGACACATGGCTCCCCGTGTCCCTATGGCAGAGGAAAAGAGAGGGGAAGATGGCACACACATAGTAGGGGAAAGAGAAAAACATTAAGATAATTTTTTTTTCATCCTGGGACAAGCTGCTTTAGAGATAAATAATTAAAAATCCATGATATTTTAATTTTAATCGTGCTATCCACTATGTGAGAGGCCATGAACCACTGACAAATAAAACGAGGATGATGATCTCCTTTGTATGATCCAGATGTAGTAGTTGCACAGTTTTCTTCCATTTCATTTGTGTGTATGTGTGTATGCATGCGTGTGTGTGTGTATGTCTTCTCTATAGAATTCATAGCAGTACACTCCTCTTAACTTTGGGAGATAAAGGGTAATTTCATTCAATAAGTCTGCAATGGGAGAGAGGAATCTTTCCTCTGGGTTAAGTTTTTTTTCTTACTCTACAGAATATGAAATAAGATGATCTGAATTCATAAATGAAAGGAAACTATTTGCTGTCCATTCATGTCAGGGTGAGAGCAAGTGAACTTGTTTATGCCTGTGCATATCTGCTTGGGGTTTTCTGTAAGCATTCGTATTGCTCCAAACTAATCTTTCATTAATGTGTGAATGAAGTGGGAGAGAGCGGGTGACTAGAGGGATGACAGCTGCAACAAGAAAGAGCATCTAGTGGTCCAGTCAGAAGGCATGTGCTAATCTTTGGTTTTAAGATTTCAGTGGCATCCGCTTTGGGAGACCGACATGGGCAGATCACCTGAGCTCGGGAGTTCAAGATCAGCCTGGGCAACATGGTGAAACCTCACCTCTACCAAAAATACCAAAAATTAGCTGAGGTTGGTGGCGTGTGCCTGTCCTCCCAGCTACTCAGTAGGCTGAGGTAGGAGGATGACTCGAGCCTGGGAGGTGGAGGTTGCAGTGAGCTAAGATCATGCCACAGCACTCCAACCTGGGTGACAGAGTGAGACCCCATCTTAAAAAGCAAACAAAAAACAAAACTAAACTAAACAAAACAGAAAGAATCCAGCAGCATCTTTGTATTTACAAATATGTCCTTCAAAACTGATAGAACTAATGAAGAAGAATATGATATATAGTTGCTTTTTGTTACATAACAAACCATGTAAAAATTTTAGTAGCTTAAAACGTGAGTTTATTGAGCTCATGATTCGGTGGGTCAGTGGTGTTTCTGGTTTCACTAGTCTGCAGTCAGCTGCCTATTATCTAGGCAGTTCTGCTTCTGAGGGTTGGCTGGCTGTAGGCTGGGGTGAAGATGGAGATGCCTGGGCCACGTCTCTCATCTTCCTTCAAGACAGCCCAGGTATGTTCACATGGAAACTGGTCAGGATCCTGAGAAAAAGAGTGGAAGAATGCAAGGTTCTTGGACCCAGAGTATGGTACTGGTACACTTGTAGCTCTGCCACAGTCAGATAAGGTCAGACACAGCACAGTGGCAGCCCATATTTAAGAAGAAAGGGCAAGAATTGCAAAGTTAAGTGCAAATGGCTATAGAAAAAGAAAGAGAAATAATTTATGGTCACTTTGTAATCTACCACATAGGACAAACACTTGAGCAGTGCAGCCCGGGATATTTAAAAATTGTTCCCTCACCTACTACTGGCCAGTGAAGAAAGCAAAAGTCAGAAGCAAGTCTTTAAAAACTAGGCCTTACTAAATATTTCTCTTTTGTGTGTCAACCACGACTGTCACTATTAAATAGTTTTAAGAAAATAGTCTTTAATTTTTTAAACTAAAAGCTTCCATTTCCAAGCTCATTTATTTTCCAGTGGAAATAGTATTTCTGAAAGAGGAAGTGTGTTGATTGCATTGAGAAGGACCAGCATCTTGTCCCCATGGTAATGGCATCTTGAATTCTCCAAGTGTTCACCACCTGGTGTTCTGAAGCCCAGTAGCCATACAGTAACACATTATACAATGTGGAAGAAGGAATCTACTTGTATAACATGTACAATGACAGTGGGCCCACAGGTGAAGTTTAGAATCAAATTAAAATTATGGCCTATGAAATAATAAGAATATGGTTAAATTGCTAAAAATAATAGTCATAATAAATTAGTCTTTCTTGTAGAAGATACTTGGATAACTCTGCTACCTGTGAAAACCACTCTTTGCAACAATATTGGAATAAACCATGTTTTAATGCTTTTTGAATTCATCTAAGGCATGAGGTTTACATGCACATGTGCGAACACACAGGACTATATATACATGCGTATATATATATATATGCACACACACACAATTGCTGAGTCTTGAATTTGAACCAAAATGATAGCAGCCATAATTGGCCATTCTTAATTACTGTATTATTTAAAATGATTACTCCTATCCTAACTTACTATAGTCTTTTAAAGAAGATGTTTAAAAATCACAACGTCTAAGTCATAAGATATTTGGTGAATGGTTGCCTTTCCACAGAAATTATTCTGTCCCCCAAACCCTTGTCTCAGTTGGTGTCACTGGGGCTTTTGGAAATTAGAATTTAGATTCAAATGAAGCTGCATCTTCACGCAGTGATTTTAGGTATATAAGTGACAGATTTGATATCTGTCAGTATCTATGACTACTATTAAGCTACACAGGAACCATGAGAGAACAAATCCTTGCTCACTGTGATAGCTGAATGGCTGCCTTTACTGCTGAAACTGTGAAGCAATTTTCTATTGTAAAACCCATAGTAACAGAATTCAGGAAGGTGGATCCCTAGGGGGATTGAAGACGGGATGTGTGTGGGATGTTTTTGAATGAGTCACTGGGCAGAGTTGGAGGTGTTCTTCAAATTAGAAACAGGAAGCTAGTGGGTTGCTTGGAAAGGCAGACGTGAGCTTTGAACTAAGAAGAGACGGAGGTCTTCCTGGACCCTGGGAGGGATCTGACATGAGGCAGAAAAATTCCCAGGATGATGTTATCCTCCTAGAGGGAATACACAAAGTATGAAACCTAAATCCTGACACTAACTGCAAACATGCAAACAGTAGTTTAAGACTTTCCCCCTCATTGGCTACTGTCATGATTAAAGAAATCATTGTAGCAAATGTGCCTTAAAATTGTAATCCACAAAGCACTTTCCTCTTCACTGGGGGTTCCTACAGGAGTAGTGAGGAAAAAGAAGGTAGGGGGAGATTTTATGAAAGAAAACATTGCCGATGTACACCTCTCTCCCCTGTTCTCCTTCCCTTTTTCCCCTTCCCCGAGCTGCGAAGAAGCCAGCTCCCATGGGGCTCTGAGATCTAGGATATGAAGGGAATATAGAGTGGAAGACCTTTCTGGTTGTGTCTCTCAGGTCACTTGACAACTGGATGTTCGTTATCTTAGGAGAAGGAATTCATGCTCAACAAAGATTTTCCTTGCTTGTACTTGGATTCCATGAGGGCCCATTTATAATTCACCCTAGATAGTCACACAGATGCCTATCCTCTATATGTCATTCATTTGTTGCAATCACTCTATGATGAATATATTTGTATGTCACTAATCCCATATCCACAATGCCAAAATCTAGGAGGCTCTATATTGGAAAGTTCCTTTCGTAGTTTTGATGGCAATACCTGACTTGAATTCCATGAAAATAGTAATACATTTTATTTATCTCTTTCAGTGGATTATTGATATATTTTACTGAAGGAATATCAATATGTTTGCTTACTAAGTACTGCCTCAGACATTGGGGTGTCACATAAAATTCAGTATATGCATGACATTATGTTATTATAAAATTTAAAAAAACCTTGAAATCTAGTCACAAGAACTTCATGTAAGAGACTATGGATGTGTGTTTTCTCCAAATGAAGGAGGAAACTGATGTTTAGTGAAGTTAATGGCCGGGCTTGAAGTCACATAGCCAGGAAGTGATAGGTTGGGATTTCACCTCAGGTATATTGAAACTCCGTAGTTTCTTTCTCTACCAAACAGCAACCAGTTTCAATGAATTCTTTGTTTCGGGGTTAGGAAATTATTTCGATATACCACTTTCAAAAGAATAATGTAAAATGTGTTTGAGAGCTGTTGCCATAGGCAAGCACTCACCATCAATCTATCACTCAAGTTATAGAAGACGGCAAAACCTTTCATTGTTCTTTCAACTAGCAGAAGGCTGTTCATTCCTTGCACTTTTCTCTTTAGCATTAGTTTTTGGCTGACATACTGGCTTTCTGTCATCCCAAACTGATATGCTTTGGCTCTGTGTTCCCACTCAAATCTCATGTTGAATTGTGATCTCGAGTGTTGGAGGTGGGGCCTGGTGGGAGGTGATTGGATCACGGGGGTGGTTTCTAATGGTTTAGCACCATCACCCTAGTGCTGTCTTGTGATAGAGTTCTCACAAGAGCTGGTTGTTTGAAAAGTGTGTAGCACCCCCCAGTCTTCGTGCGCTGTCTCTCCTGCTGTTATGTGAAGAGGTGCTTGCTTCCCGTTTGCCCTTCTGCCATGATTGTAAGTTTCCTGAGGCCTCCCCAGCCATGCCTCCTGTACAGTCTGTGGAACTGTGAATCAATTAAACCTCCTTTCTTTACAAATTACCCAGTCTCAGGTGGTTCTGTATAGTCTGTGAGAACAGACTAATACACAACCTGAATGTCTTAGTAACACAAATAAAACATGGTGAGTTTAAAGGTAGTTCCAAACACAGTGTGCTTGCCCAACACTTCCACCCACATGGACCCTCAATATATGAAGTCTGATCCTTGAAATCAATGTCACTCTTTCCAGATTTGGTTCTTCAGCTTAGTCTGAGTCTATATTCTTTTGTTTTTCCTTTTATACACTCTGGGAAAGAGTGTTGTCTGATATGATGCGATTTCGACATTTTAAGGGCTTTTTCTAAAGGGCTTATTTTATCTTTTGTTCCAATCCTGTGCCAAATCATAGGATTTCATTGATTTAGTGGTGAATAGTTAGGATTTCATGATTGCAATCATGTTTATTTTAGAAATGGAAAATTGAGTAAGGCAGAAATCATCTATTCAATGCAATCATATTTTTTAATATTTAAAAATGCTACATAGGTGTGCATATAATACAGGATTGGGAATTGGAAAGTTAGGTTCTGGTTTCTGCTTTGCTATTGCAAAAAAAACAAAACAAAACAAAACTTAATCTTTGGACTTCTGTTTCATCATAAGTTAAAGAATTAGGTGGCTCTAAATGATTTTCATATAATAACCCAGTTTAAACAATTTTGTGAAGAGTCTTAACACTATGCTACATGTGAAACAGAGCAACACGGCAGTAATAATATCTCTAAAGTGCATTTTAAAGACTTTTATCTATGGCCGGGCACGGTGGCTCACGCCTGTAATCCCAGCACTTTGGGAGGCCGAGGCGGGTGGATCATCTGAGGTCAGGAGTTCAAGACCATTCTGGCCAACATGGTGCAACCCTGTCTCTACAAAAATACAAAAATTAGCCAGGCGTGGTGGCGGACGCCTGTTAACCCAGCTACTTGGGAGGCTAAGGCAAGAGAATCACTTGAACCTAGGAGGCGGAGGTTGCAGTGAGCTGAGATCACGCCTTTGCACTCCAGCCTGGGTGACAAGAGTGAGACTCCATCTCAAAAAAAAAAAAGACTTTATCTAACTTCACGTTTTCTTACTAGTGATTTTTTTCATCTTCTGACTTGCTGCAAGAGGGTATTTCCCTAGTTTCAATGGTTTTGAAGTTAATTTGTTCAGCTTCTGCTTAGTGGATATTTATGAGAGGTAATACTTGCCTTTAATTTCTTTTCAGCTTTTCTACTGCTGTCTTTTTCTTATTACTTCTTTTTAAGTTAGCTCCGACTTTGCTATTTTTAGAGAGAAGCAATAAGGATGGCACAGTGGTTACAAGAGGTTAGAAACAATTGAGATGAGAATCCTATTTTTGTTGATATAATTTATATGCAATTCGTAGCTTCAAAATGAAACACTGACATGGTCATCTTTTTAAAACTAAAAAATGATATAAAATTCCTAGTGCATGTGTTTTAAAAAATTCTTTCATAGTGAACAAATCATGCAAGATATTAATTTTTTTTCCCTAAAAGACTATTCTAAAGTCTCCCTGAACATGTCACTTCAAAATGTAAACAAAGAAACAAAACTGTCATCTATTGGAGTTGGGTGTGATTTTTGTCTTTTGTCTTCTCTGTCACACTAGTTTTCAGTTCTTTGCTGTCATGTGGCCCACTTTTCAAAGATGCAATTATGTGGATTTCAGGGGGCCGTCAGCTTGCCTTCCCCAGTTGCTCTGGGCCAGCTCTGGTCTCCAGATACCTCTGATGGAGGCGAGTCCCAAAGTTGATAACTAGGAAGAGACTGTGTATGCCAGGGACGGATGACAAGATGTGCTGAGCCTTGGGGAGACGCGGCAGGATGTTACTAATGAAAGAGGGCCCTGCTGCCGAGGGAGGGGAAGGAAGCAGATGTGAGGGCAAGATTCAGGTGACAACCTCAGCGTTCCAGAGATACAGGATGTTATGGAGGAGGGAGAAAAGCAAGTTGGCATTTGGCAGAATGCACAGAGGCGAGACTCGAGAGTGGGCGGTGGAAGCTGAGGCTTTCAAAGATTTCTGACCTTCTGCCTGCCAACTTGGAATTAGATTTCTTGATGGAGGGGGAGAATGGGGGAAGGGGGTAGAAAAGGCAGATGCCAAGAGAGATTACTGATTTGGCAACCAGACAAAAGGATGCTGTGGCTGGCACCTGCAGCAGAGAAGGGCAGAACGGTGTAGCCAGTAGGTCTAAGGCAATGGGCTGAGTGCCAGAGTTTGAGCTGCTACAGAGCGGCCTGAGATGGCCTCTTTTTTAGACACGAGAAAATAGTCTGTAGAGAAATAAAATTTAAAAATGAGAAATTTAATATCTTTGGATAGATTTTTAGGATTGGCATTTACAAGCGTATTCAGTTGCCTTTCTCCTGTCTGAGGAGCATAACCTTTTGTGGTCAGATTGATGATGCTCTTTAAAAAAAAATCCCAGCAATATTGTTACATTTCCAATTCCAAAACCAAAGTGGTGGGATTTGACTATAGGTTTCCTCATTTCCCCAGCAGTGAATACGAAGTGACTTTTCCATGTCCCAAATGTTGACCCAGAACAATATCATTCCCTGTGAGACAGGAGTAACTGATTACATTAGAATACAATTTTGTTGCCACAGAAATCAGGAAACTTTAAATTTAGCAGCTTCCTTCTAGGGTTTTTTGCTCTGGGCTCTCAGCAAGCGTTTGCGTTTCTACGTCCTATATCACCGTGCACCACTAGATGTCACTGTTACTCGGGTCTTTGGGTAACAGACTCAACAATATGCCTGACCTTTTGTGCCTGGGGAAAAACAATCTTCAGAAGGGGAGGATAATACTGTCTGTGTGGATTTAAATAAGACCTCTTTACCTGGCATTTTTATCGAAAAACAGATACTCCATATGTTGTGTTGATTGCTGTTTCCCTTTCTGTTTTTGAAAGGGAGAGACTGAATTAAATGCGTTTCTTCCCACAAATGTACCTTACCATTTCTCCTTATTCTCAATTCTCCCTTAAAAATGTAGCTTTTAGCTCCATAATATAAGAAATATTTGTTAGAAAATTAGGAAAATCATCATTCTATGGGTATTTAGAATCTATATATGGACTGCAAATGTTTCTTCCCTAATCTCTTCCTAACCTTAGAGAACTTCAAAATGCATTGTCTCATTTCCTAAGGAAAAATGTTGTAACTCTAACTAGGAAAAGAATCCTGTGAGAGCACAGCAAGTCAGCGTTAAGAATTGAATTTTCATGACTACCCTCGGATACATCCTTGAACCTAAGGGACAAATGTTGCCGTGAGTTTCAGGTTGTTTAAATGGTGGTGTTAGACACACAAATCATTCATTTTCCTGCTAAATTTCCTTTTCTTTTATTGAATATTGGATACAGGTATGTCTTTTAAGATGTGGCCATTGATTCATATATACCAGAGCATTATTTAAACATGAAATTAAATAAGATAATTAAATAACAATGCATTTATAAAGCGTTCTTGAAAATAGATTAATTATTTAGAGCATTTGAGTGAAAAGTCTCAATACGATTTCACTATAGCAAATGATAGCCATTAATAAGTCATAACAGGATAATAACATAAAACAAAAAATGAAAACCTTACAAAATATATCTTAAAAAGCGAAGTAGGGCTTTACTTTGAGTTGAGTTCGTGGTACAAAATGAATCAATTTGTTCTTTTTGGAACTTTATCTCCAACCGTGTAATATTTGTGTCTTTAACTGTTGGCTGCTTCTAACAGTTACTGAGCCAATTGACCTCCAAACTAGGACTACATCAATCTGTTTTCTCTCTAGCTGCGATGCCACAGTATTTATAGGTTATTCTGCACTGGAATTTTACCCCCTGGAGATAACTTGTAGCTATGGGCCAATGCCAACTCATTCTGACTCAGGTGGGGATAATAGTCCTTAAGATGAAGTTGCCATGGACTTTAACAATGTTTGGGGTCTTATTCTCTCTGCTCCTGTTCGCAACTCCTCACACTTTTTCCCCTCCCCTCTCTTCCTCTTCCCTTCAATTCTCTGTTCTGTATTCTTCTCTATCTCTTTCTTTTTCCTCCTGCCCTTTCTGTGTTTTCCTTCCATATGTGTGACCCTTAGATTTGTTGTAGAACTATATTGGAGATCGAATTATGATCACTTCTATATTAGTTTCCAGTGGTTTCTGTAACAAATAATCCAAATTTGGTGGCTTAAAGCAACAGGCATTTATTATTTTTTAGTTCTGGAGGTCAGAATTCTGAAACCCATTTCCTGGGCTGAAGTTAAGATATCTTAATTTCAGAGCTGTCCTCCCTATGAAGGCTCTAAGTGTATCTGTTTCCTCGCCTTTTCCAACTTTTAGAATTGCATTCCTTGCATTCTTTTGCTCCCCACCCCATCCTTCAAAGCCAGCACTGTAGCATCTTCAAATCTCCCTCTCTGCTGAGGCCATGACATTGTCTTCTCTCTTTTGTGTCAAATCTCCTTCTGCCTCCCTCTTGGGACACTTTTGAGCATATTTAGGGCCCACCTTGATAACCCAAGTTAATGTTTCCATTTCAAGATCCTTAATCACATCGGTAAAGCCTTTTTTTTTTTTTTAATATAAAGTAACACTACGAGTTCCAGGGATTAGGACCTGGATATATTTGGGGGCCATTATTCAGTCTCCCACAGCTTTTTAGCTGTGTGGTTGTGCAATTTATTTAGTCCCTCTAAATTTTAGTTTCCTTGCCAAATAGTGTTAAGTGAGGACTTAATGAGAAAATGCTTGCAAAGTGCTTAGCATAGTGCTTGGCAAAGAGTTAAAGCCACTTTAAATTAAAATAATTTAAGTGCTAATAAATATTACTCCTGCTATCAAATAAGATTATCTCATTCTTTCCCTCCCACTCATCTTTATGGTACTTCAATCTACCTTCTGACCTCATCTCTCTACCAGAACATTTATTTCAAGGTCTCCAGTCTCTTCTAGCTGGTCAAATTCTTGGGCTTCATTTAGCAGCATTTAATTAGGTAAACCACTTATTTTACTTAGAAATGCATTCGTTATTTTGCTTCTGCCATAACATATTTTCTGTTTTTTTTTTTCTACTTCACTGGATACTTCTGTTTTCTTTACTGTCTTCTCCTTCTTTTAATCTACAGTAAAATATTGGTGTTCCTCAGAATTCTGTCTTGAAGACTCTTTGTCTATTTTTATACTGAGATGAAGAGTAGCCTGGCAGTTTGATGATCTTAAAGAAGATAGTGGGGCAGGAATACAGGCAGCAAGGGGTGGGAATGGCATGGGACAGAGCTGGAGTTGTGGTCTGGATCAGATTCTGTGGTGACTGACAGGCCCTGGTATAAGGATTTTGACATTAATGTTAGGAGTGGTGAGATGTGTCTTAAGCCTCAGAAATAGATTTTGACATTGGTGTATTAAGTAGATCTCTGAGTCAGTTTGAGTTGCTATAACAAAATACCATAGACTAGGTGGCTTATTTATTTTTCACAGTTCTAGAGGCTGGAAGTTTGAGATCAGGGTGGCAACATGATCAGTATCTGGTGGAGGCCCTCTTCCGGGGTCTAGACTGCTGACTTCTTTGTATGTGCACATGATGGAAGGAGGGTGAGAGAGCTCTCCCTGGTCTCTTTTGTAAGGGCACTTGTTTCATTCATGGAGGCTGCACTCTCATGACCAATCACTTCCCAAAGGCTCTGCTTCCTAATACCATCACATTAGTGGTTAGGATTTCAATGTATGAATTCTGAGTGGGTGTTGGTAGTGAATGCCTGAATTATTTCCTTTCCAAAAGGTCTACAGCTCATGACCTTCTCCTTTCTGAAAGCTGCTGAACCATGAGCTAACCTACTATCTGGTAATTCTGAGCTTGGATAAAAGGGCAGGAGAGAGATGTCAGAGGTGTGAGTGGAATGTCAGGGGCTCAGCTTTAAACCCTATATTTAGTAAGAACATGGGAATTTCCTATGAGTTGGAAAAACACCACTAATTGTGGCTGTGATTTAGGCAGTACTGTAGATACCTTTCTGCTCCAGCTGGTGTTAAGGCAAGAAGGAATAGCCTTAGCTATAACCTGGTCTCCTAGCCAAGGGACATGCAGTGGGAGAGGCCAAAAAGGCCCTCCAAGAACGTACAAAGAGCCAATGCTTGGATAACTCTCTCAAAGGTGAAATTGCCAAGTAGTCAATGTTCAACAGAGAAAATAGCAACAACCTAAAGAAAGAGAATGGTGGGCCTGTCACCCACCATCGTGGTTGCTCCAGTAACTATTTCTCTCCCTGCCTCCTCTCACTGCTGCTGAAGCTTCGATGGAGAGTGCTTTCTCTGGAGAACACACCCCTTCCTCCCTACCCTCAAACACTTCTAGTCAGTAGTGTGTCCTGCTTTTGTGGAAGAGGGAGGTGTTTAAATAAATATAAGAAAATCTTAACCCAAACTGAAGAAATGTCATAAGAATGAGGTGAGAGATCTATAAGGAGCTTGTACCTAGGTAAAAAGAAGGTGAAAGGAGACATTTGATAGGTATTATTTGGGAAGATGGGAAAATAATTCCATGTTTATAGTTTAATGAGTTTAGATTCTTCAATCAAAACAAGTAAACATATGTGATTTAATTTTATTATCATTTTGCTCTGTATAACAAAACTTCGAGTTAAGTGTTCCTACCGTGATCTTGCAGATAAGTAAAATGAGGTTTCATGAAATCAAGTGACTTGCCCAAGGGCACCAAGATAGCAAGATGCAGATGAGGGACTGGAGCCCTCCTGTACTTGACTTTGAAGCCTGTACCCCTTCTCACCCACTGTACCGTTACGTATACCATGCTGTTAAATTGGTCTCATGGCAGTGGTGAGTTTAGAGTTTAAAATGAATAACTATTAATGATATTACAATTCCCCACATAGATCAGTCACCTAAAATTGCAAAGGGTAGGATGATGCAAATAATTGGCTAAGTCTGGAGGCATAATAGTTCTGATTTTGAAGTTAGATTCTGCTAAGACTACAGAAAGAACTATGCTACTCCCCTAGGTGTTCTTTATCCAATCACTCTGGATTATTTTAACCATAGCAAATGATTTTTGTATTGTCTATTTTCCTTCATCCACCCCCTTTAGAATATCAGCTCAATGACCTTTTTGTCTTTTTTACTGATGTTTTGCAAGCAACCTAGAACCAAAGCTTGGCACTTAAGAGGCCCTCCTTAAATATTTTCTGAGTAAATGAATGAAAGAAGAAATGATATGTAAGCTACCACCTAAATTCTACCCTGGAGTTACAGGCAAAAAAAGAAGGATAAAAAGGAGGAAGAAGAGGAGAACCTCAGTACAGAGCCCATCTGGTTATTCAAGAGTCAGTGGTTGGCAACACTGCATAAACATGTCATTATGGTCACTGGTTGTCTTTATAATGGGTTTGGTGACACTTGCATTAAAAAAATCTGTGAAGGGACAGTCACCATAAGAACCCAGTTGCATCAAAATTCTTTTTCCAAAAGCCTAACCAGGTGCTCAGCTTCTTCGTACCTGGGCGACAATTTCTAAGACTTTTGTCAGTTATTTGAGTGGTTGGGGTCTAGCTTGAGTCAAAGAGACTTAGACAAATAAGCATAACAGATATGCTGGTATGCCTGCTAGAAGTTTCTTTCTAGAGAGACCAATGGTCTTCTTGGTGAGATAATTTATTCTCAAAGGAATTTGATTTTCATCCAGTAATGAAGATTTCTTGTTTGAGTGCAAGAGCATACAAGGCTGGAGTGCAATGGTGCAATCTCAGCTCACTGCAGCCTCTGCCTCCCAGGTTAAAGCAATTCTCCTGCCTCAGCCTCCCAAGTAGCTGGGATGACAGGCACCTGCCACCACATCTGGCTAATTTTTGTATTTTTAGTAGAGATGGGGTTTCACCATGTTGGCCAGGCTGGTCTTGAACTCTTGACCTTAAGTGATCCGCTTCCTTCGTCCTCCCAAATTGCTGGGATTACAGGCATGAGCCACCATGCCAAGCCTCTCAGCGTAACTTCTATTAGACATGTAGCTGAGTCATATGGTGGATGTAGATGTGTTTGGCAGAGGGGATGTGTCTGTGTCTGAGAGCTCAAAGTGAAAAGTTACTGGATTCAAGTCATCATAAGATATCAAGGTCCAAGCAGCCCTACTTTGAGATCCCTTCTTAGGGGAAGCAACCCTGGTAATGCAACTAGGGGTAGTTGTTGAATGAGCTGAATGGCATTGGTAGAGTCGTTCATGAGTTCATGTGAAATGCTTTGCAGAACCTCCCAGAAGATTGTGAAAGGGTTTGAGGGACAAAGGCCAATGAATCCTTACTGTTGTACTCAGTACAAATATGCAGGTAAATTTACCTAGCTGTTTGAATAAATATAACTACTTTTCAAAACTCATCAATCCATAGTCTACTTAAAGGCAACATACATAATTGTAATAGTTTCCTGACAAATGTAGTCACCTTCATTCTATTGTTTTAGATGTTAAAGGAATTAATTAACTAGATTAATTAATTAACTCCCCTGCCTTCTTCTCCAAGTGAGCGTCATTGTCAATGTCCTGATGCTGGTCCAAGCTATCTTTTCTCCATACATGCATTCACTAACTGAGATGTCACTCATTCAGTCTGGTGTTTGGCCTTTGGTATCACTCCTTGCTACCATCATCGGAGATGTCAGTGTTACCATTTGGTGGCTGGCTGCAAAGTGCTCTGCTGCAGGGAGGTTCCTTGTTCTGACCCCAGGACGCTTCAAGGACTCCCTTTCAGCTAAGTTCTGCGTGCTTCTAGGGACCAGAGAGATTGGGCTTCCCTCCCATGCTATTGCTGGCTGGGCAAAGGATGTCTGTTTGACTGCCTCAGGTGCTCTCTGACAAACTTTTCTCTGTTGCAACTACACCAGGGGATCCTGCATTGGGAGGGAAATTGTAGGAGTTATTCCCTCTTTG
Source organism: Homo sapiens (assembly GCF_000001405.40). NCBI lineage: Eukaryota > Metazoa > Chordata > Mammalia > Primates > Hominidae > Homo > Homo sapiens. The sequence continues at coordinate 107,058,427 of NC_000003.12, read as the reverse complement.
GAGTCCCCTCCTAGGAAGATAATATGCTTTCTTTTTGCTCAGATTTTAAAGCATTCTGGGAGTTCTATTATTGTCTCCCATTGTGAGGCTAGTCAAGTCATATTTTGATTATACACAAAGGTGGATGCTTAAGATCACCTTTCAGAACTGAACTCTTGGCCAGGCATGGTGGCTCACACCTGTAATCCCAGCATTTTGGGAGGCCAAGGCGGGTGGATCACTTGAGGTCAGGATTTCAAGACCAGCCTGGCCAACATGGTGAAACCCCCTCTCTACTAAACATACAAAAATTAGCTGGTCATGGTGGCGGGTGCCTCTAGTCCCAGTTACCCGGGAGGCTGAGGCAGGAGAATCATTTGAATCTGGGAGGCAAAGGCTGCAGTGAGCTGAGATTGTGCCACTGTACTCCAGCCTGGGTGACAGAGCAAGACTTCATCTCAAACAAATAAACAAAAAAAATTCCTGAGCTCTTGATTTCAACTCTTTCTCTTCCAGTCTTTCTCATCTTAGAAAAGAGCCCCCCATCTGCCAGAGGAGTCATCTCCAGGTTCTGCCTTTTTCATCCACTCCCACATTTACTCCAACACCAATCCTGTCAACTCAGCTTCTGAAACACCATTCCACCACCTCCAGCATGGCCACCTAGCCACCATTGTTTCTAGATGATTCTGTGACAACAGCCTTCTATGTCTCTCCATATCCACTTTTGCTTCTACAATCCATTTTCCACAATGCGGACAGAGAAGCTTCTTAAAAGTGTAAGTCTGATCCCCCTATTCTGTAGCGTAAAACCCTGTTAATGGCTTTCCCTTGCACTTTGCACAAAATGAAAACCTACATAGACTAAAGTGATTTACTTCTTTTCTAATAGAATCCTACTTCTCTTCTCATCCACCTTGCTCTGGCCCCACAACCTTTCCTTAAGTTCCCGTATGGGATGCTTTTCCCTACTTTGACCATGCTCTTCCCTCTCCCTGGTCTCACCCCTGCTGCCCACGGCATGGCTGGCTCCTCAGCCCTCTTATATTAATTGATATACCATTAGAACCTAGCACATTTACTGGCACATAATAATACTAAAGTAAATGCTTGTTGAATTAATGAATACTTGAAAAGAAACCACTGCTGTGGAACGCCATTGTTAGGAGAGAGGATTATGGGGCCAGACTTTTCTGAATTCAGATCCCTTCCCAGTTGTGTGACTTGGACAAGCCACTTACTCTCTCTGTGCTCAGGTTCTTCACTGATAAAGTGAGGGTCATAACTATACCAACCACATAGGGTGGTTTTGAGGATAAATATTTTAAATATATTGATATATATAAATATGCCTGGCACATAGCAAGCATTATGTGTTAGTGATTATTAGAAGAGAGGAGACAGATTCAAGAGCATTGTCCATGTGGACCTAGAGAAGGTGAGTTGGAAGGTGGGGGAGAGATCTTGGCATGACATTGACAACCCCCTGGTGAGAGGGCAACAGCATGGGATGTAGAGACCCAAGGGCTTCAAACTGGGCAGGGAAGGGGGCAGGGTACAATAGGTAAATCAGAGAGACACCTTGGAAAGGAGAGCAATCTGTATTCTGTCTGAGAGAGGGGCTTCAGGAGGAGTAGTATCAAGTGAGACCGCCACCAACAACAAAATAGTCATGGCTGAATGTTGCCTGTGGCTTGCATGGGACTGTCTGTCATTGACAGGGACCAAACAGCTCCCGATTTGGGCAGGGATTTATGAAACTGATACTTTAGAATTTATTTTTCTCTGTGAAAAAATCCTGATCAACAATCATAAGAGAGAAAAGGTATGCATGCTTGCAGACCTGTGGTTTGAAAATTACTTATAATTCTCCTATTACAGTCTGCCATGAAAATACCTCAGCCTGACAAGATCAGAGCTACTGTCATCCTTTTACATTTAATTTTAATTTACACGAAATAATGTTCTTCCTGCTCCATTTCTTCCAATTCTTTTCTTCTCCTCCCCTGTTCATTTTTCCTTATCACTTCAAAGTTACTACTTTCAGCAATGTCATCTCTTCTTGCTGTAATGTGCTTCACCTTTATACAGCTAATAAAGGCATTATTTTCATTTCAAATTTATGTCTTCTGTGGCTACACTTCTGAGCAGTAGAATTAAACTTAGAAAAAATAATAAGCTGACTAATAGGAACGATTTCTCTTTTATTAACAATCACTGGCTGACATTATTTTGGAAACTTTTACTTTTGAATTTAATTTAGAAATTCAGGGAGCACTAGAAAACTCAGCAATGCCTCTTATTTTTGCCTCCTTCTTCCCTTCCTTTTCCCTACCTGTCTTCCCTTTTTTCCTTTTCTATGCCTTTATAACATTTCATAACATGAAAAAAGATATATTTTATATTTTGGCTATGAGTTTGAATATTTTCTAAACCTTGGATCTACTGCTAATAGATTTACAAACAATTTTCTTTACAAAACTGTTTGCTGTGACAAAAGATTCTGCATTGGGGATTAACTTTAGCACAAGACTTCTGCTAACTGAGATAAATACACAATGCACAATTTTAGGGGTAGGAGTTTAGTTTTTTTTTCAGGTCAGCAAGTATGCATTTACTAGTTAACGCTTTTAGAGTCTGAATACTGTCCTGGATGAATCATGAACTTGCTCTAATTTGGTAATTCTTTATGCTTTTATGTGCTTGCACCAGAGCTATGCGTCTTATCATAATTTATTTCCTTCATAATTGTTCTGCTTTGGAATATGGAAACACTCAGTGCTCTGATTTCTTCTTTCTGGTAAATTCAGGTCAGCTTCATCTCTCATTTCAACTCTAACCTCTTACAAAAGGCCACCACATTCATGATATCTGGTGTTGAAAGTTCTGAGAGACTTTACTTTTGCGAATTCATTTTCTCCCCCAAGAGATGAGGGCTACTATTCTTTTGAATTATTGCATCCATTTTAGAAAAGGAACTAATTATTTTTTATTTAACAAGGAATATCCTGTGACCGATATAACTGGATTCATGTGAAAATGCATAAGAGGTGATGAGGAGATCATTTCCTCCAAGAAAATGTAATTTCAAAAGTGATTTAAATGGAACATAAAGTACTCATGAATATGGTTGCTTTTATAGCTAATGCAGATATCTTACTTCTATCACTGATATTCCTGAGTGTTTTATGCTAGCAGATTCTCTGTAAATGTTTCTTAATATTAACAGTTTCCTCATCCTCACTTTTGTGCTGTTCCTTGGAAAATTTACATGGAGTTTTGAAATGTATGTGTGTACATAGATGCAGATCTCACATTTTCTAAGATAATATCATTGTTGGTGACCTTGATAGTTGTGTGTGAATGTGCCTCTACAGAATATGGTTTCACCAATACTTCTCTCCTTGCTGCATAAAGATCCATTTTTGTGCCCTGGCTTGTGATCCTTCCTTCAATTACAGGAAAAGCTTTGTTTCTTCCAGGGCACATGCTTTGCTGCACTGTTGGGAGTTTTATGACAATTATAAATTTACTTTTCAATTTTCTGTATTACAGATTCCATTTCAGTTCTGTACAACTGGCTACAATTTTAAAAATATCATTCATTCTGTGTACGCTACTCATCTCAGCAGAAATGCTTGGAAGATAACAATTTTTCCATGTTATTGACTTTGATGAACCTCATTGCTGCTGTGGAAGGGGATCACAGCAAAGCAAAACACCCTCAACATTTTAGCAGAGAAGAGGGCTCTAGTTAGAAAACTTGGCTGGGAGTAGTAACAGTTACTGCCTCCATTCATTCATTGATCATTAATTCAAAATCTTTAAACTAACATTTATTAATTAAAAAGCAGAACTTCTTGCTGGAACTTTTTTTTTTCATATCTGCTTAATTTTCTCTGAAGGAGCTTTTATCTTGTAATTTAAGGAGGATTTGTTGTTGTTGTTGTTTGGGCCATACTGTTTACATGGTGACCTTGTAGAGTTAGAATAGATTTCAGTTGTTGCTAAGAAAATGGACTAAGATGCCAAGTGGAACATCATCGGGGTCTAGTCGTCACAGTCATAGACAGTTAACTGCAACACTCTTCCTTTTTGGCCTTCCAGTTTGTTGATGTTCAATTTAACGTGGACACCAGCTTTTATCAGTTTCTAAAGACATGCTGATCTGGGCTTGATGCTCTACCTAGTTATTCATGTCCTCCTTGCAATGAGAGGTTTCTACTTCACTCCCAACTCCACAATCCTGGGATTCGGAAAGCAAATCTCCAAAACTACTGCCAACTTCTAGTTATATGTTATTGATGGAAACTTTTGAAACCTGATACAGGCTGCTGACATTTGTTTTGTAAAGGCAACTTATCATTTCAGAATAATACACATCATCTAAAAAGCATGTCATAATGAGATATATAGCATCTCTAAAGTAAGTCCAGGGGCAGAGTTATCAGTGTGCACTGAAGCTTCCAGATAACTTGCATAGTATGTTTTGTTGGTGCTTACAGATAATCCCATGCTTCTTTTCAGGACTAAATAAAACTGATACCATCATGTGGTATTTCATTCCTTTGCTCACGAAAGGATTAGTTAAGAGACGATTATTTCTGAAAAAAAAAAGATACTTATATTAAAATACTCTGCCAATTCTGTAATACTCTCTCTTCAACATTCTATTGCAGAAAACATCAAGTCACCTAGCTTCAGCTCTGCTTGTCTTTTATTTGTTCTGGCTAACCACTGTGTTCCTCTTATTCCTTTGAGAGGGAAACATACTGATATATATGTAGTGTAAAATGAATATGGTGAATCTAGAGGGGCATCTAATGACCATAGCATATCAGCGGGTGATATTTGACTCATAGTCCCAAACTTCTGATAGTGTTAGGATCCATAATCTACTAGAATACAATTTCCAGTGAGAGTGATGCTTCTTAAACTTTTAATGGGCACATGGATCACCGAAGGACCTTGTGAAAATTGCAGGTTCTAATTTAATAGTCCTGGGGTGGAGACTCAGATTCCACATTGCTGCAAGTTCAGCACTTGAACCAGGCCTAGAGGAGAAGAACATTTTTTATTTTAAATATAGGCCCTATACTGCTAAGAGTTCTAGATAAAATGGACATTTTTGATGTCCATGCAGAGAAACTGAGCCCAGTGAGAAGGCCTCACTGCCGACATTCACCTGCTGAGCGGACCCACTCCAAATTCTCAGCACAGCATTCTGACAGCATTAAATTCTTTATTCTGAAAAGCACCGAACTTGCGCAGGGCCTGAAAGTATTTGACAGTTTCTCCAGTCCAGTGGAAATCTACAGAGACAGCTTGGATGGAGAAGGGAAGCAGAGTACCTGGAGGCAGAAGGACTGGGTTTGAGCCCAGCTTTGCCTCTGCTTGGCTTCATAGGCTTGAATAAGTCATAGACCCTCTTTCAGTTTCCATTTCATTGTGTATAAATTAGTGATAATAGTAAAATGCAACTTTATAGATTTGCTTTGATTTCAAATGTGATAATTATGTAACAGTGTTTTGTCAATGTCAAGTGCTACACAAATATTAGTTGAGGGGCCCATAACCTGCAATGATGATTTACACTCACATCAGTACACCAGCGTTGCCTAAGCTCCTCCACTTTTTTGTTGTTTGTTAGCAATGAACATTCTGACTGAGAATGTAGTATTTTATTGTTTCCTCTGGATGCCATTTGTATACATAGTTTGGGTATAATTCTTCAGTTAAAAAAACCCCAAAATATTATTTTTCCCTTAAAACACCAGCATTGTCATTACTCTCCCAATATGTTTTGGGGAAAGGGGGAGGGACGGCTAGCTGTATGAGAGATAGTTTAGGACTCTGGAAGATCTATCTAGTGTTGTGTGGTGGTCATGGATATCCTGAGTTACCCACAACTTCTGAGAATTGCTTGATCAACATGGAGGTAAAGTTGGTATCAGGAGAACATGCTGTCCTTGTCACCTAGGGAAGAAGTTGGCCTACAGGCAGCTTTCATTTTAATTGATTTTTTGATGAGCATTGACTTTATTAAATCCTATACAAAATGCCCCATGGCATCTGTCAGTGATAAGTGACAAGAAAGGCATTAAAAGTTTAGTGAACGCTTAAGAATTCTTTATCAGCAGGCATTGATTGAATACCCTCTGGATAATGATGATAATACTTGCATTTATAACTTGCAAGATATTCCCATAATTCTATTTATGATACAGTTTTCATTGAATCACTTCCCTTTTCTGACATAAAAACCCATCCTCATGGGGCTTGGATTTTTTGTATGCATATTATAGACTGCAGCAAAGTTTTTATTTTAGGGAGACAAAATATATCAAAATATACATCATTGCAGAAACTAAAATGCCCAATAGCTGCTTTGCCATTTGCCTAGTTTGATATAGGCCCATTTTCTGCTGCTTTTCTTTCCAGACCTTCTCTGATTTTCCTGCCAGTCTTGGCCATGTCTTTTCATGCCTGTCATTTCTCTTCTATAATTAGAATACACTGAGGATTTGTCATTAAAGTTTAAGTTATATGAAGCATCCAAGGTCTTTCATTTAAGGCACTGTTTGGAATAAGGTAGATGACACTTTCCATGGACATCTGGCTTACAGGGTCTTCCCATTGCAAATGAGGCCCCATTGGAATTATTGGACTCATTACCCAGCTGGCCAGACTTGTGATTGAAGAGGTGGGTCCTGAGTGAGGATCCATTCTCTTGCAGGTGCTTCTGAAGTGCTTGTTTTGTCTCAGACTCCTGTGGTGGTTGCATTCATTGGAAGACTAGTTGAAAATAAATAGGAAAAGGCCAGTAAGAATTTCTGAAAATTCCAAGTTGAGGAATATGTAGAGAAAATGGAAATTTATTTGTCAAAAATATATGGAACATATTGTATCTGATGTAAATCTGCATCTACACATGAGGAAGTTAGAAAGAAAGATAAAGGAAATAACCTGCTATTAATAAACAGAACTTTTCTAAATGTGTGCTGCTTGTATTCAATCATTTGTGAATAATATAATTTATGTTTAATCACACCCAAAGCCTTGCCAAGTAGGTCCCACAGGAATTTCTCTAACGAATACATAAGCATCTCTTGTATTGAGCCCAGTAATTGCTTATATGCAAATGATTTTAAGTACTTGAACAGTTTGACTTAAGAAGGATAAACATTATGTCTGTAATCTTGTATATGATATTCATTTGCTTAGCAAGCCATTTTCTGATGAATTATATAAAAGCAAACTTTATAATCAACTGAATACAAATTATCCTGAGTTTGGAAAAACAAATTAATGAGGTTTTATGATCTTGAGTTCCAGACCTCTCCACCATCCGATTCAGTATGGGACAGCAACATAACATGAGTTGGTACAAATGACTTAAAATTTACATTGATTTTTGCCTATATTTTTTTCCTATTATCTTTTATGTGAATCCCTAGGTAATTATGAAAAACAGAATTTATATTAGCATTATGGAATTAGACAATCAGGCAACTCGATTTACCGGTATTAGTGATAGCACCTTCACCCTTCATGCCATTTGTGAGAATAGATCTTCTAGTATATTTGTCAACCAAAGGCAACCTTGGTGATACTTCTCTTGGATCTCAAGGTATCACCTATCTATTTTAGGTGTTAATTCTTAAATATGAAAAAGTATAATCATAATGTCTCAGAGTTGTCAGGACCTTCGAACGTAGCAGAAATTATAATTTCCAGAAAATCTTTTGTTTGTAGTTTCCCTACCGCAATAAGAGGCATGTTTTTTTTTTTTTGTTTGTTTGTTTGTTTTGCACGTGGAGCCAGACAAATACACACATCACCGTCATCCGCCGTAACCACACATACACACACTTATTACAATCAGGTGATAAAATAATTTATTATTAGAGGCAAAAAGCATATAACTAATTTTGAACCACACATATATGTGTCCCTGTACCTGAGAAACAGGACTTTGATTCTGATCACGGAGTCACCAATTGATATAAGAGAAAGAAAAAGAGAGCTCCCATCAAAATCCATCTGAAGTTTTTTTCAGAATCTGTCTAAAACTCCCCTAATCAGAATTCTGCTTTCTGTTTATTCATTTTCACAGATATGTGACCTTCTGGATCCTAGATTTGAGGAAAATTTCCTATGCATGTATTTGCCAGGATATACCCTCTAATGTTCATGTGTTCTCATCATTTAGCTCCCACTTACAAGTGAGAACATGTGGTATTTGGTTTTCTATTCCTGCATTAGTTTGCTAAGAATAATGGGCTCCACATCCATCCACGTCCCTTCAAAGGACATGATCTCATTATTTTTTATGGCTATATAGTATTCCATGGTGCATATGTACCACATTTTCTTTATCCACTCTGCCACTGATGGGTATTTAGGTTGATTCCATGTCTTTGCTCTTGTGAATAGCGCTGCAATGAACATATGCATGCATGTGTCTTTATGACAGAACAATTTCTATTCCTTTGGGATATACCCAAGAATGGGATTGCTGGGTCAAATGGTATTTCTGTTTTTAGGTCTTTGAGGAATTGTCACACTGTCTTCTGCAATGGATGAACTAATTTACACTCTCAACAACAGTGTATAAGCATTCCTTTTGCTCTGCAACCTCACCAGACATCTGTAAGTTTTGGACTTTTTACTAATACCCATTTTGACTAGTGTGAGGTGGTATCTCATCGTGGTTTTGATTCGCATTTCTCTAATGATCAGTAACGTTGAACTTTTTATCATATACTCATCGGGCACATGTATGTCTTCTTTTGAAAAGTGTCTGTGCATGTCCTTTGACCACTTTTTAATGGGATTTGAACAAATATTTATTATCTATTATCTGGTGAATACAGTACAAGATGCTGTAGATATAATGATAAACAAATTAATATCATTGCTGCCTTCATGTTGCTTATGGTCCGGTAATAAACACAGACGTTAATCAACTAATTACACAAATATATAATCAAAATGAGATGAAAGTACATGAAATGTATAGAATGTTATGGCAGACTATTTGAGGAGGATCTTGTGTAGGTTTGGATTATTTGGGGTCTAGAGAAGGCTTCCCAGGAGAAGAGGGAAGGCAGAGCAATGCAGAAATGGACGAGTACATACAAAGGACTTGAGATGAATGGAATCATGAAGTGTGAGGAATTTGAAGAAGTTTAAGTGTACCAGAAGCACACACAGGGAGGATAAGTGGAGGCCCGTATGAGCAAAATGTCTATGGTTGTATTAAAGACCATTTTTGAAAGAGAGTGACATGATCAAATTTTCATTTTAAAGTAACATTTTGGCCGCAGTATGGAGATTAGAGTAGACATGGGTGTTATGGACTGAATTGTGTCCACACACAATTCATATGCTGAGGACCCAAACCCCAATGTGACTATTTGGAGATAGGGACTATATGATGGTAATAAAAGTTAAGTGAAGTAAGAGGAAGGGTCTTAATCGGATAGGACTCATGCCTGTATAAGAAGAGGAAGAAACACCAGCGTGTGAGGTTGTGAGATCTTTCTCTTCCTCTCCCTTTCCCTCTTTCCCTACCCTGCACCTGTAACATCCACATAGAATAGGCCATGTGAGGACACAGAAATGAGGTGGCTGTTTGCAAGCCAAGAAGAGAGGCCTGACTAGAAACCAAGCTTGCTGGCACCTTGATCTTGGACTTCTAGGCTCCAGAGCTGTGAGAAAATGAATTTCTGTTGTTTAAGCCGCCCAGTCTGTGGTATTTTGTTACGGTAGCCTGAGAAGACTGATACAGGAAACTGTAATGGATATGAGAGTTCTGGGTAAGGGACCACAGCAGTGGTTCAGGTACGAGATAGTGGTAGTACGTATGACAGTGGGAATGGCAGAGAACAAGAAAAATTTACAAAATTGGGAGACTTTTCGTATGTGTAGAATTAACAGGATTTGGTGTTGGACTGTATATATAAGGTGAGAGAAAGAGGGATTAAACTTTGTGGCTTAAACTAGTGTGACCTGCACAACTAGATGAATGGCTTGCTCACTTTAAGAGTCACAAGAGGAGCATCAGGTTGGGGCCGTAACCCATAAGTTCAGATTCTCTCACATGAAGTTTTGGATGCCTTTGGATGTGTTGAAGAGACAGATGGGACTGGAGCTTAAAGAGAGAAATATTAAACAATGCTCACAGAATCTGTTGCTACGTGACTTCTCAGAATGTTTAATATGTGTAAATATATTATTGTGAATTGTGACTCTCTCATACAAGCTTATGGTTTCTTGCGGGTTTCTAAACATTGACCTCTTTTCTGAATGGAGAATCCCCCAGGGCTAGTAGTCTGTAGAATATAGTTGGTAAATGCTTGTCTGTAAGTGTATTTTTAATCGTTCTCTTTCCCTGCTGCTTGATATTAGTAGCTTTTGATTTTATTTAATAAGACATATTTTGGGCACATGATGGCCAGTGGATTCACAAGTTGTGGGAATGAAACAGAGAAGCATTCAAGACAAGAGCTTTGGCTATGAGCATTGCCAAGGTCCTATAGAGTGCCTGGTGGTAGCAGAGCTGAAAGCCCAGTGCAGAGCTGGAACAGCCCCTGCCTTCCAGGCCACTCCTAGATACTGTACAGAGAGAGAGAGTGATTAAACAACACCACCATCCTCAAGTCCTTGTCCCTCTATATAATTGTTGACTATTTTTCAGAGCTATACCATTCCTGAAGTTGAATCTATCTTAAAAACTTAAAACATGAATGTCTTTCTTGCACTGGCCTACACCAAGTTTTCAAAGTTATTACCTAGAGGTTCAAGTGAATTGAGTTTTATGGGCTTAGAATTTAGATAAATAGAACTTAATAAGTTATAATTCTCCTTAATGTTTCTGGCAAATATACTGTGTGCAACTTTCTACAACTGACTTTTTCATTCAACTTATATTCTAGAAATTTATTCATCTAACTACACATAAATTTATCTATTTTTAAGCTACTGCATAATATTCTATAGCATAACTATGTCAAAATATATTTAGACATTTAATTATATTCAACTACATTAAAAAAAACACCGTATATACCAGGTAAATTAGTAGCAGATACAGGAAGAGGAAGATCAAATATAAGAATTAAATCATTCTGCCTGCTCTTTGCCCCAAAGCTTATAAAAGCTACAAAAAGTTTACTATATTCATATTAATTACCTCCTCTTCATGTTTATTTTTGAGAGAAAAATGACTGGATAAACAAATTTCCAGAAAAACTCTTTATGCTAAATTTTATTCCTAATGTCAAATCCTCCATGCCATTTTTCTAGTTGTTCCAAAAAATATGATCTTTCACTTTTTTAGTGCTTCCTCTCCACTCCAATTAAATCACTTGGAAGCCTGCATTGGAGTTATTTATGAGAGCTTATTAAGGCACACAGCCTCTGCCTTTGTGTCCCTCGCAGTGCCTTGCTCAATGTGGTCCCACAGATATTTTTGGTTGGATTTTGAATTAAACTAGATTACTTTTTCAATTCTGGTGATTGGGTGACCAATGTGTTCTTGAGCTTCATGTGTGTCATTACCCTTCAGAGAGACAATTTTTCTTTTGAGTGACAGGTTTGGAGGTTAATGGTTTAAACATTTCCCAAAGCAGATCTATTAGTGATCCATGCTTTCTAATACCCCCTTCCACCTTGCTCTGCACTGTCTACATGAAGTATGGCCGCAGAATAATTGCTAGATAGTTGGAGATGTTGAACTCAATTATCAATTGCTACGAAGTAGAGAAAAGAAATTACATGAGCCATAGTTTTCATTAGGAAATATTCATAGAAATGAGGTTCAACCTGTGTTACAATAAAATGTTAATAAGACTTTTAAGAAGGCAATTAAAGAAACATGTTTACTTCTGGGATAACTGAATTCAAATCTATTATTCTTCAATTTGGCAAAAAAGGGTAGTTTGGGGGTGATTTAAGTGTAACATAGGTATATACTTGCTTTTCTCCAGGAAAACTTCCATTGTTATGAAGTTTCTACATGAATAATTTTAATTTTTTGAGATCTCCCTGTGGCAAAAATAAAACAATCAGAGGCATATTTATATACTTGCTCATACCTTTCCGCTGTAATATGTTTAGTAGCAATTTAAATTACCTTAATTTAGGGAGGCTCAAATCCCCTAAGATCCTTCGCTGTCCATGTGAAGATCAGAGTCAAGGAAAAATGACACTGCTCAGAGCTTAGAAATTCTCAGGCAGAGGCAGAAGTGGGAAGTCAAACTATCTGCCAAGAATTAATAAGCTAAAATAGGATGAGAGGAGTTCCTTCTTCCATTTTTTTTCATACTCCTTCCTTCACTGACTCTAAGCAGCTGTGGAAACTGTCAGTGCCCTGCCACTGTGCATGGCAAGCCTAGCATCAGCTGAACTCGTTGGCTTGTGAGTGCTGCCTTTGTCAGTTTCACTCTTGGCATCATGGAACGTGACCAACCTGGGTGTGAATGCTGCTGAGCTGCTCTTCTGAAATGTCAGAAGATACTATTGATTGCAACTCTGGCATTTTATAACGATAGTAAGTTCCTTGACAGGCTCTCTAGGCTCTAGCTTGGCCATTTACACTACAGGGGAGAAGGGACATTTCTTATATTGTGTGTGCATTTTTAGCTTTTTAAGGCAGAATTCTGGAATCAGCAGTCACTTTTTGTTGGAATTGCTAATGCCATAGGTTCAAATTATACAGTATGCACTGTATACCACTGTATAACACACTGGTCACCATGACTTTGGATATAAATCATCAGTAGGAAGCAAAGTCAGTATTATGTTGAACCCAAAGGAAGGAGATGAAGGCTACAGCATGAACACAGTAAGCCTGAGGTTAAAGAACCCAGGCTCTTCTGAGTTTTAATCTAGCATATTCTGAGCTTCTTAGATTGAGTCTTTCTTCATTACCACATTCTTCTATAAATTACAGGCAAATCGAAGACAGATAATGTCTTCTCACTCTTTAGTATAAAACTACTGGTACTGAATTCTGAGTATTTTGGTCACACTGTGTATTCATAGGTATTATTCTTGTTGGTGATCGCAGCAACTGTGCAGATAATTGCAGAGTTATCATCTCGATATGATTCCTTCTGTGATTAAAAAAGTTGAATATGTAAATGTAATTCTGGAGAGCACTGCCTTTAAATTTTATTATAAATTTTCCACACACAGTTATGCGAATCTAGGACTTCATAAGCGTCACTTAATGGTAATGATTGTCAGCTTTGTGGGAAATTTTATCTTTATAGATGGACTGAAAGAATATACAGAATTTTACATTTGTGGGAAATACAGTGTTGATGAAATACCTAATTAGGAGGATGATCTTTTCTGAGAGGGAAACAAGTAAATCTTCTGTTTCTTTCTGCTTAAAAAGAACATTAATGTTCCCTCATCTCTTCCTGAAGCCTTCCTCAGGATGGAGATACCATCTGAGTCACGTGTCTCAGAGTGAGAAAGCAGTGGAGTGCAGATGCAGGTTTTTTTTATCCTAGTGAAATGAAATACCAATTTTCTGGGATAAACTGTAAGTTCAGAGAAAATAGAATTTCCTGGCATGACAATTTTGGACATTCTTTGAGTGTTCATCAAAGAAGGCTGTGAATTGCTTCTGTCAGTATGACTGGCACAAGCTCTTACAATTGTTGACAGCTTGCAATTCTTTTTACTGACTTTGAAACAAATTATTGACAATATAATGCAGTAACTTTCATGTTAATGCAATAACAAAAATAAATGATTGAATACAAATTTTCAAATAATACCTCATACTTAGAAATTAAACTTCAGAATGACCTATATTTATTGTCATTCAATGACCATTTGATTGTATCAGGGTTTGCACTTGATTTCAGTTCTAAACAAGTTTTAGAATTTGAGGTGGTCTCCAAGGTGTCTACATAGTTGTATCGGTTTGGGCTAACACTGTCATTAATTCTGCTGGATAAATTGCTTATGACTTATGCTTTTACTCAGTGGCTGCTATATTTCAAATTATGTTGTAAATTGTGCTTTAGTCAGATTGTTTCTATGTCACAGCTAGCTGTGTTCTTATATGCTGTAAAATTGTTTGTATTGTAATAAAGTTCACTTCTTGATTTATCATACTTTTACAAGCCAAGATCTCAGATGATAACACATATTTATTACGGTGTTTAATGCTGCTTTCCACCTTTTGATTAAAGACTTATTTAGTCAACTAAAATGGGGTTTGATTTAAATTCCAATTAACCTTTTACTTCCTCTGTGCTTTTTCAGTGCATAGTGTTATTGTACCTTGATAATAGAGTACAGTTTTATTCCTTAATTCACTGAAACCAACTATATTAAGCCAGTTTGAGGCTCTGAACTCCAGTTATACTGCTGGGATGACTAAACTAATCGTTGTGAAATAAAATAAATGGTTCCCTTTATACAATTCTTAAACTTTATTTTCTGAAATTTCTGGAAATATGAATAAGCTATTTCTTAATAAAAGTTATTAAAAATATGAGTTACAGTTTTGCAAACTTGGATGAGCATCGTATGAATCTAGCTTTTGACACCACCACCTATTCAAACATATTTAATGCTTACCTTATAAGGTGCTTACCTTATATTCAATTTAATTCAATAAGACCTGGGCACTTGAGGCCATTGTAGTATGAAGCTGAATGGCATTTCCTAACTATGAAAAACTCAGTACCTAGCAGGGAAGACAAGTACATGAATAATTAGTATATTACATGGTAAGTTCTGATGAAGTAGTATATATGAAGTAGGGTGCAATACTAAGAATGGAGAATCTGATCTGAGACAACAGGAGAAGGCTTTCCATGAGAGGCGGGGCATTTGAATTATGTCAAAGTAAGAGTCTATCAGACACATGAAAGGATAGGGGATGAAATTCCAGGCAATAGAATAGCATAATCAGAGGCAGAAAGCAATGAAAGTGTATCGTGGATCTGGAAAACTCTGAGTAGTCAGGAATAAATAGTTCGTGGTATGTCTGTGGGAGATGGGGAAGGTGGGGTAGAAAGGTTGGTATAGGAAGGGTAGTATATTAAGATAAAAAGTTTGCATAGCCACATGGCTTTTTTTAAACTCTTATTTTAAGTTCAGGTTTATATGTGTAGGTTTGCTACATAGGTAAACTTGTGTCATGTGGGTTTGTTGTACAGGTTATTTCATCGCCCAGGTATTAAGCCTAGTACTCATTAGTTATTTTTCCTAATCCTCTCCTTCCTCTCTGCCTCCATCCTCCACTTGGCCCTAGTGTGTGTTGTTCCTCTCTATGTGCCCATGTGTTCTCATTATTTAGCTCCCATTTGTAAGTAAGAACGTGTGGTATTTGGTTTTCTGTTCCTGTGTTAGTTTCCTAAGGATAATGGCCTCCAGCGCCATCCATGTCTCTGAAAAGACATGATCTTTTTCTTTTCTATGGCTGCATAGTATCCCATGGTGTGTATGTACCACAATTTCTTTAACCAGTCTACCATTAATAAACATTTGAGTTGATTCCAGGTCTTTGCTATTGTGAATAGTGCTGCAGTGAACATACGTGTGCTTCTATCTTTATAATAGAATGATTTATATTCCTTTGTAATGGGATTGCTGTATCAAAAGCATTTCTTCTTTAGGTCTTTGAGGAATCACCACACTATCTTCTACAATGGTTGAACTAATTTACACTCCTACCAACAGTGTATAAGTGTTACTTTTTCTCTGCAACCTTGCCAGCGTCTGCTATTTTTTTCACTTTTTACTAATAGCCATTCTGACTGGTGTGAGATGATATCTCATTGTGGTTTTGATTTGCATTTTTCTAATGATTAGTAATGTTGAGCTTTTTTTTATTATTATACTTTAAGTTCTGAGGTACATGTGCAGAACGTGCAGGTTTGTTACATAGGTATACACGTGCCATGGTGGTTTGCTGCACCCATCAGCCCATCATCTACATTAGGTATTTCTCTTAATGCTATCCCTCCCCTAAACTCCTACCCCCTGACAGGCCCCGGTGTGCGATGTTCCCCTCCCTGTGTCCATGTGTTCTCATTGTTAAACTCCCACTTAAGAGTGAGAACATGCAGTGTTTGGTTTTCTCTTCTTGTGTTAGTTTGCTAAGAATGATGGTTTCCAGCTTCATCCATGTCCCTGAAAAGGACATGAAATCATCCTTTTTATGGCTGCTATAGTATTCCATGGTGTATATGTGCCACATTTACTTTATCCAGTCTATCATTGATGGGCATTTGGGTTGGTTCCCAGTCTTTGCTATTGTGAACAGTGCCACAATAAACATACGTGTACATGTGTCTTTATAGTAGAATGATTTATAAACCTTTGGTTATATACCCAGCAATGGGATTGCTGGGTCAAATGGTATTTCTAGTTCTAGATCCTTGAGGAATCACCACACTGTCTTCCACAATGGTTGAACTAATTTACACTCCCATCAACAGTGTAAAACATTCCTATTTCTCCACATCCTCTCCAGCATCTGTTGTTTCCTGACTATTTAATGATTGCCATTAACTGGCGAGATGGTATCTCATTGTGGTTTTGATGTGCATTTCTCTAATCACCAGTGATGATGAGCTTTTTTTCATGTTTGTTGGCTGTGTAAATATCTTCTTTTGAGAAGTGTCTGTTCATATCCTTTGCCCACTTTTTGATGGGGTGGATTTTTTTTTTTGTAAATTTGTTTAAGTTCTTTGTAGATTCTGGATATTAGCCCTTTTTCAGATGGACAGATTGCAAAAATTTTCTCCCATTCTGTAGATTGCCTGTTCACTCTGATAATAGTTTCTTTTGTTGTGCGGAAGCTCTTCAGTTTAATTAAATCCCATTTGTCAATTTTGGCTTTTGTTGCCATTGCTTTTGGTGTTTTAGTCATGAAGTCTTTGTCCGTGTCTATGTCCTGAATGGTATTGCGTAGGTTTTGTTCTATGGTTTTTATGGTTTTAGGTCTTACATTTAAGTCTTTAATCCACCTTGAGTTAATTTTTATATAAGGTGTAAGGAAGGGATCCAGTTTCAGCTTTCTGCATATGGCTAGCCAGTTTTCCCAACACCATTTATTAAATAGGGAATCCTTTCCCCATTGCTTGTTTTTGTCAGGTTTGTCAAATATCAGATGCTTGTAGATTTGTGGTGTTATTTCTGAGGCTTCTGTTCTGTTCCATTGGTCTATGTATCTGTTTTGTTACAAGTACCATGCTGTTTTTGTTACTGTAGCCTTGTAGTATAGTTTGAAGTCAGGTTGTGTGATGCCTCCAGCTTTGTTCTTTTTGTTTAGGATTGTCTTGGCTATGTGGGTTCTTTTTTGGTTCCATATGTAATTTAAAGTAGTTTTTTCCAATTCTGTGAAGAAAGTCAGTGGTAGCCTGATGGGGATAGCATTGAATCTATAAATTACTTTGGGCAGTATGGCCATTTTTGCGATATTGATTCTTCCTATCCATGAGCATGGATTTTTTTTTCTCCATTTGTTTGTGTCCTCTCTTATTTCCTTGAGCAGTGGTTTGTAGCTCTCCTTGAAGAGGTCCTTCACATCCCTTGTAAGTTGTATTCCTAGCTATTTTATTCTCTTTGTAGCAATTGTGAATGGGAGTTCACGCATTATTTGGCTCTCTCTCTGTTATTGGCGTATAGGAATGCTTGTGACTTTTGCACATTGATTTTGTATCATGAGACTTTGCTGAAGTTGCTTATCAGCTGAAGGAGATTTTGGGCTGAGATGATGCGGGTTTTCTAAATATACAATCTTGTCATCTGCAAACAGAGACAATTTGACTTCCTCTTTTCCTGACTGAATATGCTTTATTTCTCTCTCTTGCCTGATTGCCCTGGCCAGAACTTCCAATACTATGTTGAATAGGAGTGGTGAGAGAGGGCATCCTGGTCTTGTGCTGGTTTTCAAAGGGAATGCTTCCAGTTTTTGCCCATTCAGTATGATATTGGCTGTGGGTTTGTTATAAATAGCTCTTATTATTTTGAGATATGTTCCATTGATACCTAGTTTATTGAGAGTTTTTAGCATGAAGGGGTGTTGAATTTTGTCGAAAGCCTTTTATGCATCTATTGAGATAATCATGTGGTTTTTGTCATTGGTTCTATTTATGTGATGGATTACATTTATTGATTTGCGTATGTTGAACCAGCCTTGCATCCCATGGATGAAGCCAACTTGATTGTGGTGGATAAGTTTTTGATGTGCTCCTGGATTCGGTTTGCCAGTATTTTATTGAGGATTTTCACATAGATGTTCATCAGGGATACTGGCCTAAAACTGTCTTTTTTTGTTGTGTCTCTTCCAGGTTTTCGTATCAGGATGATGCTGGCCTCATACAATGAGTTAGGTAGGAATCCTTCTTTTTCTATTGTTTGGAATATTTTCAGAAGCAATGATACCAGCTCCTCTTTGTACCTCTGGTAGAATTCAGCTGTGAATCCGTCTGGTCCTGGACTTATCTTGGTTGGTAGGCTATTAATTACTGCCTCAATTTCAGAACTTGTTATTGGTTTATTCAGGGATTCGACTTCTTCCTGGTTTAGTATTGGGAGGGTGTATGTGTCCAGGAATTTATCCATTTCTTCTAGATTTTTCAGTTTATCTGCATAAAGGTGTTTATAGTATTCTCTGATGGTAGTTTGTATTTCTGTGGGATCAGTGGTGATGTCCCCTTTATCATTTTTTATTGTGTCTATTTGATTATTCTCTCTTTTCTTCTTTATTAGTTTGGCTAGCAGTCTATTTTGTTGATCTTTAGAAAAAAACAACTCCTAGATTCATTAATTTTTTTTTTTTTTTTTTTTGAGATGGAGTCTTGCTCTGTCACCCAGGCTGGAGTGCAGTGGCGTGATCTTTGCACACTGCAAGCCCCGCCTCCCGGGTTCACACCATTCTCCTGCCTCAGCCTCCTGAGTAGCTGGGACTACAGGCACCCGCCACCACGCCCAGCTAATTTTTTGTATTTTTAGTAGAGACAGGGTTTCACCATGTTAGCCAGGATGGTCTTGATCTCCTCACCTCATTATCTGCCTGCCTCGGCCTCCCAAAATGATTTATTGATTTTTTTGAAGGGTTTTTTGTGTCTCTATCTCCTTCAGTTCTGCCCTGATCTTAGCTGTTTCTTGTTTTCTGCTAGCTTTTGAATTTGTTTGCTATTGCTTCTCTAGTTCTTTTAATTGTGATGTTAGAGTGTCAATTTTAGATATTTCCTGCTTTCTCTTGTGGGCATTTAGGGCTATAAATTTCCCTCTACACACTGCTTTAAGTGTGTCCCAGGGATTCTGGTACGTTGTATCTTTGTTCTCATTGGTTTCAAAGAACACCTTTATTTCTGCCTTAATTTTGTTATTTACCCAATAGTCATTCAGGAGCAGTTTGTTCAGTTTCCATGTAGTTGTGTGGTTTTGAGTGAGTTTCTTAATGCTGAGTTCTATTTTCATTGCACTGTGGTCCAAGAGACTCTTATGATTTCCATTCTTTTGCATTTGCTGAGGAGTGTTTTACTTCCAATTAT